>NC_000003.12:108857089-109160119 GCF_000001405.40 Homo sapiens | reverse complement strand
TCCAACTCACTTTTTGCAGCCTCTCACATCCTTGGCCTCCTCCAAGAGCACCATCGTATCATCATTCTGTGGTGACCCTGCTCTCTATTGCACATGCTGGAAAGTTTCTCTGATTGTCACCCGATAATTTTCTTACATATCTTCGAGCAACTTAAGCTGTGCCTCCTCTCTAAAGCTTATACCAGTTATAAAAATTTAGTTTATTTATTTATTTATTTAACAATAATTTCTACCAGCAGTCACTCTAGGGGCTGGGGATGCTACTGTGATCAATGTAGCTCAAGTTCTGATTCTCAAGAAGATTACAGAGTAGCACAAGGGAAATGAGGTGGAAGGGAGGCTTTTCATGGACTAAATATGTAAAAATAAGTACATTATCAATTAATAAACAAGAGAATTTCCTATAGTGCTGTACAAAATAACAAGAAACAAAAAAGCAGCCCAGCACAGTGGCTCATGTCTGTAATCCAGAACTTCGAGTGCCCAAGGTGGGAGGCCAGAAGTTTGAGACCAGCCTGGGCAATACAATGAGACCCTGTCTTTACAAAAAATAAAGAAAATTAGCTGAGGCTGCTGTGAGCTGTGATTGCTGTACTGCACTCGAGCCTGGGTGACAGAGTGAGACGCTGTCTCAAAGAAAAATGAAAGAAATTAAAAAATGGCAACATAATAGAGAGAAACTAGGGGAAGGTTAAGGATGATAGGGAGAATAACAGCCCCCAAAGATGTCCACATCCTAATCCCAGAAAGCTGTGAATATGTTCTGTTATATGGCAAAAAGGATTTTGCCGATATGATTAAAGTGAAGAAGCTTAAAATAGGCAGATTATGCTAGATTATTCAGGTGGGTTTAACCTAATCACAAGTCCTTTAAAATGGAGAACTTTTCCTAGCTTTTGTCAGAGAGAGAGGAGTCGGAAGAGAAAGAGAGAATGGTGGTGATGGAAGAGGCAGAGAAGATGATGGGAAGGGGCCACAAGCCAAGGAATGCGGTGTCTTAGAAATGTCACCCCAAAATATGCCTCCTTGTTATAAAAATTATTGCTGAGCCTAAGGCAATTAAGAAGCAGCAGTGGAGGAATTCTCCTCTCTCTTTCCTCCCCCTTTTCTGCTTACAGGATATAAATTCTCCTTTACTAGAGACAATGCTTATTAGAGGGGACCAGAGGAATCAACAAACCTTACTCCATTAGTGTCTTCCCATACATTTATGTTGCCATGGTTTCCACCTTTGGAAGCCTAAAACCACTTTCCTTTATCCTGTCTTTTCTCTATAGATTTATTTTTCTTTGTTAAAGATGCCATATAAGCCAGAGTTCTAAGCCACTGCCTTGAGTTACAGTAGTTTCTCCTTATCCACAGTTTTGCTTTTCATGGTTTCAGTTACCTGCTGTCAACTGTAATGAAAAAATAGCTGACTATAGACCAGGCGTGGTGGCTCACGCCTGTAATCTCAACACTTTGGGAGGCCAAGGCTGGCAGATCACTTAAGGCCAGAGTTTCGAGACCAGCCTGGCCAACATGGCGAAATCCTGCCTCTACTAAAAATACCAAAATTAGCCGGGTGTGGTGGTGTGTGCCTGTAATCTCAGCTACTCAGGCAGCTGAGATAGGAGAATCACTTGAACCTGGGAGGCAGAGGTTGCAGTGAGCCGAGATTGCGCCATTGCACTCCAGCCTGAGCAAAAGGGTGTGGTACTCTGTCTCAAAAAAAAAAAAAAAAAAAAACCGAAAAGGCTGAGTAAAATAAGATATTTTGAGAGAGAGAGAGACAGAGATTGAGATCACAGTCATATAACTTTTATTAGGATATATTATTATAATTGTCTTATTTTATTATTAGTTATTGGTGTTAATCTCTTACTCTTCCCTAATGTACTATTATAGGTATATATGTATAGGAAAGAACAGCATATGCAGGTGACATGATTTGGCTCTGTGTCCTCACCCAAATCTCATGCTGAATTGTAATCTCTAATGTTGGGGTAGGGACCTGGTGAGAGGTGATTGGATCATGGGGATGGATTTCCCCTCTACTGTTCTCATAATAGTGAGTTCTCACAAGATCTGGTTGTTCAAAAGTATGTAGCACTTCCCCCCTCACTCTCTGTCTTCTGCTGCCATGTGAAGACATGTTTGCCTCCCCTTCACCTTCTGCCATGATTGTAAGTTCCCTGAGGCCTCCCCAGCCGTGCTTCCTGTACAGGTGGTGGAACTGTGAGGCAATTAAACCTCTTTTCTTTATAAATTATGCAGTCTCAAGTAGTTCTTTATAGCAGTGTGAGAATGCACTAATGCAGTAGGTATTCGCTACACTAATTCAGTACACTAATTCAGTACTGATAGTACACTAATTCAGTACTATCCACAGTTTGAGGCATCTAGAGGGGATCTTGGAACATATCACTTGCAGATAAGAAAGGACCACTGTACTTTTCACTGAGGTTTGTCCTGTGCGATATGCCCTGTATTTTAAAATAAATTGTTTTTCTCTTGATGATGTCTCTTTTATTATAAGGGTCTGTCCCAACTACAAACTTTTGAGGGATGAAGAAAATTATATTTTCTTCCTGACACTGAAAAAGGCAAGGAAACTGATTTCTCTCAAGATTGTCTAGAAAGAAACACAGTCCCACTGACACCTTGATCCTAACCCAGTGAGGCTAATGTCAGCCTTATAACCTAAAGGTCTATACAATTATAAATTAAGGGCCAGGCATGGTGGCTCATGTTTGTAATCCTAGCACTTCATGAGATGGAGGTGGAGGGCTGCTTGAGGCCAGGAGTTCAAGACAAATCTGGCCAACATAGCAAGATCACGTCTCTAAAATAAAAAAAAGTTTTAAAAAAGGATTATAAATTCAAGTTGTTGTGGGCCACTGAACTTGTGGTAATTTGTTAGAGCAGCAAGAATAAAGTGATACAGTAAGCTACTTAATACCAGATAGTAAGGATGCTATCCTTGAAGAGGAATACGAGCTGAGACCTGGATGATGGAGAGAAATCAACCTTTTAAATTTCACAGGGAAGAAGAGTCCAGGAAGAGGGAAGCGTCAGTTGCTGACAGTGGAGCAGCCTTGACGTGCTGTAAAATCATAGTGGAGGCCAATGCTCTGGAACACGTCAGTGAGCGAGAGAGAGGGGAGAAGAGTGCAGGATGAGATCGGAGCTCCAGGCAGGCACCCAGCCATCGAGAACCCTTTGCGGACAGGACTTCTGTTGTGGCACTTTACCTCGTTGTAGTGTGCACAGACAGTAGTAGCTCCTCACTTCACTGCATATCTGGAGATCCTTACCAGCAGGAACTGGTCTCATTCATCTTTGATGCCCTGCACAAAGCAGCTGTAGCGCCTCAAACATAGCAAGCCCACAAATGTAGAACTGGTGTGGATGACGTGTGAGATTCTTTAGAAAAACAGAACAATAGCAAGACTAATCTCTGTTGCTTTGGAATTATTGACTACTGGGAGCTCCTTGAATTTTAAAATGTAAATGTTCATCATTTGGGTAATTATTTTACGGCACATTAAGGGGAAATGATCTGTGATAGTATGTGTATCAGAGAAATTGAGGTGATCAAAAATATTGTTAGCCATGAGTGTGGTGGCTCATGCTTCTAATACCAGGGCTTTGGGAGGCCAAGGAAGGGGGATCGCTTGAGCTCAGGAGTCTGAGACCAGTCTGGGCAACATAGCAAGACCTTGTCTCTACAAAATAGAAATAAAAAAATTAGGTGGGTGTGGTGGCATGTGACTGTAGTCCCAGCTACACAGAAAGCTGAGGCGGGAGGAAGGCTTGATCCCAGGAGTTTGAGGCTTGTGGTGAACTGCGATCACACTACTGCTCTCCAGCCTGGGTGACGGGGTGAGATCCTGTTTCTAAAAAAACAAAAAATTTAAAAAAAATTTTTAAAAATTGTTGACTGGGGTCCCCAGTAGGAATTTCCTCAACACTGCTACCATAATCATGTACAGTTGTAACTTTAACAATAGCAGCCCTTAGGTGTTTATAAGACCTAAACAGACTTCTGCCTCCAGAGGCTACATTCTTAAATACCAGGCTATACTCCCTCCATATTCTTTCCCCAAGTGGGGCACAACCCAAAGTTAAACATTAAAACTCTCAGGAAAAATGCCAGAGAATTCCTGTCTGGTCTTTAAAGGTAGTTAAAAGTTCAACTATACTACAGGTGTGGCTACTTTTTTCTCTGTATAGTTACTGCCTGGATTAAAGATCACCAGAATACCTCTTCGAAAATATACTTTTAATGGGGCAAAAGAATGGAGCTAAGAAGGCATATCTTTCCTCAACTTGTCTGTTAAAAAATAGCTAGCTTGTTTTCTATTGTTATGATTAGAAAGAGAAAGTGCAGCTGCTTTTGTCACTGATGGATGGAGTAAAATATTTTAAATTTAAATAATTTATTTCATTTTTACATTTGAACTGCCTTCTAAGACAGTTCCAATTTGTGATGTAATCTCCAAATATTTATTTTTTGTCTCTAATTTGAAGTAGTCCGGCACTATCTCTGATTTAGATGGGTAGTTTGTATATTTAACCAGTCAATGCTAAATTACTTTCAATAAAATTCATTCAGATTGCCACTGTCATTGAAGATAACAGTGTGAGAGATATATTTTTTCTGCCTGATTCAATTGCCTGAGATATTTGAGGTCAATCTGAAGAAAGTAAATGGAATAAGTAAAATCCACACAGGAAAATAAATACCTTCATTTTTAATTTGTTATGTGTACAGTGGTTCTCATCCATTAGTTATTCTATTTAAATTATAATGAATTGGCACAAAAGTGGATATCTTTTGAGACTGGCTCTGCTGTGTGGATGAAACTGAAGAAGCAGAAATGAAAAAATACTATTGAGTTCTTATTCAGTTCTCTTACTGACTCACTGGACAGCAATGTGGATAAATTACATCACATCGTATTTGTTTGTCCTGTCACTGACATAAAAGGGTAAGAGCAAAATCTTGTGACTATGGCTTCCTGATAGGCACCATCCTCATCAGTACCCATTTATTCATCAAACACTTACTGCACACCAAACATTGTCCTAGATATCGTTGGAGTTGCAAATATAAATCTCAATTAAATCCTAACCTTAAAACTGTTCCTTGCTATCCACAGATGATTGGTTCCAGGACCCCCACCCCCGCCACAGACACCAAAATCTGCAGATGTTCAAGTGCCTTATATAAAATGGCATAGTATTTGCATATAATGTATGCACATCCTCCTGTATACTTTAAATCATCTCTAGATTACTTATAATACCTAATACAATGGAAATGCTATGTAAATAGGTGTTACAGGGTACGGGTTTTAACATTCGTATTATTTTTCGTTGTCTTATTGTTATTTTTTATTGTTTATTTTTTCAAATATTTTTGATCCACAGTTGGTTGAATTGGTGGATGCAGAACCTACCAATATGGAAGGCCAACTGCACTGCAATAATATAATGGTATACTTTTTTTTTTTTGAGATGGAGTCTTGCCTTGTCACCCAGGCTGGAGTGCAGTGGCATGATCTCGGCTCACTGCAAGCTCCGCCTCCTGGGTTCATGCCATTCTCCTGCCTCAGCCTCCTGATAATGGTATACTTACATACAACAGTGATAGTGATGAATGTAGGTAAGTGTACTATAAACTTCTGTACATAAAAGTTGTAATTATAGCAATTTTATATGCTATAATTACATATGCATATGTTACTCTTCTGCATTCTTTGAAACCTAAATCTAAATCCACCTCCTCAGTGAAACCTTCCCTGAATCCCCCAGGCTGAGTAAGTTTTCTATCCTCTGTGTACATATAAATTTGTAACTTGAATCAATGTAGCTTTCCTCTGTATAAATGCAGTGGATGTTTTTCTCTCTTACTAAATTAGAAGCTCTACGGAGAAGAAACTGTGTCTCAGTCCTCTTTGTACCTTCACCATACCTAGGCCAAGGAAAGATGGCAGTCGTGTTTGTTAAATGAGTGGATAAATGAATCAATAAATGATACAAGGTAGAAAGAGTATTTGAGGGGAGTAGATGAAATAATTTAAAAAGGCCAGGTTTGGGGAAGCTTTGAGTTATGGATAACAGAATTCTGGAATACATTGCGAAAAACCAAAAAGGGCATAGACTTTTATGTGACCTTAGGAAAGCTAATAGTAACAGTTAACTTTTATTGAGTGCTTAGTTCCATGCCAGGCACTGTTCTACCTCATCTTATTTATTCCTCACAATAAGTAGATCCAATTATTCCTATATTATTAAAGACGAAGCTGAGAACAGAGAAGTGTCAATAAGACTCCACAGCCAGCCAAAGTGAAGCCATGATTGAAGTCTAGACATCTCTCTTTGAGAAAGAGCCTCACTCTATCGCCCAAGCTGGAAGCAGTGGTGCTATCTCAGCTCACTGCAACCACCACCTCCCAGGTTCAAGCGATTCTCGTGCCTCAGCCACCCAAGTAGCTGGAATTACGGGTGCAGTCCACCATGTCTGGCTCATTTTTTTTTGTATTTTTAGCAGAGATGGGGTTTTACCATGTTGGCCACGCTGGTCTCGAACTCCTGGCCTCAAGTGATCCACCCACCTTTGCCTCTGAAAGTGCTGGGATTACAGGAGTGAGCCACTGTGCCTGGCCAGAAGTCTAGACACTCTTAATTGCTGTTACAGAGCTGCCTCCAGTTAGCTCTATTTAGACAATTTAAGCCTTAATTTTCATCGCCCTAAAATGGGATCTGTAGGACCTACCTTATCAGATTGTTATAATTCAATGGTAAAGGGTATAACGGTTTCGTATAGTGCACAGCAGAATATATATCTCAATAAATGTTTACTTCCTCTTTTTTAATCAGTCGAAGGTTTTGAAAAGTGGTTGAATAGGATACATAACAAGATTAGCACCATGCTTTTCATATCATCAAAGGAAGACTTGGAATTGTTTCCCCGTATTAATATGGCATTGAAATGTCCACTGGGAAAGCATGTGAATCAACATTACATGAATTCTAGAGGGTAGGATGTTCAAGAGACATAAAAAGGGTCAGCCTGATCCTTGGCATATATGTTGACTTGTTCTACAGAAAATGCAGGAAAGCTTAGGCAGAAGAGTGCTTGTATAGGGTCAGACCAGTGAGCCTCAAATTTGGACAGAAGCCTCTGGGAGTCTGGATTTAGTAGGATTATCCTTACCTGTCATTTCCAGTTACATAGTGGGCCTCTGTATTAAGCAGGTGAAGAAGGCAAACCAACAGAGTTCCCTTTAAACTTCACAATGAAAACCTGCTTCAGAAGAGTTCAGAGTCACCACAGTATTTATGTTTGTAATCCTCCAGTAGAATATGTAAACATGGTCGAATATTAAATGAATGCTTCTGTGAGTGTATTTTTGGATAAGATTTACATTAAATTGGTTGGCTTTGGGTTAAGGAGATTACCCTGTATAATAGGAATGAGACTTATTTAATCAGCTGAAGTCTTGGAAGGAACAAAGAACTGACCTATCGTAAGGAAGAGGGAATTCTTCCAGCAGACTGCGTTAGGTGTTAAATGCAGCATTGGCTCTTCCCCTGTCTAAAGTCTGCCTGCCCACCCTGAAGACTTTGGACTTGCCTGCCTCCATAATCACGAGCCAATCCCTAAAATAAATCTCTTTCTCTTTACAGTCAGTCCTCTATTTACTATGGTTCAACTTACAATTTTTCAACTTAATTATGGTGCGAAAGTGATACACATTCAACAGAAACCATACTTTGAATTTAGATCTTTTCCCAGGCTAGCAATATGTGGTACAGCACTCTCTCCTGATGCTGGGTAGCAGCAGCCAGCCATGACTCCCAATCAGCCACACAAACACAGTACTCTATAGTAGACTGTGTTGCCAGATGATTTTGCCCAACTGTAAGCCCAGGTAAGTGTACTGAGTATGTTTAAGCATGTTTAGTATGTTTTCACACTGCAGTAAAGAGACTGGATAATTTATAAAGAAAAGAGGTTTAATTGACTCGCTTCCACAGGCTGTACAGAAAGCACAGCTGGGAAGTTCTCAGGAAATTTACAATCATGGCGGAAGGGTGAAGAGGAAGCAGGCAAATCTTCACACGGTGGCAGGAGAGAGCGAGCTAAGGGGAGATGCTACATACTTTTAAATAACCAGATCTTGTGAGAACTCTTTCACAAGACAGCACTAGGGAAATAGCGCTAAACCATTAGAAACCACCCCCATGATCACCACACCTCCCACCAGGCCCTGCCAGCAACACTGGGAATTACAATTTTTTTTTTTTTTTTTTTTTTGAGATGAAGTTTCGCTCTTGTTGCCCAGGCTGGAGTGCAATGGCATGATCTTGGCTCACCACAACCTCTGCCTTCCAGGTTCAAGTAATTCTTCTGCCTCAGCCTCCCAAGTAGCTGGGATTACAGGCATGTGCCACTACGCCGGGCTAATTTTGTATTTTTAGTAGAGACAGGGTTTCTCCATATTGGTCAGGCTGGTCTCGAACTCCCGACCTTAGGTGATCTGCCTGCCTCAGCCTCTCAAAGTGCTGGGATTACAGGTGTGAGCCACCATGCCCGGCCATGGGAATTACAATTTAACATGAGATTTGGGTGGGAACACAGAGCCAAACCATATCAGTGGGCTAGGCAAAGCTATGAGGTTGGGTAGGTCAGGTGTATTAAATGCACTTTTGACTTATGATATTTTCAGCGTGTGACGGGTTTATTGGGATGTAACGCCATCGTATGTTGAGGAGCATCTCTATATATACATATCCTATTGGTTCTGTTTCTCTGGAGAACCCTAATACACAGACATTCTCAATTTTTTATTAAATAATTAAAGAATGAAACTTTGTGTTAGTAAAATGTATATTATTGGTAAAACACTGAAGATATATTTATGTACAATCTCAAACTTATTTCCCACTGCAAAACTAAATGATTCATCATCTTTGTTTTGTTTGTTCAGATGTAATTTAAAAATCTATGTTCATATTTATTGGAAATGGATAGCAGTTAACTTAATAAGTTATAAATTAGCCTTAAATTTCTCACTGAAAACACCTCTAGGCCATAGGATGGGAAATGTGAAACACTGAGCAGCTGTCAGTGTCCTTTTGGAGAAGAAATTGCTGAGGCCAAAGTCCTTCCAGTCAACTTCTTGGCATTTGGTTTTTCTGATTTACTTGCCACTCAAAAAGTGCTTAAGATTGTTTTAAGACCACATAAGATCAACTAAGGTCTTAGGGAAATGTTTCCATTTACCTTAAAAGGTAAAAATAAATTGTTCGAGAGAACAACTAAAATAGAGAATAGAGAATGGAGATAAATAGACTTCTGAAGACAAAAATTCCATTTACCTGTGATTTTGGGGGGCAATCTTGGCAATTAGTTGTATCATCTCAATGCTTCTCAAACTGAGGTGGTAATCCATGAATATTAGGAAAGTTATAGGATAAATGCAGTCCACTTTTCCCTATGGCCAATTTTTCAGTTTTAATTGAAAAAATTATAAAATGTGCCTGGCCAGTGAGTCAAAACTGTTATTTCACATTAAAACAAACATCAATAAATTGTGGAACAGAATGCAAAGCTTACAAAAATTTTACAAAACTTGGAAGAAGTTTGCACTTACAAGTGAATGACTTCCATTGAGTTCCTAGCCACTATCTACTTGTTGTATTAAGGTAAGGCTGTATTCTCCACTCAGCAGTACACCTTTGATGAAAAACGTTTCAAAGTCATGGTTTTAAAATCGACTGACTTAAGAATGCGACAAGCACTGAAGAAGAGAGAAGAGGATCAGCTCCATTTGAGAGCTCCCTGTCCTTCTTTGAATTAAAAAACTCTCTCAAAGAAGAGGCAATAGAGAGTAAAAGCTATGAACAGAGTGGTTTAATGAAACTACTTTTCTTTGTTTATGTTTTTGCTTTCCTTTTCCCATAAATGCCATCGTTTTGGTAAATGTTATTACTACAGCCTTTTTTTTTTTTAGTTCTTTTTTTGAGAACTACCATTTATTGAGAATGTCTTATTCCAGTTTCCTACATGGGTTTTCATAACTACTGTTTTCAACAACTTTGAGACAGACATAATAAATAATGTAGTAAACAGCATGGATATACCCTCAGATCTCTAAAACCCATGGTTTTGGCACAATGCCATTCCAACCTCTGCCATCTTCATCCTCCTGCTTTAACCAGGAAAACATATTTACTGGGCAGTAGACATGTCAAAGGTGAAGGTATTCATATCCAAATAATACTGTGCTGTTGTTTTCAAAGCAATCCATGTTTCACGAGCCTTCAAGAAAAGGAAACACAAGTCATGATCTCTGAGTGTGTAGAACACATCTTGCATCAGTTATTCTGATTATCATACAGATATTCCTAAAAGATGAGAAAAATATAATGGAAGAATTATACCAAATAGAATTTGGTTTTCATACTTTTAATTATCTGTTTATTTCAATACTCAGATATTTTACAGTATTTGTGGGGCCACAGTATAAACCAATGTAGCAGAGTCTTGCTACATTACATAGTGCCTGTCAGTTGGTACAAATCTGGTCTACAAGTAGAGGCAGGAGAGTACCTGAAAATGTCAACATTCTATAAAGAAGACACAGTCTACCAGCCTACTTAATCACTTAATTGACCAAATAAACAAATGTCTTGTTTTAATAATGCTAAATAATGCCTATTGGACAAAAACAGCCATAAAACTGGATGCATTATTCAGTTAGTAGTTTTCATCAGCAAGTGCAAAACAAGCAGATCCTGGTAGACCGGTTAAGACCCAGTTATGTGGAGTACGGACAAGATCAAGGCCCCATGAAAACAAGGACATTCAACTTTTTATGACTTTATACAATCCTCATGCCTGATGATAATCAGATCCTGAGATATGTGGAAAGAAAGAAAGAATAAGTGAAAGAATTCATTCATTCATTATACAACTTTGTTTCCTAAATTGCTAAATTGTAAGAGGGAGATCATGAATAATTGAAATACTCAGATAATTCAGCAATTTCATTTGGCCTGGAGTTTTAATGTCTTCTTCTATCAGAAAAGTAAATATAGAATAAAAAAGGCCAATGCAAATTTCTTCTTTGTTTCTTTTGCAGCGAGAATGCAAATGAATAGGAAAATGTACAAAAGGCAAGCAAAAGGAGGAACAACATTAAAGCCTTGAATAATTGTCACCGGGGATATTTAGCTACTGAACAACTGAAAGTGAACTAAAGTCCGACCACTATCCATTCATCAATCTACACATACATGTAATAATTTATTAAGCTTTGACTATATAACAATCATTTTGCTAGTTCCCGAGAATAATTACCTTGAAGGATAAGATACAGACCCTACCTTTATAGTCTAGGTAGGTAGGTTGGGTACACAAAACAAGTAATTCCAATTGACATTTTGAGAGCTATTTATTTGTGAAAGAGCATGCAAAAAGGGAGAGAAGGAAAGACAAATGTCGCCCTGAGAAGAAGGGAAAGGCTTCAGAGGGACATTTGAGTCTAGTCTTTAAGCAAGAGGCAGAGTTTACCAGGCAAAAACCACTTCATGGGCAAGAAAAAGCAGATATAGTTCAGAGTGTCTAGAGAGGAAAAATCAGGGCTAGGCTAGTCATGTGTTAATTAGTGGTCAGCTAATGCAATGACTATTTAAAAAGATAAATGGTGAAGGACCATTTGTTTCTAATACAAATACCTGCTTAGCCAGTGTGTTTACCCACACATCTGAACTGTGATCTGGGTCCCAGTAATCCTGCAAATTTACATGTCTTTTGAGACGTAGGAACTGGTTTGCAGGGTCTTCCAACAAAAATGGCGCTCCCAATGCTCCTGCAATTTAGAGTCCAAGAGCACAGCATCTTTTAGAGCAATAGTTTACATCTCAATGTTTCCTCTTCAAGAGACCCAGCTGTGATCTTTGGTAGGCTGGGGGCCTGAGGAGGAAACTCTGGAAAAGCTAAGCTCTGAGTGAGACAGCTACTCCTTGGCCCTTTGTCACCACTGTATGCTAACCACTCAATTTGACCTGTATTTAGTTCACCTTGAAAGCCAGTGCTATGTGGTGGATGGAGCAGGATATCAGAGCTTCCATACATGCATGGGGGCCTCCACACCTGGATTCGAATTCCAGCCCTATCACTTTTCGGGGAAAGTTGCTTGATTTCTTCGCACTTTAGTTTTCTTGCATGTTAAGGGGTATAATAATGCACACACACTTGCTGTAAGGACTGGATAAATTGATGACTGTAAACTATCTGGCTCAAACTAGGCAGTCAACAATCTTATTCTTCCTTTCTTAGCCCTCCAAAATAGAACTGATCTTTCTGTTTGAACTATGCTGCTCCCAAACCTGACACTGTGGTTTGGCATTGATCAATTGTTGGCATTGATCAATTCACCATCAAATCGAACCACCTTGTATTTTGCAACTCCTTCCTACTCCAGGATTAAGAAGAAAAAAGAGATGATAATTTTTAAAAATCCAGACTTTTTAAAGATCTTGAGATTTTAACAATCTGTGTTGTATTTTCATTCTCAAGTAAAACACAATTGCGTTCAGAATTATAACGAACCAATACAAAGGAAGAACACATTCTCTCCTGACCTATATGTGACAACAATACAATCTGTTCATTGTGATAAAGAAGCATTTATTACAACATCTAATTGTGAGTAATGTTACATTAGGCACTTAACCTCATTATTAGCAGTCCTCTGTTGACCAACCTTCTGTATAAACCTGGGTTATAGCAAGCTATACGGTATAAAAATTCCCCTCTATGGGGCTCTCTGTTTATTTGGGATCCAGGGTCAAAGATAAAAGACAAAACGAGGCAACACAAGATTTGATTGCACTAAAGGAATTTAGGAGAAGATGTTGTTATTGAGCACTAAGACACTGGGGTACAAGTAGGCGTTTTCTCGGTCAAGGAAGTTGTTTCACCTGCTCCTTGAAGAAAAAATTGGATTTAGCAGGATGGGAGAAGGAGAAACATTTTTTAAAAAATTTAAGCCAGAGGAATGATGTGTTTCAGTATCTTAAAACAATAGTCAGAGTTGGCTAGATAGAAGAGTTTTATATAAAAAAATAATATTAGTTAACATTTAAACTTAGGAGGTATTAGTGACAGATGCCAGAATTAATACTGTTCTGCTGCTAGCTAATCCAATTTAGTATAATCCAACCAGCAAGTTTGTGGAAACCATCTTTTAAGGTGGCTCCCAAAAATTACTACTTCTTGTTATCCATATTCTTGTATAGTAGTACCCTCTTTTATTTAATAGGGCTGACGTACATAACCATAAGCTACTGTGGAATGACTGTGTGCAATTTTTGTGGCTAGGATATAAAAGACATTACAGCTTCTGCCTTGCCCCTCTTTTGGACCACTTGCTCTAAGAAAAGTCAGCTGCCATGTCGTGAGGGCGCTCAAGCAGCCCTGAGGGAGAAGACCACATGACAAGGAAATGATGCCTCCCACTAATAGCCAGGTAAGCGAGCCATCTGGGAACCTGATGTTTTTGCTCCAGTCAAGCCTTCAGATGACTGCAGCCCCCATTGACATCTTTACCGCATCGTCATAATAAATTCAGAGCCACAACCACTGAGCTAAGCCACTCCCAAATTCATGACCCTGCAACTGCAATAATATGTTAGTTGTTTTAAGCTGTTAAGGTTTGGAAAAATTAGTTATGCAGTAGTAGATAACTTATAGAATGCATTATACGCACTTACTGATGTCAAGGTAAATAGCTAATCACAAGGGTTGAGACTAGGTTGAGGCAAGTGAGACACCTAGGATAAAAGGAACTCACTTTCAGGGTCATACAAATTTTGTACCGTAAGTTCCTCACTTCTCTCACCCTAGTCCTTGCTCTGATTATCATCATTGCATGGAAAGATAAACAAAAATAACTCTTGCTAATCACTACTGCATGCAAAGATAGACAACAAATAACCCTTACCATTAAAGAATTCACATTATAGTCAGAGTTCATATATAATTAGAAGAAGACATATTTGATCAGACCATCCATAGTTGGAGCAATTTTGATACTGTCATGGACACCTCACAGAGAAATTTATTTTGAGTTGAGCTTCAAAGATTTGTTACACTTCAACAATGAGGATGAAGGGAGTGGAAGCAAAGCGCATGTATTCTAGGCTGAAGGAGACTGGAGAGTTAAAGAATGGAGGAGCAAAGGAAGATTCAGGGTTGGTGACTTTCATTTTACCAATATGATTGAAAGGTAGGGTTGTGGTGTAGATGTGGTCAGAGATAACACTGGAAAGGTAAGTTGGAGCTCAATTCTGAATGATTTTAACTGTCATACCAAAGGGTTTGGGCTTTACTCTAAATAATTAATAATCATTTCTGAATAAGAAAATGATAGGAAGGACCAGATTTACTTTTTAAAAAAATTGTTTGTATTATGGTAAAATATGCGTAACATAAAACATATCACTTGAACCAGTTCTGAATGTACAATTCAGTGGTATTAAATACATCTACAGTGTTTTGTAACCATCACCGCTATCCATCTCCAGGACTATTTCATTGTCTCAAACAGAAACTCTCACTCTTTAAACAACTCCGCATTAACCCCTCCCCAACCCCTGGTAACTACTATTCTACTTTCTTTTCCTATGAATTTGCCTGTTCTAGGCACCACATGTAAGTGGAATCATAGAGTATTTGTTCTTTTCCGTCTGGCTTACTTCACATGGCATAATACCATCAAAGTTCTTCCACATTGTGACATCAGTATTTCATTCCTTTTTTAAGACTGAGTAATACTTTATGTATTTAATATATATGTATATATACCACATTTTATTTATTCATTCACAGATTTACTCTGAAAGATCCTTTTGTCAGTGGTGTAAGGACAGATAGTAAAAGGAAGAGAAGAGTGAGGGACACGAGATCAGAGGCTATTCAATAGTCCAGATGAGAGATAAGAAGGGCCTGAATCTGGTGAACGTGGGATGGGAAAACAGGATTGATTTGAGGAAGACAGGAGGAAGGAACACGCATTCATTTGGGCTGACCAGTGTGGACTAACCAGCTTTGATTTTTTGCTTTTAGATGAAATGCACTAATGGGTCACTTTTCAGATTTCTGATTATTCTCTTTGAAGAAAAGGTGTGTGTTACAGTGTTACATATTTTATGTGCTATTATTCTGTTAATAAATAGGTGTTTTTTTCAAAACAAAATTAGTGGCTGTGCAAAATAGATCCAATTCCATCAGTAAACAATAAATAGGTCTAAGTAAATGATGCTTAGGATATGATTTATAGCTACATAGTGAATCTGTAGTAATTGCTTAAGATAGTGTTACTTGGAATTATCTAAAAGTAAAACCAGAATTCTGTACCATAGTCATCCTGGTGCATTATACAATCACTAAGAAAAAAATGCTATTGCATAAATCTTGGCAGAGAAGCATGCTTTAAAATATATACAATAGCTATTTTATGCTCTAATAATTCTGTCTTTTGTAAGTCTTTTACCTTTTGGTTCATGGAAAATGTTTTACCGATACAATCTCCTTCTCCTCCCTAGGACAAACCACCTACCTCAGCATTATAAGCCCGACAGGCATCCAATAAATCTTAATTGATGATGATGATAACACCACCCATGAGAGAGACAGAAACTAGTATTTATTATCCTACTTTACAAATTGAGAAAATTGACATGCAGAGATGAAATGACTCACTCAAGGTCATATAGTAAGTCAGTGGCAGGGCTGGAAATAAAAATGCAAGTAATATAGAAGGGCAGGCTATTATCCTCTCTGCTTGAGAAATTTCTCCTCCCTTTTTCATTCTGCCTGATCAACCTTGAAAGTTAGTGAGAGCAAGACCAGGGTTTTGTGTTTGTGAACCTATCTAATATTGCTGGGGTTTGAAAACTGAACCCTGAGTTTTATTGCTGTGTTGATTTTTAAATGAGTTTTTTAAAAAAATGTAGGCAATATCAACCAGGTTAATGCCTTTCTTAAACTTCATGATCATCAGCTATGAAAAATATCCTTCTCTCTTTATTTACAACTCCCTACACATGCCCCTTTTTTTACTCACATCATAGTCAGCTTTAATAGGATCTGTAAATGTTTTGTCTAAACATTTCTTAAATATCCTCTGCAGAAAATTCTGTAAAGTAGAAACAAGGCAAACACTTCAGAGTATAAAGCAAACACTATTTGGGATCACAGCTCTCCTTACACAAGCCAAGAAGGATCAGAGACCCAGAGTCTTTTCTTGGCCTCGCCAGTGACCAGCTAGGTCATTGAGCCACTTCTTATTCCTACACTTCCATTTTTTATTCTGTGAAACAAGTCTGGATTACACAACCACTAAGGTCTTTTCCAGCTCTAATATTTTGATCTGGAATGTATTAATAACAAATAGGTCATTAATCAAAAACTACTTTCTATGCATGGTATCGTGTTATCGGAAGCACAGAGAATATGCTTAGTGGGCACAGTTCCTACTACTTTCAAGGAACTTACTGAAAAATTTAGCACTGCGACAGTCAGAAATAAGTGAAAGAAAGGTCAGAGTAGACTTACCCAATAATTAAAACAAAACAGATAAAAATGTATTCATATTATGAACAAAGTGGGGAGTACCCATTGCAGGCTAATGAGCAGTATGAGCATAATGAAAACTGCATCATTAGAAATGAAAGTCTCTATGTTACTAGCACCCACAGAAAGCTGAAAAAAACTCTTTAAACATAATGGTGGGGAAAAGACAATATTCTATACCCTATACACATAACCTTGAAATGATACTTGTGGTAGGAACCTATATATCTAAAAGATCAGAAAGCCTAAGGTAAAATAAGATACAGAATTAAAGGACAGAGTCTGCTGGCAGATTTCTCTTTTTGCTGATGTAGAGGAAGCTCATTTAGGGTAAGCCTAGGCCCCTCTTCACCCCTATGTGTGCTCTGCTCCTGGGAAGGGGCAGTGCTTCACTTAATTTGTAAATCCAAGAAGTTTAACTTGACCATGTCCAGCTTAGCTCTTTCTTCTTCTCTTGAGAGTAAACTGCCCTCCTAGGGCATGCTTCCTGTTCTGGTTCTGCAACCTGCAATTGGTTATAAATTTGCCAAATTTGGGGGTCCAGTCATCAGGCCCTTTATGTACTTATACTAAGCTACATTTTCCAAATTAGCCCTTCTCAGGAATAAAGGAAATCGATTGCCTTCCATAATCTTATTTCTTTATTTCTCAACTTGATCAAAACTGGACAAAGAAGAAGGGTGCTATTTGTTGGAGGGTGGTGAAGAAAGAGTAGCTTAAAGAACCCAATAGTCTGTTGCTCAAAGCCTCACTAAAAAAGGAGGGAGAAAAAAAAAAAAACAGAGCACATGCCAGGGCACTCCGGTGGGAGCTTGTCATTCCCAGATAGGCACAACCGAATTATTTCCCATATGTAACCTTCAATGTCTGTATGTTTTTGAAATAAATGCAATGAGATTCAGTGGGGTCAGAAGACATAAAATATCTGGGCAGATCCATAGGAGAGGTCTACTGCTAGCTATTTCCCTTAGGGTCTAGGTAATACTGATATCTGGGGTATTACCTGATACCTGCTACTAGAGATGGAGAGTAAGCAGTGCAGGCTTGCTTAAAGTTCAAAGATATTTACGTATGGGATGGTGAAAGTAAAGCACTTAGCACTCAGCATAAGTACCTAATAATATTTATTGTTTACTATTTTTATTGAACTGCTGAGTCTCAGTCCTTGCCTTTAAAATATTTATTTTTTAAGAAAAGATGAAATAACTGCCCAGAAAATTATGGACACACACAAATTAAGTACTGAAATAAAGTATAAATGGTCACTAGGAGTAAAGTACAAAAGAGGATCTGGAGAAAAGGATATATAAATGTCTTAGTAATGGTGTAAAAATTTCCAAGATTTCTGTAAATGTAGGGGGAGTTATACGATTTAGTGAGAGACTAAAATACTCATGTTTACGTTCATGTTTTCTAAAACTTGAATATTCTCTTTGTTAAGTAATTTTTTTTTTTGAGATGTAGTCTTGCTTTATTGCCCAGACTAGAGTGCAGTGGCACGATCTTGGCTCACTGCAACCTCTGCCTCTGGGGTTGAAGTGATTCTTGTGCCTCAGCCTCCCGAGTAGCTGGGATTACAGGCATGCACCACCACGCCTGGCTAATTTTTGTATTTTTAGTAGAGATGGGGTTTGCCATTCTGGCCAGGCTGGTCTTGAACTCCTAACCTCAAGTGATCTGCCTGCGTTTGCCTCCCAAAGTGCTAGGATTACAGGCATGAGCCACCACGCCCCACTAAGTAAGTAATTTTTACACACAATGGCATAGCTATTTTATTTCTTTCCCCATTACCTTTGGTCACTGACCCAAAAATGTGTAGTGCAAGACAGAAGAGTTGTGTTTAGTAGAACATGTTCCCTCACTTTGCTTGAACTTGGATAAAAATTGGTGAGAAAAGGAGAGAGAGAGACAGATAATGGAAGAGAAGCAATTTGGGTTATGAGAGAAAAATGTGAAGGAGAAACAGAGGAGAATAGAAGAAAAGAGATGGAGAGAGAAATCAAGAAAAAAATCAAAGGAAAGATAGAAAAATGAAGCGGGTTTACAAAAGACAAAAGGTGAAAAGCCACAGGGCAGATAAAGGAAGTAACACAACAGAAGGCAAAGAGGGTGAAAGGAAACTGGAAAAAATGGAGAGGGGTGCTGAATTGCTGACCGGCTCTCATATCCTAGTGTCCTGTTCAGAGGTCTAACAGGGGCCGAGGTGGGGTGGCTCACACCTATAATCCCAGCACTTTGGGAAGCCAAGGTGGGTGGATCACCTGAGGTCAAGAGTTTGAGACCAGAATGGGCAACATGGTGAAACCCCGTCTCTACTAAAAATACAAAAATTAGCCAGGCATGGTTGTGCATGCCTGTAATCCCAGCTACTCAGGAGGCTGAGCCGGGAGAATCGCTTGAACCTGAGAGGTGGAGGTTGCAGTGAACTGAGATCACACCACTCCACTCCAGCCTGAGCGACAGAGAGAGACTCCGTCTCAAAAAACAAAAACAAAAACAAAACAAACAACAGCAACAAAAAAACAAAGGTCTAACAGGATGCTTTCTAACTGACCTTTTAACTCAGTAACTTCCACTTTACTGGCATTACAATTGCTGACATATTGAATATTTTGGAAAGTAAACAGGAAGTGGTGTCACTTGGGTTTAACTTAAATCTGTTCTAACCTGCTCTTAACACACATACACAATGTTGGCACTCACTCTTATGGCCACAGAATTTCCTTGGACATGTTTTTGGAGCTGGTGGTTCTTTTATTACTTTTAATCTTGTAGACATGGAAATTCATAATTCATGAAAGGCAGCATTGTATTTGATTCAATAGTGACTCTTTCTGGGTCATTGCCTACATGTGTTGATGGGATCCCCATCTCCATATACATATGACAGATGATGCCATATGTGTAGGAAAACAGTTTTTCTACAGCACCCAGACTGCTCAATGAATCTAGTCATAAGCAATGACATTGAGACAACCAAGTATAAAGGGGTCCCAGGAGAACCTCCGACCAGCCTGGTCACTGGGAGAAGGGGTGGACCCACGGAAGCTCAGGCCGTTTGCAGCGGGGAGGGGCCTGGCCCTTCCTGTTCCTGTGTAGGAACCTGGGATTCAATCTGTGAAATGAGGGCCTGTTAACAGGAACCATTCTCCTACTTTGCTGTGTTGTTTTACCGTTTTCCTTTTCGTCCAATAAATTCCGTCCCCTTCACCCTTCAAAGTGTCTGCGAACCTAATCTTTCCTGGTCACATGACAAGAACCTGGATTTTCCTACAACAACATTTTTTTTTCCAGCCAAATTATTTTCCAGTTTATTCTCATTATGTATCTTCTTGAGAGTATCAATCAGTCATAAGCCCAAGTGAGTAGGTAAAATTAAGAACAAAATCTTTAAAAATAAACCAAAACTGTGTCAGAGAATACAGAATCTCTAAGGAATTGGAGGGCTGCAGGGATGACTGAAAAGGGCTAGTCTTCCTATGGTAGAGAAGAAAGCAAAAAGAAAGGGATTGGGGATGCTGACAGGGTTGTGTGTTAGAATATGTGAGCTTAAAAGCTCTTGTCAAAAAACAAAGCAAATCAAAAATCTTTCAAGACAAACTGGCATTGGTTACTAACTGTGGAGTGAAAAATAAGAGGTGGAACTACCAGAGGAAAAACAGACCAAAGGCAGCTTATTATTCTCCCTGTCTAAAACCAGAAGACATACTTGCACTTTATGGACAGATCTGATCGCAGGTCAACAATATGGGCATGGACCCCCAAATCGTTTCGTGTATGGGTCAACTCCAGCTGCCAAATCTGATCAGGAGAACATGATTGCTAAGGGAAAATAAATCTATTTTTCATTTTAGCAGAAGAATGAAAGCAATCCTTTAAAAAAATACACAAATGAGAAACAACAAAAAAAACCCAGTATAAATCTTAATAGCGTTCAAAAGTTGGTTCACTTAGAAAAACACTTTTCAAATTTGTTTTTTTTCCATATTTCCATATTTCCTTTGTATGTGATATAAAGCTGTTTGGTTTTAATAAATGCCCTGTTGCTACTCTTCACCATTAGTACAACTAGGAACTGTCACTGAAAGTCATTGGTGGTGTCCTGGTTCTGCTCAATTTTGTCAGGTAAGGTCACCCAGCTTCTTAACTCCTGGTTGTTTCTTATGGAAGCAACGGCTATGATACTGCCTCTACCACTTTTTCAAGAGGACGTCTTGCTCTGTGAGCTGCTGCTAGCCCATGTCAGTCACTGCAGTGCCAGAGGGGAGAGTTTGTGTAGCAGAAAGAAGAGTTTTGTTCTCATAAGTGGTAGATGTAGGATTAGGACATGAATGCAGCTTCTACCATTGATTGACTGTGTAGCTTGGTCACTTGAATTCCCTAAGCCCTCAGTTCCCTCTTTCTGTAAAATGAGGAGCATAGCATCTATTAGTATTTTCAGAGTGGTCATGAGAACTGACTAAGATAGCCTATGCAAAGTCCCTGACACATAAAAGGAATTTAAATTAGTAGCATTAATATTTGCTGATTTCATTATAGAAGAAGGCAATTAAAATTTTTTTTCTTTATCTCTCCTTCATTTCTGAAAGAAGGCAATTCTTGACCTAAATGTTCAAGACAGGTTTATATGCTTATTTTTTAAATCAAATCACAACACTTGAACTTCTAATTCTCTGACTAGAGAATCAGCTCCAATGCGTATAAGTTACTGTTTTGAAAATAATCAATAACTTGTCAACTCTGCCCATAAATTTAATTACTTGGATAAGGCCTTTCATTGTTTTTGGCCTCAGCATTCCCATCAGGAAAATAGATAAATGAGACCTTCTCCCTACCTCCCTTAAATCAAATTCTAAAGAAAAGTAATTTGTTGGACGACTAAGCTATAATAGAGAAAACTTAAAAAACATGAAAATAAACTTTAAAAAAAAATAGTGGTTTTCTTATAATAAGCAGAAGGGCTTCAGAGAAGTACAGATGAATAGGCTGTATTCTTAAAAGAAAATGTGGAGGAAAAGAAGCAAAGAAAGTTCATTCAAGCTACTACTTTCTTCTCTAGAGCTACATGATGTAGAAACTGTCAGCTAAACCAGTTATTGTAATGAATGAATCCAGTTCTGAAGGCATCAGTCTCCTCAATCTGCAAGCAGTGAAGCCTTCTTTCCTGAGATCTGAAGGGCTAATCCAGCAGTGTGCATACACCTCTGTCCTTAGTTTCTAGTTCTCAACTTGCTATTTCATAAACTTCAACTAGATAACTTTATTATTTTTTTTTAGAGTCAAGTCAATCAAACCAGTTGTCTTTATAGGTAGACATATTTGTATCTCAGTTGGAGTTGAAGTAAATTCAAACTTGTTTCTTAAGAAAGTCTTTGAAGCCTCTTTAAAAATTTTGCAGAACCATTTCCTTTGTCAAATATTTTTGACCCTGAAGCATTCATAGGTGAATGTGGACCAGCCAGCATTGCTTTAGCCTTGCAGGCATCCACCACCGTTACCCCCTCTAAAGTCAACTGCACGGATCAGTGGTCAAAGCAAAGCATTACACTGGTGAGTTATAACCAGCTAATGTCTTTAAATTACAATGTGCTCTGAGACACTCACTTAAACTGAGCCAGCCTCACTTTCTTCATCTGGCAATGTGGGCTGTAATTGTGTATGATTGTATATGCTTTGGTTATAACTGCTTAATAATAACTTGGCTAAAAATGTTTCAATCACATATTTAAACATGACCCAACAGCAAATTGCAATATTTATGATTAAAACTCATTATTAAAATTATTTCTATGTTTAGGAATTGAAGGCTTATTTTATATATATATATATATATATATATATATATACACACACACACACACACATATATACATCTATCTAGCTGTGTGTGGGAAGGGCTTCAGGAAAAATATAATTTTTGTGCATGAGTCTCAAGATTTTCATAGAAGCAAAAGTTTATTCTAATTTAAGCATCTGCATCAGAAATATTTATAAATTATAGAGATTTAACCATGAAGATAATTTATATCTTTGTAAGTGTTTTCAGTTTTTGTTACAAGCAAAACAAATGACCTCTCAGTTCAATTTTGATAGAAGCCACTGAGTTACCGGGTCATTTTGGCAGCAAATCGCCTGGCCTCTGGTGCCTTCCTTGATCTGCCTTTAAAGCACCACTTTGAGCTACAGCTTGCCCTAAAGGTTAATAAATTCATGTTCCCAAAGTACTTTGAGGTCTTCATATAATGGTACTATGTTAAGTATTATACTTCTGAAAGATATTTTAAAATTTTCTTTGTTCAAGGACACAACAGCACTTATTTGGAGGCAGCAGCAATTAGGCTTCTTAGCAACAGTATCATGTTAATATATAATTAGAAATAAAATGATCACACACACACACACACACACACACAGTTAACATTAACATGTTCAAAACCACAGCCTTCTACAATAGTTTGGTTTCCCCAGTGCTATAGAATAGGCCTATGGATAAAAACGTGTTTGTTCATTTCTTTAAGAAGACAAAAGGAATTATCAACCTGATGGCTGTAGGAGACATGATAAATAAAAAAGAAATAGGCTCTTACCGATAAGCAATGTTGAGCACAGGACTACTTGAAGCATTTTATAGGCCATGATCCTATTTTGGGAAAAAAAAAAGATTTATTTACTTTAATTTAGCTGGAAAAAGCCTTAGGGTATATCAGGTACTTTTCAGAAGTATAAAGCATTTGTTGCATACCTGGAAGCCCTGTGAGCTGAGACACAGAGAGAGGCTGAGGTGGCTTTTTTATACACCTCTTGCCTTTTTACCCTTTGGACTTTTTGAACTGGCTTTTTACAGGCTGTTCTTATGTGGGTAATTTATTTATTTACTAATTTTACCATCTACATAGATTAACGTAATGTTAAAAAAAGGTAGAAAAACTGGATCACTCACGTATTGCTGGTGGAAATGTAAAATTTTCCAGTCACTTTGTAAAACAGTTTGGTGGTTTCTTAAAAATTCAAGCTTGCAATTACTGTCCAACCCAGCAATTACACTACTGGGCCTTTGTTTCAGAGAAATAAAAACTTAACGTTAAGAAATAATCTGTAGAAGAATGTTCATAACAGCTTTATTAGCAACAGGCAAAGACTAAAAACAAGCCAGATGTCATTCAACAACTGAATGTTAAAGCGTGATATATCTATACCGTGGATTACTACCAGCAGTCATAATAATAACTATTAAAAATAATAATTATTGGCTGGGTGTGGTGGCTCACACCTATAATCCCAGCACTTTGGGAGGCCAAGGTGGATCACCTGAGGTCAGGAGTTCGAGACTGTCCTGGCCAACATGGTGAAACCTGGTCTGTACTAAAAATACGAAAATTAGCCAGATGCGGTGGCATGCGCCTGTAGTCCCAGCTACTTGGGAGGCTGAGGCTGGAGAATAGCTTGAACCTGGGAGGCAGAGGATGCGGTGAGCTGAGATCATGCCACTGCACTACAGCCTGGGCGACAGAGCGAGACTCCATCTCAAAAAAAAAAAAAAGTTTAATTAAAAACAAGGAATGTTTTACTGCATTGTAAAATGTGTTTGTTTCCAAAAACAGTACATAATCAATACAACCAGAACAGTACTTTCATTTTTCAAGCAATTGCCCTTTTCAGTGCCTTGATTAATCGACTGAGTTCATCATCATACAATTTATTCTTAATGACAAATTATGCCTGTGTGCCAGTTTCATTAAGATTATGCAATCTGTAATGAATTGGTATGGATCTATAAAAGTGGTAGAAAACAACTTTGTTGATGACTATCTTTAAATTGTAAAGGGTGTTTAGAAACCTACCTGGGAGTTATGCCTCCATTTAATGATAAATGAAAGGTTTTAGAAGACAGCTAACTAGAAACACACACTGCAAAATCTTGGAAGCTTAAGCCATGTGTCCACCTATACAAGGTTTTGGGAGATGCAATAGCTGTTGCCACAATTCTGTAAGTCTCCATTATTTTTTACTTTGTAAAGAGGTATAAATTTTTAGTTGTGTGATAAACTAGAATAATATCAAGAAAATAATAGGAAAATACTTTTTTTTTCTTTTTTCTTTTCTTTTTTTTTTTTTTTTTAATTTTGCTTTAAGTTCTGGGACACATGTGCAGAACATGCAGGTTTGTTACATAGGTATACATGTGCCATGGTGGTTTGCTGTACCCATCAACCCATCATCTAGGTTTTAAGCCCAGCATGCATTATTAGGTAATTGTCCTAATGCTCTCCCTTCCTTTTCCCCCCGACCCGCTGACAGGCCCTGGTGTGTGTATTCCCCTCCCTATGTCCATGTGTTTTCATTGTTCAACTTCCACTTATGAGTGAGAACAAATACTTTTGTTTTTCAAACTACGAGATCATGGCACCAAAAGAGAAATTTATCTTTCTTTTCTCTACTTTTATCATTCTTAAACTTATAGGCCTAAAGTGAAGTTTGTCTGGAGGAGGAATGGGAGAGGGGCTTTGCTTCCTATCTCTTTTACCTTACTTCTCTCAATGGGTCATCAGTCAATTATTTTGGATGGGTTAGATAATGCAAGTATAAAATAATAACAGCTATTCCATAAATTTTTACATACATTTTCTCATTTAATACAGCAATTCTATGGAGACAGTATTATCAAGTTTCATAATTTGTCCAAGGTGTGTTCAGAAATAACAGGGTAAAGCTTTACAGCAGAAGTAGAGATGTGGTTCACACACAAGAGCATGAGCCAGTAAAATGAGACAAATTAGGTAAGTGTGGCCCCAACTGGGCCCAGAGGTGAATGTGGCCTGGGCAACTCAGTTTTATCGGGAAGGTGAAGATATAATACAAGATCCTTCATGGGCCAGAAACTGTTATCCTTCCTGGTGAATGAAGCCTTCTCAGATCCCCCAATTCAGATTTGGCTGCTTTTTCTTACATCTGCATACCTTTAATCGTTAGGCCATGTTTTCCCACATGATGGTTATGTAGGTACATTTCAGTATTTCCGGGTAGATTATGTGCTTCCTGAAGGCTGGTACTACCTTTTACTCCTGTTTGTGTGCCTTCAGTGCCTAGCACAGTGCTGGTCATATAATAGTTCTCAGTAAACATTACTGAACTTAATTGAATTAACTGATTCAAATTAAATTGAATTAATTGGAGTCAGTATTTTCCTGCACTGGCCTATCAGTTTACAGTCTTTTCTAACTGGCTACAGAAAACAAATAGAATGTTGTAGTTTTGTTTTGATGTTGATGCTTGGGTTTTCAATAGTTTTCCCCAGAACTTGTCTCTTCTTATGATCTATGAAAGAAAAAAGCTGAAATCCATGAAAATTGCCAATCTTAATTATAAAGATATAGAAATGCTCTTTGAAATCAAATTGGAATATCTTTGAAAAATAGAAAGATCAAGTGGGAAGAATTAATGAAGCTTGTCAACGGAGTCTGTTTACAACTCTGATGCTTTATACTTAGAAATCATTACTTTAATATGATATGACAGACCTTGGTAAGCTCCCATATTACGTATCAACAAAAAATAAATGTTAGAAGACAAACATGTGAAATCAGATCTGCTATCATTTAAAAAATTTTAAAGAAGAAAAAAGAAAGGTTAAAAAAAAACCAAAAACCTTTTGGCCGGGCACGGTGGCTTATGCCTATAATCCTAGCACTTTGGGAGGCTGAGGCAGGTGGATCACTTGAAGTCAGGAGTATGAGACCAGCCTGGCCAACATGGTGAAACCCTGTTTCTACTAAAAATACAAAAATTAGCTGGGCATGGTTGCACGCACCTGTAGTCCCAGCTACTCAGGAGGCTGAGACAGGAGAATTGCTTGAACTAGGGAGGCGGAGGTTGCAGTGAGCCGAGATTGCGCCACTGCACTACAGCCTGGGTGACAGAGCAAGACTCCGTCTCCAAAAAAAAAAAAAAAAGAAAAAGAAAAAGAAAAACTAAAAAAAACACCCAAACAAAAAAACCTTTACACTATCAAGAAGCAAGCCGAACTTAGTTTCTGTTCTGAGTCATGCCAGCAAGGCAATCCAACTCTACAAACCACAAAGCTTTGGAAAATGTAATGCTCATTTACAAAATTCTGATAAGAAGGAATGAGGGCATAGTACAGCTTGGTATGATTCAATGTCATCACTGGCATCAGTAAAAGGTGGAGAGCCAGCCAACGTGTTGGGGGAGGAGAAGATATTAACTCTTAACTAAACATTGAAATGAACTTTCAACTACAGTCAACTTATTGGAAGTGAGCAGGTGATAGCACTTATTTATATGAAGTTATTTGAGACTCTCAAATAATTGCTACATGAGAACAAAATTTTACTATAGTACCTGTTAAGGGAATCATTTTTAACTGATTTGACAGGTTTACTATAATTTGTATTGTTAGTATAATGTGTCATCATTATCAGGTCAAACCTCTTAGCGGGGCCATTTCTTTCCTAGGACTGAGAGAATATCCTGGTATTTAAGCAGAGAATGACCTAGCAACCACATCCTAAGAATGAATGATGGTTTCTGTAAAGTCTTGAGCTACCCGCAGAAAGTAGCTCTTTAGCAAGGCACAAGATAACAAGATTCGGACCTAGTTAGTGTAATTAAAAACTCCTTTTCAATTATTGTGTAGAATATGGTTCTGTCTTGGAAGCTGAAACATTTGTTTTCATTTTTTTCTCAATTTAAGAATAAAATCAGGCCTTGCTGAGGACACAGATGAAGTATATTCCCTATTTAATCTTTCCACTCAACTCAAGTGCACTATACTTCTTCTCGTATCTACTGAGGCTTTAATGCTGCTGTCATCAGGACATGAGGGCATATATTCACCATATATTAACAGTAGGAGCCAGATTAACTTGGAGAAATTAGCTAAAAGGTTAGAGAAATGTATTCTGCCCTTGTATTCATTTTAATGTGGTTACTGCAGGCTTTAAAATTTGCTACAGCCTAGCCCGGGCGACAGAGTGAGACTCCGTCTGAAAAAGAAAAATTTGCTACAGCCTGAGATAACTTAGGCTTAATGTTTGGAAATGTAGCTTAAGGACTTGAATAAGTAGTTGTAGGTAGCTCAGGATCTTTCAAAGACTGACTGATCCTACCTGCATTGAGGAAGAGGAGAGCTCCCCATTATATGGGGCTTAATTTTCATCTTAAGATCAAAGGTCATATTGGATCTTGGATCTTAAAATGACCAATCTTGGATCTTCAGATGATCCAATATGACCTTGGATCTGAAGATGACAATTAAGCTCATGTTGTCCAAGATCTCTTTCTTTTCACTCTTTTCCATTTATTTCCTAATTTGTATATGCACCAAAGAGCAACGTTAAAAGACAGAAAATTGAGAATTTAGTTTTATCCTTCAGTTGTTATTCATTCATTCAACAACTATTTATCAGACACTTTCTAGGCTCTAAGTACGTTTCAAAATCCATGTATTTGAACATATTCCATGTGCACTGTTCCAAGTACTAGCATTACAAACAGACATCAAAATTGTTCCTTGTGTGGGAGAAAATAGTTTCAGGGAATGTTTCCCAGTGAGGTGAGTTGGATTTTCCCATGAGGACAAATTGAGTTGGGGGAGGAAGAAAAATCCAGGAAAACAGAGCCTGAGGAAAGGTCAGGGGACTTGAATGGACACTATGCATCAGCAAGGCATCATTTGGGGCCATCACAGTACATTTATGAATACTCTTTAGGCCTACTTTAAAAACTTCCTGTTACTGATGTTCAATAATTTCAGTGATTTCTGTTGGTTGTCACTATAAACAAGTTGGAGTCATTTAAAGATGTGTCATTAATACAAATGTATACAGTCTAGCAATTTAAGTAAAACACCAATCTGTTATATGATATGGTATTAGAGTCACACAGCTTCGTGATTAAGCTTTGCGGTAATGCATGCCAAGGCATTTTTCTCATTACACTCTGAATAATTGATAGTTGACAATATGTGACATTTATTGAGCATCAGCAATGTGCTAGCTCGCTTACAGAGCACAGAACTATCAAGGGACCTTGCCCAATTGGCTCACTATCAAAACACAGTCTGTCATTTCCTAAGTCTTCCATGCTTCACTAAACTAAAAGAAAAAAAAAAGCGTTTCTGGAGATTCACTGTAGAATTGAACAAGGCCAGATTTTCTCTGCAGGTAGCTCTGTGGACATTAGTATTAGTTCCACAGGGATTCAATCTGTTCCCATGGTTCTGGTAATCACAGAAGATAAACTTGATAATCTAGCGTAGATTTGAGGTAAAGGCTGTTCTAGGATTTATGATGCTTTTTCTGCTGCAACCTGTAATTGAGCCCTCAGCAGTGTGACTTTCTCAGGATCAAAACTAAGTACATGTGTTTCGGTCCAGTACATGTAAAACCAACAGTTGGATTCACCAGGGAAAGGCTTAGCTTTGAAGGATTTAAAGTATTCCTTGAAATTCCTGGGTCCTTGAGGAAAAAATCAGAGACTTGATACAGCAAAGGGATATGGAGGAAGGTGTATGGGAATTAAATGCCATGAGTGGGTAGGGGAATAGGAGAGAGTAAACAGAATTCTGAGTCCTAGCTTGGAAGGTGTAAGAGGTTAAAAGGAGAACATGAGGGATGCCACAATGGATGAATAAGAATAGCAGAAATTACTTCTTATGCATGATTGTTGGGTAGCTGTATTAGTTTTCTAGGGCTGCCGTAACGAAATGCTACTGCCTGGGTGGTTTAAGTAATGGAAATTTATTTCTTACAGTTCTAGAGATTGGAAGTCCAAGAAGGTGTTGGCAGTTTGAATTCCTCTGAAGTCTCCTTTTTGGCTCTTTTCCGGCCACTCTCTTGCTACCTCCTCACATGGTCATCCTTCTGTGCACATACGTATCTCTGGTGTCTGTGTTCTAATCTCCTTTTCTTAGAAAGGTACCAGTCCAGATTGGATTAGTGCCCATCCCAACAACCTTATTTTTAATTAATTACCTCAGTAAAAGCCTTATCTCCAACTACAGTCACAATCTGAGGTACTGAGGGTTAGGGCTTTAACATATGAATTTGGGGGGAGGCAACACAATTCAGTCCATGAAAGTAGCAAAGACAAAACCCTTCAAATGTGGGCAGTTTTGTTACTACCAACTTCTGATTTTCCATAAAGAAAAGGACTTTTTTTTTTTTTTTTTTCCTGAGATGGAGTCTCAGCTCTGTCGCCCAGGCTAGAATCCAGTGGCGCAATCTCAGCTCACCTGGGTTCAAATGATTCTCCCGCCTCAGCCTCCTGAGTTGCTGGCATTACAGGCGCACGCCATCATGCCCGGCTAATTTTTGTAGAGATGGGGTTTCGCCATTTTGGCCATGCTGGTCTTGAACCCCTGACCTCATGTGATCCACCCGCCTTGGCCTCCCAAAGTGCTGGGATTACAGGTGTGAGCCACTGTGCCCAGACAAAAAAAGAGTTTTTGGAAAGCTGATAGAGAATATCAGAAGGAACAGTCCCAGTAGACGGGTCCATTGATGAATTGTTTTTTCTTTCTTTTCCTTCTTGAATAGAAGAGAGGTTTGAGGAAGACAAGAAATGCTATTCTACAATCTTCCCTCTCCATCTCCCGATTCCATTTCCTTCCTAGTAATTCAAAATTGTTAAATTATTTGTATCTCTGGGCCAACATGTTAAAGCTAATGTGAAATTTTAGTTCTCACTCCCACTGAGGTCACCCAACAGGTTGATGGGTTAATTTCTTTTTCATGGAAAGAAGATGTACCAGAGCAGATGGAAATGGGCAAGAGTGAGTTGGGGAGATTGCCAGGGGCTTCCTATATCCATGGCAGGCCTTGGCTCCATTTTTTGGAGGTTCCTCAGGTAGAATTAATGACTTTCTCATGAGTCTTAAATCCAGATTATTTAATTTATCCTGGTCATGTAATAGGCATTAAATGACTTAGCATAATCATTTTTCTTTGTTATCAGTTGTAATATATGTTTCTCAAGCAAGCCTGAGAATATTATCCTTTGGAACTAGAAAATCAAATTTAGTGCATGTTCCAAGGATCTCAAAACTATTATTATCCCCATACCAAGGGTTCCTAGGAGGAATTTTGTAGAAATTCCACTTTTAATAGAGGTATAATGGTTACAGAGTCTGGCCTTTTTGATGTTCCAGTATTAGTAGGATGCTGTATTTTCCATTGTTACCATCAGATTTTCTTCCCAAGAGTAGTAAGCCCATATGGTTTGGCTGTGTCCTCACCCAAATCTCATCTTGAATTGTAGCTCCCATAATCCCCACCTGTCATGGGAGGGGCTTGGTGAGAGGTAATTGAATCACGGGAGTGGGTTTTTCTCAGGTTGCTGTCATGATAGGGAATAAGTTTCATGAAATCTGATGGTTTTATAAAAGGCAGCTCCCCCGAACACGCTCTCTCTTCCCTGCTGCCATATAAGATGTGCCTTTGCTCCTCCTTGGCCTCCTCCCATGATTGTGAGGTCTCCCCAGCCATGTGGAACTGTGAGTCCATTAAACCTCTTTCCTTTATGAATTACCCAATCTTGGGTATTTCTTCATAGCAGTATGAGAACGGACTAGTACCTAAGCCTTTGGTTACTCTAGATGAGAACTATGATGCTATAAAGACAAGAGCTTTGGGTGAAGAATATAGACATATAGTCCTGAAAAGGAAAATGAGAAAAAGGAAAAGAAACTACAAACCTAGAAAGAATAAACAACATTAGCACCCAATCTTAGATAATTAAACAAAAATATTTAATGATCCGATTGAGATACAGGTATAAAGATGAGACTATGGCAGAGGTTGGGGTATGTCTGTGCACCAGAGGCAGGTGAAAGACACAAGAGGGGGTAGGTATATGATCAACTATATACAATTTTGTCATACACCTAGCTGTCTTGAATAAAGTTTCTAATGTTTCAAACAGTCCCATGAACTCCTTGGCATATGGTATGCATCTTTCTGGGAGAAAATTTTGCCAGTGGGAAATTAATTATAATAAATATTCATTATCTCTGGTATTTTTGAAGACTTTTATCTGTAAGGGTTGGATATATGAAAAAAGAAAATATCACTTTTGGAGTGGTTGCTTTCGGAGTGATGATATCCACTCCAACTATCACTCTTCATTAGTGACAGGCTACCTGGAGATGGGGGCCCCCTTAGAAGATGAGGTGATTCGCTTTGGCAGGGAGTGACATTCTGAATAGAGACAACCCATCTACTAGTTTGATAGTAACTGATTAGAGGGTAGAGAGTGCTTCTTCCAGGAGTAGGGGAAGGACAAGTGAGTGATTTCAAGACAAATAGATACTCCCATGCTTCCCCCACCAAAAAAAAAAGAGAGATTGAAAGATGCTTGTTACAGAGAATGATGCAAAGGCAGGAAGCCACTGTGGAAGGGATTCAGACTCAGAACGAACAACTCACTCTCCCTCCCAACCTCTCTACACAAAAAGGTGTGGAATTTGGAAACCTGAGAGATGTCATGGAGTTTCAATCCCCATATACACATGGCATATCAAAGCCGGTTGGCATTTTTTATTGATTCAATGTTTTCCAGTGGCATTTCACATTATCAGTCAGAAGACCCACGAAGATGCTCCATCATTAACCTTCATACCAGGATAAAGTCTAAGAGTCAGTCCCCTTATCTGGACAGGAATTCAGTCCCCATTCAAGCTAGGAATATCCAGCAAATGCCTCTCAGCCAGAAGAGCAGGATAATATCAGTGTTTCACAATTTGGAACCTTGAAACTTGTGCTTTTACAATCAGCCAGCATTCAGCAATTCTCCTCCACTACATCCTATCATTTTTTCCCAGGGGTATCTGTACAGTGAAAGGTATTATGCCTTGTTGAAGAAATTTCAGGCTACAAATAAAGGGATGGTGGAGTACTGGGCTGATGGTAGAGGGTCCCTGACATCACATTATAGGCTTATTTCTTTTAACAGGTTGGGCTTTTTAAAAATTGTTACTTTATGGTCATATAATTATTATGGTGAAACAAAAATAATGAATATCCAACAATAAAATAAATAAATAAAACAAAAAATTATTCTAAAAGTGTGCAGTTTTGGTTATACACAAATGCTGTGCCTATTTTAAAATGCTTTTATTACAACTGTGAAAGTTGTCAGAATTAAAATAGTCACTAGTGTTAAAACAAAAACAAAAACAAAAAACCCTGACAAAATTGCCGGGGAAGGCCAGGCAGAGAGGGTTCTCATGCTTGTATGTCTGATAACAAAACTATCATAGAAGACTTTGCAAAAATCATAACCTCGTATAAAGGCCATCGTGACCTCACACAAAAAATACTTTTGCAAGAACATCTGCCCAGCAACTGCTCGTCTAACCTTGGACGGGAATCACCTTTGCGCTGTCGATCTTTGTAGCCAAGGATAATTATTTCAAAACAATTATGTTATCCTTTTCATTTTTTCTTTAAAAAATCTTTGACTTCCTTTACCTCCCTGAATATGCACATAGTTTACTATGGAATATGCATGCCATATTCCTATTGCATATTCCTATTGCAATGCTCTATTCCCTAATAGATATCTTTTTCTTTTAGAGGGCCTCTCTCTGTTATTTAGGTTGACACGACTTTTTTTTTTTTTTTTTTTGAGATGAAGTCTCGCTCTATCACCCAGGGTGGAGTGCAACGGTGTGATCTCGGCTCACTGCAACCTCCGCCTCCTGGGTTCAAGCGATTCTCCTGCCTCAGCCTCCCGAGTAGCTGGGACTACAGGTGCATCCCACCATGCCTGGCTAATTTTTGTATTTTTAGTAAAGATGGGGTTTCACCATATTGGCCAGGCTGGTCTCAAACTCCTGACCTCGTGATCCACCCACCTCAACCTCCCAAAGTTCTGGGATTACAGGCGTGAGCCACCGTGCCCAGCAGAGATGACATTTTAAAGCTTACTTCAAATGACAGAAGTCTGGCAATTTGATGTGGGAGGGATATGACACTAGTACAAGGAAAATCAGACAGTCAACAAATTGTCAATTAGAAACAAAAAGTTTTGAGTGTCTAAAATATACCAGGCATTTTCTGTATGTTGTTGTTGTATGATATGAGAGGAAGATAATATAATGATCGGTAAGTAAGTTCCTCAGACTGACATTTGTCTATTGGAGAAAATACAAGACAATTTGATTCACTTCAAAAGTCTGCAATTTGAGTTAGATAAGAAATTTTAAGAGGCAGTTCTTTTTGTGACAGCAGGAAAAGTGTGCTTACCTCTTCCTTTGAATTACCAGTGATTCATTGCATGTCTGTAAGTGCTGTGCTCAAAGGTCAAGGTACAAGTCTTCCTTACATGTGTGAGGTTTTTTTCCACCTTTGAACTTCTTAAAAGGCTTTTATTACAGTGTGCCCCAAAGATCAATGTGTCTTGTTTTATCACTTTGCATTCTAATAATGCACCAAAGTTGGCTATTTGCCAGGGTTTTTTTTAAAAGGTTTTGCTGAAAGAAGATAAAACAAGTTTGGGAGGAATTTCTATGTGCTATTTTCTCTTCATTTTCCATGGACAAATCCCAGCAAATACAATTATAGAAAACCCTGTCTTGTCTTTTCAGATTGAGACTGGTGTGTAATTCTTGGAAGCCAACTGAGTTGACAGCTTCAATTCAGAAATTGGACAATAGCATCTAAATGGGGGTTCTGTGCAGAAAATTTTCTTTATACATTTTTTTGGTCAGTCTTAAAAGGTATTAAGTAATACCTATAGACTTTGCATGTCCCCTTCTGTTTACCTATGTGTGTTTCTCTCCTTCCTGGTATTTTTAACTGGCTCCTTTTATCCCCATGAGCTAGCTCCTCAGACTCTGATTTTAGAGGCACACAAGTTTCACAAACTTCACCAGTTATTTTCCATAACAAAAAGTGTATTTTATTGAAAAAATGACAACTCATTGTTAGCTAATTCCATTGAAGATAGGAAAATCATATGTTTATTTAAACTTCATTGACAATTTTTCTCTACTTTGATATGCTATTTAGTGCTAAATCCTACTTTGACAAAAATGAACTCATTTTCTTCCACCTCTCAACCTGGTAATTTTTTGTGACTTGCCCAGTACTATCAACAACAATGCCATTGGCTCAGGATTTAAGACTTAAAAGCATGAACTGACTTTTGGCCCCTATTTCTTTTCTGCTTTTCTCAGATACCAGAAGTAGTAAATTAAGCCACCAAAACATATTTTCTCCATGCATTTCCTATCTGTTGATCTCATTTAGAAAAGCCTGCTCCTAAGTTTTCCTAATCAAGACCTTACATTCACACCACTCTAGTTCTTTTTTTTTTTTTTTAATTTTTATTTTTTTTATTGATCATTCTTGGGTGTTTCTCGCAGAGGGGGATTTGGCAGGGTCATAGGACAATAGTGGAGGGAAGGTCGGCAGATAAACAAGTGAACAAAGGTCTCTGGTTTTCCTAGGCAGAGGACCCTGCGGCCTTCCGCAGTGTTTGTGTCCCTGGGTACTTGAGATTAGGGAGTGGTGATGTTTCTTAACGAGCACGCTGCCTTCAAGCATCTGTTTAACAAAGCACATCTTGCACCGCCCTTAATCCATTTAACCCTGAGTGGACACAGCACATGCTTCAGAGAGCACAGGGTTGGGGGTAAGGTCACCGATCAACAGGATCCCAAGGCAGAAGAATTTATCTTAGTACAGAACAAAATGAAAAGTCTCCCATGTCTACTTCTTTCTACACAGACACGGCAACCATCCGATTTCTCAATCTCTTCCCCACCTTTCCCCCCTTTCTATTCCACAAAACCGCCATTGTCATCCCGGCCCGTTCTCAATGAGCTGTTGGGTACACCTCCCAGACGGGGTGGTGGCTGGGCAGAGGGGCTCCTCACTTCCTAGTAGGGGTGGCCGGGCAGAGGCGCCCCTCACCTCCCGGACGGGGCGGCTGGCCGGGCGGGGGGCTGACCCCCCACCTCCCTCCCGGACGGGGCGGCTGGCCGGGCTGGGGGCTGACCCCCCTACCTCCCTCCTGGATGGGGCGTCTGGCCGGGCGGGGGGCTGACCCCCCCACCTCCCTCCCGGACGGGGCGGCTGGCCAGGCAGAGGGGCTCCTCACTTCCCAGTAGGGGCGGCCGGGCAGAGGCGCCCCTCACCTCCCGGACAGGGCGGCTGGCCGGGCGGGGGGCTGACCCCCCCACCTCCCTCCCGGACGGGGCAGCTGCCGGGAGGAGACGCTCCTCACTTCCCAGACGGGGTGGCTGCCGGGCAGAGGGGCTCCTCACTTCTCAGACGGGGCGGCTGCCGGGCGGAGGGGCTCCTCACTTCTCAGACGGGGCAGATGCTGGGCGGAGGGTCTCCTCACTTCTCAGACGGGGCGGCTGGGCAGAGACGCTCCTCACCTCCCAGACGGGGTCGCGGCCGGGCAGAGGCGCTCCTCACATCCCAGACGGGGCAGCAGGGCAGAGGCGCTCCCCACATCTCAGACGATGGGCGGCCGGGCAGAGACGCTCCTCACTTCCCAGATGGGATGGCTGCCGGGAAGAGGCGCTCCTCACTTCCTAGATGTGATGGCGGCCGGGCAGAGACGCTCCTCACTTTCCAGACTGGGCAGCCAGGCAGAGAGGCTCCTCATATCCCAGACGATGGGGGGCCAGGCAGAGACGCTCCTCACTTCCCAGATGGGGTGGCGGCCGGGCAGAGGCTGCAATCTCGGCACTTTGGGAGGCCAAGGCAGGCGGCTGGGAGATGGAGGTTGTAGCGAGCTGAGATCACGCTACTGCACTCCAGCCTGGGCACCATTGAGCACTGAGTGAACCAGACTCCGTCTGCAATCCCGGCACCTCGGGAGGCCAAGGCTGACGGATCACTCGCGGTTAGGAGCTGGAGACCAGCCCGGCCAACACAGCGAAACCCCGTCTCCACCAAAAAAGTACGAAAACCAGTCACGCGTGGTGGCGCGCGCCTGCAATCGCAGGCACTCGGCAGGCTGAGGCAGGAGAATCAGGCAGGGAGGTTGCAGTGAGCTGAGATGGCAGCAGTACAGTCCAGCTTCGGCTCGGCATCAGAGGGAGACCGTGGAAAGAGAGGGAGAGGGAGACCGAGAGGGAGAGGGGAGAGGGGAGAGGGGAGAGGGGAGAGGGAAGAGGGAAGAGAGAAGAGGGAGAGGGAGAGGCAGAGGCAGAGGCAGAGGCAGAGGCAGAGCCACACCACTCTAGTTCTTATCTCCATTATCTCTTCTTCACTTTACTTCAAGTCTTTTAGGGATGACCTTTCCAGCTAAATAAGTTATCAGGGCATCCAATTCACTTTTTCTTTGTTTAATATCAAGATTCTCCCCAGCTCAAGAGTTCTGTTTCTTACTTTCTATTGCAACACTCTTCTAACTGGCTTCTCTGCTTCTAGTCTTGAACTCCTCCAGTCTAGTCTCCACATGCATCCAGAATGATCCTTATGAGGACTAAATTCATTCATGGTACTCCACTGCTGGAGGCTTGGGTCTGGTTTCCCAAGCCTCATTTCAAGATACATTTCAAATTTTTCTGCATGGTATTCAGGACTCACCATGATCTGAGTTTCACTTCCTTTCAAGTTCCATCTAAACTTCCATTTCCTCTTCTCCTGCCCCACTTTGCACAAAACACTCCAGACATAATGAGCTACTTACTGAATGCCCAGGCAGCTTCATACTTTTTCTTTTTTAAACTGGGCAGTCTACATAGAATGCCAATTCTGATTCTTTTTCCTGGCAAATGTAAGTTCATCTTTCAAGGCATTGTTCAAATTTCATTGCTTCTTTGAGATCTTTCCTAACCCGCCTCCCTCCTTGGAGACCAGCCTTCTCTCAGAGAACCTCTAAGACCTTACTTCTCTAATTGATGCCTTAAAAGCCTATTAATGCAGTAGAAATTCCCTCTGTCTCTGTGTACTTTCTCTTCAGTCTGTTTTGTAAGAGAGGATGAAAAACTAGAAACTACATTTAGATGTTTTAGCAACCAAGGCTCTGGTTGTGAAAAAGGATTCTACCAACTAGACTATGTTCTATAAATCAGAAGTCAGATGCTTTTCTTCCTCTCTTTCTCTCTCTCTGTGTCTCTCTGTCTCCCTGTCTCTGTCTCTGTCTCTGTCTCTTTTTTAATACTTTGCTGCTAGCATGCAGAACATGGGATGTGAGGGTTTAGAGGCAATGGCCAGGCTCAGCATTCTACCATCTGGAAGCCATCCCCATAGGTAACTGGAGACAACAAAGCCGTGGCATCAGCAGATGCTGCCCTATGCTCTGCAGCTTTATGAAGTTTGCCTGAATTCAATTGTCCAGTGGTGAGCCCCTGATTTTGGCCCTTCTATTCCTCCCAGAAGTTTTATAAATATCCATTTCCCTATATTATATTTCGTTGTACTTGAAGTACCTGGAATGGTTTCTGTTTCCTAGATTGAAACCTGATACATTTGCCTCTATTAAACTATAACTTTTTTGAATGCAAGAACAGGTGTTTTTCTTTCTACCCTCTTGGGATGACCACAGAGCTGGCTTTCACCAAATAGATGGCTGATTCACTAGATGAGCCAATAATGACTCTAAATGATGTATCACAGTAAACATAAACCTGTTTACTGACACGCAAACCCCTGAAACACAAACCCATCTTTCAAGGCTCTCCTTCTTTACCTGGCCAACCTTGTCCCTTCCTGTGCTTCAGTCTAGTGATTCTAGTTATTATATTCCATACACGTATGTCCTGCCCCTTCCTCTATCTTTTTGTTCCAGTGGTTGCTCCCGTCTGCAGTGTCTTCCTTCCTTTCTGCCAATTCACATTTACCACTTCTGTCAAGAAAAAACATAAATATCACTCTTTATAATAAATATTCTTTTGCTGATGCCCAACCATGAAAAGAATGTTTACTTCTGGTGCTTTCTGGCATTATGCTTTGCTACTCTATATCAGTTAAAATAGCTTTGGTTCCAAGTAAAAGAAAAGCTAACTCTAATTACTTAAACAAATAAGGATTAAACTTCAGTTTTGTTTTGCAACAAAAAATCTGGAGGTGAGAGACTGCTGGTTTTGGTTTAGTAATTCGAGAATGTTTGTAGCAGCTTCAAGTGATTTTCTTGACTTTTTCCTCAAGGATGCCAATGACACCCAAAGATCCAGGTATCGTGCTTGTATTCAAGGCAGACACACAGGAGGGAGATAGAGCCAGGCCGGCCTGTGCCTTTTAATAGGAAAGCAAAAGCCTTTCTAGAAACCACTTAGCATACTTTTACATCTATCTTATTTCTGAAGACTGGGTCAAATGGTCATCCCTCACTACAGAAGAGTACAGGAAAGCAAGCTTTCAGCTGTGAGATGGAAATAAGACAGTTGGAAATGGCTATTGGGTTACCCAAACCAAAGTGACTACCCTATTTACTAAATCTTCTAATACCATCACTACTATTTGGGCAAATTCATGACCTCGTATTTTTCTACAATTTTCAGACGTGCTTACCACTGTGCTGCATACCTGGGCATAAAGATTTCCAGTAATATAAATAACTTAGATTAATGCAATGAAAACTCTACCATTGTCTAACATGGAGTAGATTGAGAGAGATAAAAACACACTAATCAGATTGTCTCACATGAATGCAATAAAATAAGAAGAGTGTCTTAGTTCACTTTATGTTGCTAATAACAGAATACCTAAAACTGAGTAATTTATAAAGAAAAGCAATTTATTTCTTATAGTTATAGAGGCTCACAAGTTCAAAGTCAAGGGGACATATCTTGTAGGGGCCTTCTTACTGGTGGAAACTCTCTGCAGCGTCCCCAGGTGGCCCAGGACATCACATAATGAGAGGGGGCTGAATGTGCTAGTTCAGGTCCCTCTTCATCTTCTCATAAAGCCACCAGTCCCACTCACATGATAACTCATTAATCTATGAATGAATTAATCCATTCATGAGGGCAGAGCTCTCATGACCCGATCACCTCTTAAAGGTCCCACCTCTCAAAACTACCACATTGAAGATTAAATTTTGACATGAGTTTTGGAGGAGACAAATATGGAAGCCAAAGCAAAGAGTGTGAGAAGTTTTCAGATGTATTTTCCTATTGCCAATTGAGGGTCCTTGGCCTCTTTTAATATCATCAATTTAATAGCATTTGCTTTCTGTGTTTATTATAGTATGCCAATGTCACTTCTAAATTCTAGTTCTTAAGAAATGGCAAACAATTGTGGATGGTCGGTAGGTTCAAAACATCAGTTTTTTATGCTTATGAAATTTGTCTTGAGTTCAATATGTTTGTGAAGAGCAATGAAACACTGGTTCATATAATAGCTGTTTAAATGAGAGGGAAAGTGTAGTCTGAAAGATTTGAGCCATTATTTGTGACTACAATATGAATTTTACAAATCTGAAATGTTAAGTTAGGAAGAGCTGATGAGTCTTTTATCCCAAACAGGCTTTCCTTAATATCAGTACCAATCATTAGATGATCAAATGGCATTCTTATTTTAAATTTCCCCTCCCTGCCACTCCCCCAGTATTTTTTTTTTTACCATGAAATAATGTTAAAATGAATCTTGAGGCAGGGTTGAGGGATATGGCTGAAATAAGCAATCACAAAAGTACTCCTTGTGGAGAAACAAGGTTTGCCTTTATGATGGCAGAGTGGCTAAACAGTGTTGAAATGGGGAGGCGGGGAATGGCTTTTGGTGGATTCTGTGCAGTGACTTTCAGGCCTCTTTTTAAGCACAATCTAATGGATTCTCTCTGTCCCTGTCATCCAGGCTAACCAGTACTGTCTGGTGCTTTGGGGCTGGCCACTTACTGTAGGAAGTCTCTGCTCAGATTATAAGAAGGAGTGCTTCTGCAATAATCACACCCTTCCCTCTGATAAAAATTAGATATTACAGCCTTTACTAATTATAGGCTGGTGGCTCCGGTGCTCTTCCGATAGTAAATTGCTTTGAGATAGCAGCTGGAAATTGGGTAGTAAAATAAATCCAGAAGAGACTTGTCAAGCTTTTCTTGCTCATAAAATGAAAATAAAATATCGTATTTGTGAAGTTCTATAGAAGGAAAAATTGGAAAGATCGCTCAAGTTGCTTAGTAAAGAGAATTTTGCTGTCAAAACATCACCACATCAGCCACTGTTAAAACAAAAATGCAATCAGGAAAATTACTTGAAATGTTTATGTTTACTTCCAGTTTTGAAATTAGAACATCATGTTCCTTCGGGTTGCCATTCAAATTCTCTCTTCCTCTCCTGATTCCCATAAATGTAGTAGTTGATAAACTCCTCTCTTTGGAAGTAGAATGACTACTCCAAAACTATTTTTTTTTTCTTTTCTGAGAGCTTCACTGCCTGTATGATGCCTGGAAATTACAAACACATCTAGTTCAAGTTCTTTATTTAATAGATGTTTGTTTCTGACTTTATGACTATCATGTAAAATCTTTGCTGAGTATTATTGAACTACCTTGGTTTCCAAGTCAAAAGACATTGAATCAGCTTGGGTTTTGGTGACTTAAGAACTCAGGGCTTTGTGAGTAGAGAAACACCATTTATTTATACAGCTGTTCTACACATCTGCGCAGTCCTTCCTCATATTTATCTACCCGCCCCAACCCCGCACCCCTACCTTCTACCTGCCTAGTTCTATCTTTTGGAGCAATACCGAATATCTAGGCATTGAGCCAGGCCAGCAAGTGCAATAGTCGCATGTCAGCTGACAGGTAAAAAAGGTTAGTGATCCATTCAGGTGGGGGCAGCTATTCTCACCTAGGGACAAGCCGCTATATTAAAGTCCAAATTCTGTTCTGATTGTCTTTAGTTATTCCTTTTGTTTTCTCTCCGGCTTGTCACTTTTGTTTTTCATTTTTTCCTCCAAATAGAAAAAACATGATCAACTCAAGAGACACAGGAAGGTAAGTGCTAGGATTACAGGACAGAGCACTCTTACCTCTGGTTCTATGTAACACAATGGACAAGCAAAGAGAACTACCCACTCACCTTCCCCGCACTGTCCTGCCTTGCCGCCCACGTTCCCCCACCATCTTGTGTGAATGTGTAATCATTTCGAATCAAATTTTAATACCAGTTTTGGGCTCCATTTTCCAGCTGGGGAGTGATTGAGAGGAGCAGGGTGGGGAACAACCGTCTGAAAAAGTTACATAAACCTCAATTCCAGGAGACTCTAACTCAGATACGTCATTCTCAAATTGTGGCTCCAAGACCAAGCAACAAACCTCGCGAGACAACTGAGTCGACGACGCAGTGGGAGCTTCGCGGTCCCGCCGCAAGGGGGAGCACGTGTTTGCTGAACCCGCCCTCTGCGCGTGAGCGTGGGCGTGGGAGTGGGCGCGGGCGCAGGCGAACGGCTGCCGGTCAGGTGTCCTTGTCCCCTTGAGTTGCGCGGGTCGTGTTCGAGGGCATGGACGACAGGTACCCTGCGCTTCAGCGGGCCCAGCTGCGTCTGGATTTCATCCACGCCAACTCGTGAGTGCCGAGGTGGGGTCGGGGTCGGGGAGGGTCTCTGCGCCCGCCATGAAGAAAGGTTTTGCCCGTCCCCTGAGGAATACTCAGCAAGTGAACTTGATTTATGGATTTATTTATTTATTTGAGCTGTATAGGCTTTTTTTAAAACGATGAAAGCATAATAAAGATATATTCTGGGCCAGGCTGAACCCTTTAGGTGCTCTTCAGTGAACACCAAGTGGTTGGAAGGCCCTACATTTATCATTTAACACAACTGTTTAATTGTTGGTCAGCAGAACTGTGATTCTACCAATCCTGCCTAACCTTAGTCTGCCTAACACACTGACAATTTAAACATTAAAGTTGCCCTTCAAACAGAGTAATTTGCATATATTGATTTCAAACTCTATGGCCTCCTGAGTCTTTTCAAAAATGTAACCTCTCTAAGGATAGGAATCTCACCTTTTAGTTATTTGGTCATTTCTTCTTCTCTGCCATGCCTGTCTGCCTTTTAGAGCTTCTCAGGTGTCATTTCAGATAGTCAGATTGCAGAGGGGAATGACAGAGGTTTTTTCTCTCATCTGCCATTTCCCATACAGCAAATTATAGCAGTTAGTGCTATTTAATTCACAGTGGAACGTCCGGGTTTTTCTTTATGTTTCTTTTTTTTTTTTTTTTTTTTTTGACATCTTTTGGTAATTTGGATTTACTAAATATAGGAACAGATATCAGGGATGTACCAAATTTGAAACCACAGAAATGGAGGTATAAAGAAAGCCAGGGAAGGCCACCCTTGCTCTGTGGGACAGACTGTATAATTTTAACATAGCAGAGTTAAACAGGCAATATTCAGCAGATACTCAGTTTTCATCTCTCTTTAGAGAATGATGTCAAGCTGGAAAAGGTGGAACAAAAAGTTAAAAGGTAGCTGAGGTGGAAGACAAATGAAGAAATAATAGTTTCGAGTGAGTTTAAGAAAAATGCTCAGGGCAGTGCTGGAAGGACTGTGAATTTTATCTCAGAAAAATTCCTCAGCCTCAGTTTTATATGGATTTTGTGGCTACTGCTTCACAACCTCCATTCCCCCAAACCACCCTGTGGTAGCCACTTCCCCAGTACCATTTTCAACTGGTGGTGTAGTAACTTAACAAGTGACAGTGACATGGAGTAACAACAAAATTAGATACAAATGGAAGACTTCTCAGCTCCTCCAGCTAGATTGGTTGGTTGGATTTGGAGACAGGGTCTTGCTCTGTGGCCCAGGCTGGGATGCAGTGATATGATCATAGTTCTCTGTAGCCTTGAACTCCAGGGCTCAAGTGATCCTCCAGCCTCAGCCTTCCGAGTAGCTGGGACTACACGCATGCACCCCTATGCCCGGCTAATTCTTTTTTTAAAAAAATTTTTAGTAGAGATGGGGTCTGGCTATGTTGCTCAGGCTGGCCTTGAACTCCTGAGCTCAGGTGATCCTCCCACTTCGGCCTCCCGGAGTGCTGGGATTACAGTCATGAGCCACTGAGCTCTGCCCAGGTAGATTTTTGTTTGAGACTTCCTACTGCAAAAGGAGTGATTTTTAAATTTCTCCCTTTACCTCTATGTCCAATCCAGAGTGCATGCTTTCTCTAAATATGTTTCAAATCATCCATTTCTCTCTGTCTCCACTGCCACTGACTTTAGTCCAAGCCACCACTGTCCCTTGTCCAGACTACTCCAGACAGCCTCTTAACTGGGTTCTTTGCTTCCCATTCTGGCTGCTAGATGGTCCATTTTCCTGGAAAGCTGCCAGAGTGAGCTTTTTAAAATGTAAACCAACTTACGCCCCTTTTCTTAAAACACTACAGTGGTTTCCAGTTGTATGTCAGCCAAGTACAAGCTCTTCTCTGTGGGCTAGGAAGCCCTGCATGACCCAGCCATGCCCTCATTTCAACCTGTTCTCCCCATTTTACCATAAGCGGAGCTCACTGGTCTCCTTAGCTCTTTTTCTGCTTCGAGGGTCTTTGTATCTCTTGCTCTTGGTAAAAAGTTTCTACCGTACTCTGCAAGGGAGTGAATTCTCTCATCCTTCAGGACTCAGTTTAAATACCTTTTACCAAGAGGTGCTTTCCCTACCACCATGCCCCTCCTCACCAGTTACTCTTTCCCATCACTACTATGAAGTTAGCACTCAGTCAAAATCTGTAATATCATCCTCATAAGTTTGTTTACTTGTGTGTTTTCCGTGTACCCCACCAGCTTGAGCTCCAGGACATCCAAGACCCTGCCTGTACACATTGGCACATGGTAGGCAGTCAGTGACAATCTCTTGAATGAGCTAGTGCAGAAATTCATATGACATTTTTGGTCAGAATTACTGCAGTTGCTTTTCTAAAGGATTGTTTATGTATTGAATTTTTGTATATTGAATCATGTACTTTAAATTTCCTAGAAGGGCTTGTGATTTAAAGTCCTGATTTTGTAAAGCATATCGTATTTCTCTTTTACACTATTTTACATTTTTATAATGGCTTTCTTTTGGGTGAAGGACATCTTTTTGTAACAATAACATTTTAGTAGTTTTTTTTCTTAATTACAAAATTTAAAGCTTACTTGACTCATGAGACTTTTAATCATCCTCTGTGTTTGAAACTCCAAAATGTGGGGATATATTCTCTCTCTCTGTGTGTGTGTGTGTGTGTGTGTGTGTGTGTTTTAAAAATACATTTTAAACTAAAGTGTTGTCCTGTGGCCTGAGGTTGCAGATGATGCTTTCTCTTGTATAGAAGAGCAGATGTATTTTTGATAAATGAGGCTCTCTTGCTTCTGTTACCTGTTTACTAAATATAGAAAGAAAATTGCATGCTGAATATTCCCTTAATGCTGTGATAAGGTTGCTGATTGAAATATGCCTCATCAGGACATGAGAAGCAAGCATGGGAGCCTTAAGCTAGTGTGATTCCACCCTCAGATAACTGTGCACCCTCCAAACTGTTGTAAATACTGAAGGCTGTCTGGAGCATTCTGTTACCGAGGACCTGGCATTCGAGGGTACAGGAGAAAGTGACCTGAGGCCATTTTTAAGGTTATGTAAGGAGCAGGCTTTTCAGCGGTGGAAAGATTCTGCAGAAAAATACAGATTGGTGAGGCACGCAAGGGCTTCCTGCCAGTTCCTTTGCCTGCACATGGAGCCTTATGGCCTTTTAGTAGGCAAGGATTTTGATCAGTATTCTTCAGAAATATCTTGTCTTTAAATAATACAATTTTAATGAAAAATCCTCTGGGAAAAACCTCACTTGAAAACATGCTTATAAAGTAATATTAAAAGGTCAAAGTTTATTTCAATGATAGATACTAAGGCCCTTAAATTTTTATTTTATTAGAAGTGGACAGGATATTTTGGCAAAAGTGTTTTTAACCCTCGCTTCATAATGGAGGGTATCTAGTTCCGAATCTTGACCGTGCTGAGAGAGTTGTTTCTAGAGTAACTTCTTAATTCACTAGATGTCTGGAACTGGAGAACGTTTGTCTGCAAGAATCTTAAAGCTTTTACATTGATTACACACCTGGTTTAACTTTTTGTTTTCTCTTTATTTCTTCATCAGCACCACTCACAGTTTCCTTTTTGGAGCACTGGCTGAATTGCTGGACAATGCAAGGTAAGGTTTATCTGTAAACAACAGTTACTGAGGGAATTTCATGACATAACTCTTGTCTAATTACATGGGAAGATAAAAAGATCATGTCATATTTTCCCATCTGGAATGTTTTGTGACTTGATTTCCTATAAAATCAAGGTGTTCTAGGAAAAAGGATAGTTGAGAGAAATAATTATTCACCTTTATTTAATTTTAATTTATGATCAAACTTGAAGTCTGTTTTTATGTTAATAACCATTTAATTGTACATATTCATTTAGATATTTTTTGAATTATATGTCAGTGTATACTTGTCTTGAGAATTTACACATGTATTTGGGCATTTATTGAAGTCTGCGTAGAAGCAAATTGTATAGTTAAGAAAATAGCTAACTTATTGATCTCTTACTATATATCAGACATACATAAGCACTTTATATATGAGCATTATGTCATGCATCCTTATATCTACACTCTGAGATGGGAATTAATATCCTAGTTCTACATGTGTGGAAATTGATGCATAGAGAGATTAGATGATTTATTCAAAGTCACATAATTCATATTTGGCAGAGCTGGCATTCAAATTTGGGCAGTCTGGCTGCAGAACCTCACTGTCGTATTTTACTGTCTCTAATAAATGTATTAATGATTAAGGAACCCGTTAAACAGTTTAAGTTCTGCTCAGTAGTGTATTTGTGGGAGCTTGTGAGGGGCTTCATTTTTTTTTTTTTCAGTTAAATTGAATAAAGCATTTGACGTGTTTTATATTGGTATTCCCCATAACAGAAGATTTTTTCCTACCTTTTGCTTAGAAAGCAAAGTCCATCCAGGAAGTAATGTGCAGTTGTTAGATCAAGGATCTCAGTAGGAGCCTAAATTCCCTGCCACTGGTTGATAACAGTGTTTTAGCTTTTTTTGCATTTGTTCCCCATTTTTTGCCTTAGATGGGAGATGACCCTTCTGAGAGTGTGACCACAAAGTGTAGTCAATTAACCAGCCATCCAGAAATTCCTGCCCTGCACTAAGTAGAAAGTCGTTATCTCCTCCTTTTAGGAAACTCTCTCTGTTGAGCTAATGGAATCATAAAAAGGGAGGGAAGTAGAGAAAAAGAATAAAGTCTTGTTCAGAGCCATGAACTCAGCTTGGAAGGAGCTAATAAGGATGAAGCCAAGAAAGATAAACACTTTTGATTAGCTTCCCTAAAGGAGCTTAGGGTTGCTACTGTTGCTGCTGCTCAAAGCTTGGAAGCAAGGCTCCTCCTATGTCATCGGTCCTGCCTCCTACTGAATGGGCCCACTTTCAGCAACTTGACATCTGCAAGTCTGAAAGAACACATTTATCTATTTTTCCAACTGTCTTTTCTCCTTTGAAGTTGTTTCTTTCATTCATTCAACAAAGGAGGACAAGTAAAATCAGAATGTGGAAGAAGTAGAATAAAAGAAACATTTTATGTAGTAGAGGTTGATTGGGAAAGAAAGATTGACTTCAGACTCAGGGGACTGAGAGAAATGTGATCGATAAACTAATTCTTAGAGCAGCATTTGTAAGCTGGCAGCCCCTTGACCAGGTCCAGCCTGTCTTATGTGTGTTTGGCTTATAGTGAAAGTTTGCACAGTGTTTATAAAGAAAAGGAAGGGAGAAAAAAGGAATTGTTTATAAGGTTTAAGATATTGGAGATACCAAATAAAAAATTTGGGCCCTCTGCCTTCCTTGAAAGATTAGGAGAAGTAGCAACCTCAAGGCCACATTCCTCCACGGGATCAGGGGCTGGAGGTGAGTAGCAGGTGCTCTCTTGGGACCAGCCCATGCCTTCAGCTTTGCCTCATTTCCAGTTTTCCCCCGTGGACAGCCTCAACCCTTCAGTCCCTCTTTCTTCATGGACGTTTGAGTTTTCCACCATTGCTTAGATGCTAGTAGTTGACATCAAAAGAAGCTATTTAACAGACTTAAGATACTGAGTTGGTCTTACGAAGGAGAACTTTATGAAGTCCCCATGTTATTCTAAGAAATTCTTTTATATCATTGTATTCAATATTTTAATGATTTCCTGTAGTTTTAAAAATTAGAACTGAAAGATATTAAAAGAATATTGTAGAGAGAGAAGAAGAATGTGTGGTGATATAGGAAGGATTTGTTAGGGTCCTCTTCCTAATACAATAGCTCTTCAGAAAGGAAGTATCCTGGGCTAAAGAACAAAGATTATTATAAAATGTCTTAATATATGATAAAGGTGAATTATTTTATGCCTTAATCCGTGGAAGTGCTGCATGAAAAAACTACCTCTTTAAAAACTTACATTTCAGTACAGTGGCATTTATTAAACATTTATTGTGTACATGGTACTTTGTATAATGCATGATTATATAATGGAGATATTGATACCTATGTGTTATGGAACTATGGTAAGGATCGGAAGAGAATTTTCAAAAATACACCATTCAGTGCTTACTTGATACATGGGAGGTGCTCAAGAAATGGCAGTGGTAACTCCAGAGTGTCTATATAGGGAGGGCTGAGAAGCAGCAATTGGCTAGAGGAAGGAGCTATATGGGACTAACTTCTAGGCCTGTGGAGCAAGTACAGTGTACCTACTCAGATTTGTCTGGGAGTTTTGGGTTTAGAACTGATGGAACTTTGGAGAGACGCTCAGGTTTCCCCACCAGAGTTACATAGTTGCTGTTGTTGCACTGAGCTTCCTTTTAGACTCCTCCCTGCCTTAACTTACCTTCTTCCTCATCAGCTAAGTCTTCCTTGCCTATGCCTTCCTCCTTTCTCTCACACCCTCGATATTGAAGCCAGAGTCTTCTGGCCTTTTCTTCTTTTCTATTAAAAATTTTACTTTTAAAAATAATTGTAAAAAAATACAAAAATAATATCTGTGAATTTTAGAAAATGGAGAATTTTTTTTAAAACAGTCTTCATCAGTACTCTCATCACCTAGAAGAGGAGTCAGCATCCTTTTCTGTAAAAGACCAGATGGCAAATATTTTCACCTCTGTGGGATACGGGGTCTCCTTTGAAACTACTCAACTCTGCCACTGTAGTGCTGAGGCAACCTTAGATACTATGTAATGAATGGGCATGATTGTGTTCCAATAACACTTTATTTACAAACAGTTGATGGGCCATTTTGGTCCGTGGCTATAGTTTTCCAACCTCTAACAAAGAGAAAACTCCTATTAACATGTTGATTTCTTTCCTTCCATGTATGTTCTTTAAAATGTCTTCTTATAGTACACTATTACCTAGTAATTTGATTTTTCTTTTTTTTTTGAACTAAAATATGAAAAACATTCCATGACTTCTGGATTATTTGCCAGCCAGCTTTTTTTGTTTTTTTTTTTTTTTTTTAAATTATATCCATTTTGTTAGTTTTTTGTGTAATTCCCACTAAATTCCATCTCTTCTTTCACATTTCTGAGTTGCAGTCTTTTTCATATTCTCAAATTATGACTAATCATAGGTCTTATGATATAATAGCACGGTGAAACGTTTTAGAAATTGATTTTGAAGCAATTTAAGTGGATTTTTGTATTGTTTGATATCTGACAATAGGTTATACCTTATGTAAGCAATTCATTTCATATTGAAGAAATAATATTTTTGTATTGTTTCCAGAGATGCAGGGGCTGAAAGACTTGATGTCTTTTCAGGTGAGCAGATTTGCTTTCTTCTTTTATTTTCTTCTAATGGAAAGACTGTAGTTATTTTGCTTGTATTTTATTTCATGAAATAAAACCACATTCTATAGAATTTTAATGTAATCTAAGTGCTTTGTGGGTACAGTGACCCTGTGGGGAGCCAGGGTGAGGAGAGTATACTCTGAGAGTCAAATTGTGTGCTAAAGGACCCATTTACAAAATTAGGTCTTCCAGAGTTTTGTGAATGTATCAGAGTGATTTGGAGCACTCAATTTGCCTGCCATGAGAAACAGTTTTATTTTTAAAAAGTATATTAAATTAACGGTTATTCATAATTAAGCATACATCATTCCCAACTTAGTAGTTTCAAAGTGTGTACGTGAATGTGCGGTATGAGGGCTAGAAAATCCAAACCAAATCTGTTTTCTTTGCTGACTTTATTCGTAGTCATCAAGTATTTATTGCACTCACTAGTTATCTCATTAGACTATGATGCTAATGAAGTTAGGTTCTGTGATCCAGCTCTGTAGAGTAATGCCCAGGTAGTCACGCAGCATCCCTACCACATTTCTGTCAGCTGTTCTGCAATATTGGCTACTGGTCACGGGTGAGAGGATATGCTCCATGATCTAAATCCATATCTCTGTTTAAAAAGCACCTCAGTTAACTGAGTGTTCTGAGTCAGAGGAGTGCTTACGCTTCATGAGAGAGATAGACGTGGACCTCTTGAGATAACTGAGGAAACAATAAATGACACTCTTCATCTCCTTCTCCTCTCCAGGTCCTGAAAAACTTGAGAAATAGAAAAAGAGTCAGCCTTTATTGCTGATAAATGTTAGGCTGGAGTATGTAGCTTAGTGTGAGAGAGCAAATGGACTTGCAGGTCAGACCCCGGGATCACGTGGACTCACCCGCCCAGTGGAGTTGGGCTTCCTCTGAAACTCTTTTGCCCTGGGACAAGGGATCAGGACTCACGCTCTCTGCAGGCAGCTCTCTCCTAGGAGGAAAATGCAGGGTCAGAACTGAGCCTCCCCAGTTTATTCTTCCCTAAGTGACCAGTAGGTGAGTGAGCTAACCTCCACAGGGGAAAAGTGAGTGAAGGCACAGAATAGGGCCTTTCTAGTGAGAAAAAGTCATCTTCCCTTCCATATCCAATAGAGTAAAATAAGATGAACACTCTTGCATAGGAGAGACTCAGAGTATGGTGGGAACACAGGGAAAGAAGAAATTATGCCTCATATTAAGGGGCTAGAGCTTGAAATATGAATGTGATTTTTGTCAGATACTCCAGGAAGAAAAGAATATTCCTGTCTAGGTAATAATTATGAGAAAACAAATGGAGATAGGCTAGTTCACAGATTCATTAATTTATTCAGTAATAATTTGTTGTCTATTATTCTAGGTACTGGGGATAGTGCACTGAGAAAAATGTTGAGGTCTTTGTTCCCCTGGAACATATATCCTAATGGGGAGAGATAGACAATACAGAAATGAACAAATATGTAATATACAAGGCAATGATAAGTGCTAAAAGGGAAAAAAATAAAGCAGGATAAGAGAACAGAGAGCCATGGAAGGGGTATACAGCTTTTCATGGGTGGTCTAAGAGGGTTTCTTTAAATAGCTAACACACAAGCAAAGACCTGAATGATGAAAGGGAGGGAGCCACACAGATGTCTGGTGAAAAAGCACTCAGGGAACAATGCTGAGGCTCGGTTGACTCGCACTAAGTGTCAGAACCAAATGAATGAGCATCTTCAATACCATACCAAGGTTTTTTCTGCAGTCAGTGGACCACTGAAGAACTTTGAGCAGTGTCAGTTTTCTAAGTAGACATGTGGTCTTTTTTTTTTTTTTTTGTGAGACGGAGTCTCGCTCTGTCGCCCAGGCTGGAGTGCAGTGGCGCGAGCTCGGCTCACTGCAAGCTCTGCCTCCCAGGTTCACACCATTCTCCTGCCTCAGCCTACCGAGTAGCTGGGACTACATGTGCCCGCCACCATGCCCGGCTAATTTTTTTTTGTATTTTTAGTAGAGCCGGGGTTTCACCATGTTAGCCAGGATGGTCTTGATCTCCTGACCTTGTGATCCGCCCGCCTCGGCCTCGCAAAGTGCTGGCATTACAGGCTTGAGCCACCGCGCCTGGCTGAGCTCTTTTCTTTTTTAAAGAAAGATACTCATTCCAGAAATACCTTACAAGAGAGTCTGGAGAAGTATGAAAGCAAGGATAGCAGGGAGGTATGGCTATGGGAATTACCTAGGCAAGATTTCATGAGAATTATAATAGGGCAGTAGTACTAGAAATGGAGGAGGAGAGACAGATGTAAGCTGCCTTTCATTCAGAGCACATGCACAATTGATGGAGGATTGAGAAGACTTATCCATAGTCACAAAATATAACAAATGTAATCAGAATCCACGCATTATGTTCTTTGGGGTTTGTGACTGGAGACCAGCAGGGAATGAGAGTGTTTATTTCACCCTACTTTCTCTAAGTACTCAGTTTATCTTCATAAACAAACAAAATAAGATCTTGACCAAGTTGAGATTAAAGTGGCACTTCTCCTTTTTTTTCGAGATGGAGTCTCACTCTGTTGCCCAGGCTGGAGTGCAGTGGCACCATCTCGGCTCATTGCAACCTCCGCTTCCCAGGTTCAAGCAATTCTCCTGCCTCTGCCTTTCCAGTAGCTGGGATTACAGGCACACACCCGGCTAAGTTTTGTATTTTTAGTAGAGACGGGATTTCATCATGTTGGCCAGGCTGGTCTCAAACTCCTGACCTCAAGTGATTCCCTCTGCCTCAGCCTCCCAAAGTGCTGGGATTACTGGCATGAGCCACCAGGCATGGCTGGCACTTACTTCTTTTTTGTGTTTATGTATATTTTGTGAAAAACTGAACTTATAGTTCAGTTTAGCTTAAAATTACCTATTCATGTTTTTATTGATTTACCTGTTCATTTTTTATTGAGGCAAGCCATCTTATGGCTATCAACCTAGCAAACTGATTTTCTTAAAAAAATGGATAAAAAAAGCAGGGACAATGCTTATGCATCAATACATAGGATTATTCTGGGGATACAAAGTTAATCTAAGATTGGACTAGTTTTCAGATTATTTACTGTGGCCTCGAATTATTGTCAATCTTAAATTTCTGTCAACTAATTAATTTGAAGGCTATAAAATTCAAATGAAATATGTTTCCCGTGGTGTTTTATACGTTTGTGTGTATTAGTTCCAGTAAACATGGATATGCATTCGGTACTTTTTTTTAGTGCTTACTAAATGCCAGGCACTGGGCTAGGTGCTGCGTTTACACTCTTAAGAAATTGGCATTTTAGTGTGGAGCCCATGAAAAATGTAGTATGTAGCTGTACTTTGGTGGGTAGAGGGTCCATAGCTTTCCTTATATCTCTGAGGTAACTGTGTTCCAAAAAAGTGTAGGAACCATTGGTCCAAAAGACAAATAGATACACGAACAGGTATTTTAATATACTACAAAGGTACAAAAACAGAGATAAAGGGGTCATTAATTATGGGCACTAATGACATGGAAGGATTAGGAAAGGCTTCCTAAAAGAAGTCTGATATGAACTAATTGAAAGAGAAAATAGACATTCGCCTGGTGAGTGAAGCGTGGAAAGGGTGGAAGGGCATTATGTGCAGCAACTGGAATATGGAGAGAATGTAGAAAAAATGTTTGAGATGTTTAAGATTTGTTCAAGGGGAGTGTTTGTGCAGGAGTGGAAGGTGGCAGTATGGGCAGGTGAGGGAAAGACAAGAAATGAGCTTGGAGAGTTATCCAGATGGCCCGGTCATGGAGGGCAAACAAGATTTGTTAGGTGGTTGGATTTTATCCTGAGAGCATTGGGAAGCCATGGAGAGGTTTGAAGCAGGAGAGCAGTGAAATGCACGACTGATGGAAGACTGGCTGCACCCTGTGACTGTAGGGAGAGCAAGAAGGTAGGGCGCTGTTGTGATCCAGAAAGGAGATGGTGTCTGTATCCCCAGGCAGTATACTGGGGATAGAGAAAGTGGTCAAATGGGAGTCATTAAGGCAGTGAAATTGAGAGGACCAGATGGTTGCCCGTGTGAGGGGTGAGGAGATGGAGAACATAATGATGATCCGAGGTTTTGACTTGCACAGCTGAAGCCTAGGGGCAGGGTGATGCCATTTATTGAACAGGAAACGAGGAGGAGGAGAAAGTCTAACGTGGGAGGAGGTGTTTGTTTTGTTTTGGACACGCGTAATTAACAAGTGATAAAATATACCTGAAATTCATAGTTTTAAGGAATTGAAATAAACAAGGCCAGGTTTCAGAGTGGATAATGGGGGATTATTAAATTTTGAGGCTATACTTATTTGTCTCTAATTCCTAATATGGATTTACAAAAAAAGGAGATACTGTAGTATATGTCTGATGGGAATCTTTGGTCTTTCCCAGCCGTTTACTGAAGGAATACCCTTCTTTCTGCAAGCTCCTTCTAGGAGAAATATTTACAAAGAAGTGCAAATCAGCTGTGGCTACCATGCAGAGCTGCCCGAGGCTGAACGTGGTTTTGCATCAGGTGATTCCCAATCCTGGATGAACATTAGAATAACTGAGGGAAATTTTACGAGAAAATACCAATTTCTGAACCCTATCCAAGACCAGTTACATTAGAATATCTCTAGTTGATTTCAATGTGCAACCAAGATTGAGAGCTACTGCCTTATGCAGAGAACTCAACAGGGTTGGATTCCCCTCATTAAACAGTGAGGAAATATCAGCCTTTGAGGGAGGACTAAACAGAACAAGTACTTTAAAGGGGGAGAGGAGGAATGTCCTGACACAGAAGTTGAGGTAAGCAGACCATAGGACTAGGTAGAGAGAAGGAACTGGGAAAATGAAATGGTAGTCCGGATCCTAAAAGTTTACAGACAAAGAAGTAAATTGGAGAGAAGAGGGGATTAGAAGCGGGCACATCACCATGAAATTATAAACCCAGAAAGATTAAGTATGTTTTATAAGTATGTATTCATGGGCTGTCTTGAAACTTACTTACTTTTTAAAATATTAATTCTAGGTGACTTTTTTTTTTTTTTTTGAGACAGGGTCTCTCTCTGTTGCCCAGGCTGGAGTGCAGTGGTGTGATCATAGCTTACTGCAAACTTGAAGTCCTAGGCTCAAGTGATCCTCCTGTTCCAGCCTCCCAAGTGGCCAAGTCTAGAGGCATGTGCCACCATGCCTGGCTATTTTTTTTGAGATGGAGTTTCGCTCTGTCGCCCAGGCTGGAGTGCAGTGGTGCGATTTGGGCTCACTGCAACCTCCGCCTCCCGGGTTCAAGAGATTCTCTTGCCTTAGCCTCCAGAGTAGCTGGGACTACAGGCACACGCCACCACACCCAGCTAATTTTTGTATTTTTAGTAGAGACAGGGTTTCACCATGTTGGCCAGGATGGTCTCAATCTCTCGACCTCGTGATCCGCCCACCTTGGCCTCCCGAAGTGCTGGGATTACAGGCATGAGCCACCGTGCCCAGCCTATTTTTTTATTTTTAATTTTTAGTGGCCATAAGGTCTCACTATGTTGGCCAGGCTGGTCTTGAACTCCTGGGCTCAAGCCATCCTCCCTCCTTGGCCTCCCAAAGTGCTGGGATTACAGGCGTGAGCTACCACATCCAGTCTCTAAGTGACTTTTGAACAGAGAAGTTGACTTAATAAATGTGCTGGAAATGAATCTATGGGGACAGAAAGCATATCAGTGATTGCTTGAGGGTAAGGTGAGGGTGATGGGACGTGGAAGGGTCCTAAGGAAGGATTTACAAAGGGTCAGGAGGAAACATTTGAGGTGTGGATATGTTCGCTGCTGTGACTGTGGTTATGATTTCATACGTGTGTGTGTGTGTGTGTGTGTGTGTTAAAATTTGTCAAATTGTGCACTTTAAACATGTGCAGTTTATTGTGCATAAATTATTCCTGAATAACACTGTCATTTAAGAAAGAGAAATGTGCTAGAACTCCTATGTCCAACTACTGAAATCATTTTCAGGGCCAGTTTACAAACTGGGCACTAAAATTAGTCTCATTAGTTTTAGTTACAGCTTTAACTTTATTAATTTATTTTAGAGACAAAGTCTTACTACCTTGGGCAGGCTGGTCTTGAACCCCTGGCCTCAAGTGATCCTCTTGCCTTAGCCTCCCAAAGTTCTGCGATTATAGGCATAAGTCACCACACCCAGCCTACCTCCAACATTTTTGTAAACCAAATATTATGTTATGTAATTTAATGATATCTTCAAATCATTAAAATTGATTTCAAATAACTTAGCCATTTTCAAAAATTAAGTGCGTCTTGAAGAGGTAAGTATTTGCTCCCATGAAGATGCACTCACAAATGGCTCTTATGAGAATTAACTACTTAGAAGGGAGCCTGATGGATTTAATAAGAATGGCCTAGATTTATTTTATAATTGTGCTTTGGTGGAAGGGCACAGAGGTTGGTCAGTTTGAGCAAAGGATCCTGGGGTCACTTCACCATTTACCTTTTTCCCTCCCCACAGAGAGGAAATGCCTGACATTTAAAGGACTAGTCCAGTTGCAGAGCAGAACATGTCCTGCTGTATACATAATTTTTTCACATGTAGATGTTTTGTGTTAATTTAAAGCCTTTATGTTGCATGATTATTTTTCCCCTGCAGTTTCTTGTGAAGCTGTAGCCAAGACTCCACTCTAGGCTCCATCTTTGTGCCATAACTCTGTCACTCTGTGGCTGCATTGGAGGAAGACGAATAATTATTCTAGCAGCATGACTTTCTGACTAACAAATTAAGCCCGATATTTATTAGTAATAACTGCTTTCTCTTACAGTGGATAATGAAAAACTGCAGGGGGGATTCATGTTGTGTTTCCTGGATGATGGATGTGGCATGAGCCCTGGTAAGTTAATTATCTAGATACCTAACTGGCTGTTAAAGGAAACAGTCTGAAAACCTACAAAATAAATAAATTGAGCTATCTATGCAAAAACAGGTATGGAGCTATTAAAGAAAGTAAGCCCCAGACTTTTTGTTGAACTTTTTAGGTTTAAGTATCCCAGCTGGCAGAGTAAATTTATTGTAACCATCTAAACCAAGACAAAAAGTAAATGTATATTAATATTGTCAGAAAAATGAAAGGCAAATGTTACTGATTGTAAGAAATAAGCATCTGGGAATGAATGGAAAACAAATAGTCACTGAATAGACTCTGAGATTGTTTTTAGCTCATCCTTTAGGTATTGCTTGTGAGAGCCCCAGGCAGTTTCCTGTGCCTGTAGGCTATTTTTAATTTTGCTTAACCTCGAGGTAGAGGTTTCCTCTCCTTGTTTTTAGCCTTGTTTTTTCCTCTGCATTTTGAAAGCTTTACTTGCTTCAAATGAATGTTCCCATCATAAAGAATACATCTACAATATATTTCATGACTTATCTTTGTGTATTCAAGGTTAGCACAAAGCCAGCACATTATGGGTATACAGTGTCTGTGTGCTGTGAAATTGAAATGTGATTCCATCTGAGGGCATTGGGTTGTTTTAGGTATTGTATTTCTGAATTCTTTAAACATGGTGTGTTCCACAAGCCAGGGTTTTTGACCACTAGATTTAAAAAATGGTGAGAGTTCAGTAATATGGAACTGCCATGGTCAGTTCCACAACTGAGGAAAGGATGCATCAGTATGCTCAAATATTGATTTGCTGATAGAAGCTGAAGATATGAGGTATGGCAAATATCTTATTTCAGCTCTGAAGTTTCCCCTTGGTCTGAATAGTTGAAGAGTATTAGCAAGTTTAGAAAGACTGTTTCACCCAGTTTTGTTCTGACTTCGGATAATTTTGATTTTTCCAGGTCATTTTGATTAAAAGTATTCTTGGTCTTTTATTGTTTAAATGAGAAAGAAGAGTTTGTAACAACAACAGAAAAAACCCATGCTGAAAAAAGTAATTTTTCACTTCTAGCCTGAATATTAAGTTCATTTTTTTGAATTCCTAAAATAAATGACAGAATATATGTGATATATTCTAAGGGAATTCCTTATGAAAAGAAGCAACTCTTTTTATATGGGTCATGAACAAAATGTTTGAAACACAGACAAGTGACGGATATTCAGACCTTCAGAAGGAACTCACACTTCAGTTACATAGTAGCATCAACTAGTAATAAAGTAGAAGGAAGATGACTAAAAGTAGAATCTATCCGTTGTTCAAACGGAGCTAGATCAATCTTGACCCATAGAAAATGACTACAGTACTTTCCGGGTTTTTAAAAAATTCTCTAGTCTTGCCCCTTTATAGTCCATTCCCCACACAGCATCCTGAGTGATTTTCTTTCTTTTAATGTACATTTTCCTGCTGAAAATGTACATTAATATCATTTTCCTGCTGAAAACCCTCAGTGGTTTTCCATTACTTAATACAATTTGTACTCTCAGCATCTCTTCCAAGACCTTACATTATTTGGCCCTATGCACCTCTTTGGCCTTTTCTTGTTCTTCCCACTTCCTCCCTTAGAACACTCCACCCACACATGGCTGACCCCTCATCGTTTGAATCCATCTCATGTTAACCATCTGCCAGTGGCCTTCCCTGATCATTCTGTCTGCAGGCCACGTTCCTGTTAATTCTCTATCGCATTACCCTGGTTTTGTTTTCTTCACTTAATACTCAGTCAGAAATGATCTTATTTATTAGTTTACTTTCAATCTGTTTCTCCTACCATGACATAGTGTTGTCCAAGGCAGGAGCCATGCCTGGCCTGTTCAGTGGTTTATTCCCATGCTCAGAACCGGGTAACCATGCACGTGAGTTCATGTAGTGTGTAATGAACACATGGGATTTGGTTCAGAGCTATACCATGTCTGTACCAAGACTTAGAACTTTGGGTTATAATCCTAGCTGTACCCTCTATCAGCTCTGTGACCTTGGGCAGGTTTTTAAAACTCCTTAGACTTACATTTGCTCATCTGTGACATGCAGGTCATAGTAATAATACCTTTCTTGTTTTGTTATAAATATTAAATAAGCTGTGCATGTAAGTATAAACATAGTACCTAGCATATACTAAACAATCAATAAGTGTTAGCTAAGATTGTCATTATGGATATCCTTACCTAATGCCTAACCCCTCATAGGAACATATCATAGGAGGTCCAGTTAGTTTCAGAGAAGCAGAATGTTTGGTGGCTTTTACACACCTCATACCATGTGCCACTGAACTATAGCATATCTGTACCCAGACTGACAGAGGGTCCTCAGGACAATTCTTCAGCATGTATTCAGGTAGGCCAACAAGAAGAACATTCTTGGTTCTGGAGATTGGTATTAATATATTCTGAAGTCCAGAGGATTACTGTCTAGAATTCCAGAATACCTGGAGAGGTCGGGAGAATGATTTGGAACGTCTGAAATGGTTAGCCTTCTTTCCCAGGTAGTATCAGAGCAGAGGTCATCCTGCCCCTCTTAGTCTCACATGGGCCTGGTTAAGGGCTAAATTCGTGGGGAAATTACTAGTGGTACAAGTAATTATAACACTTGTAATTTGGTAACACCCACCAAGTGCCAAGTTTTGTGTTCAGGATTTCACAAATACATCATCTCATTTCATTTGTTTCATTTATCTTCATCAGCAACACCGTGATATAAGTATTACGTAGTTGCCTCTTACACCACATGGAAATTAAGGCTCAGACTTTTAAACTCTACCTAAGGCCACATGGTTAGGTCTGTCTCATCTCTTTCAGTATACAGTTGTTTCTTAGTATCTGTAGGGAATGGATTCCAGGACCTTTCTAGGATACCAAAAGCTGTGGAAAGAAGATGGCACGGTATTTCCGTATAACCTATATATATCCTCCTGTATACTTTAAATCTTTTCCAGGTTCCTTATAATACCCAATGCAGTGTAAATGCTATTAAATAGTTGTTATACTTTGTTGTTTAGAGAATAATGACAAAAAAAAAGTCTGTACGTGGTCAGTCCAGACGCAATTTATTTTTTTCTGAATATTTTCAGTCCAAGATTAGTTGAGTCTATGAATGTGGAGCCTGCCGTACCTTGGGCTGACTGTAATACCATTAAGACCCTTGTCAGAGACTGTGGATTCTGATGAAAATCCTTGTCTCTGGGCTGACCCAAGAGCTATGGGTTTGTCCTGATGTTCTGAGGAATGTGAGGTCCTGACAGCTGGGCCTCAGGCCAGTGTCAAAGAGTCTTCCTAACCACCTTAAAAGTCACTGTCAATTACAGAGGAAGCTTCAGACATCATTTACTTTGGACGATCCAAAAAACGGCTGTCAACCTTGAAGTTCATAGGGCAATACGGCAATGGTCTTAAAAGGTGAGAATTTTTTTTCCCTTAAGACATATATTATTGATACTGGGAACACTGTTTATAAAGCAATTTACACAGAATGATGCAGGCATGTAAAGCTTTAAAAAATATATAAACTTGAGGCAGGGGTGACCTACTTTGTGTTGGAATCTCCATATACAAAACTGACTTTTTTTTTTTGAGACAGATTCTCACTCTGTCACCCTGGCTGGAGTGCAGTGGTGCGATCTTGGCTCACTGCAACCTCCGCCTCCTGGGTTCAAGTGATTCTCCTGCCTCAGCCTCCTGGGCAGCTGGGATTACAGGCATGAGCCACCATGCTCAGCTAATTTTTGTATTTTTGTAGAGACAGAGTTTCACCATGTTGGCCAGGCTAGTCTCGAACTCCTGACCTCAAGTAATCAGCCCGCCTCGGCCTCCCAAAGTACTGGAATTACAGGCATGAGCCACCACGCCCGGCCCATAACTGACTTTTATCTTTACAACATTTTAGGTTAATTCTCCCAAATAATAAAATAAATCCTCTTTCAAAGATTCCTGAAGCGGTACCCCTGTACTTTAGTGCTTTGTTGCATCTCTATGTTCTGTTGTTTCCCAAAGCATATTTTAACCTAGGTGCTGTGTCTGCAGCTCTTTGTTTTAGTATGCTGCATTGAAAGGTCAGGACATGAGGCTCACTTGTACGGCTCCTACCTGAGACAGATGATTGTTCTTTTGAGCCCTGAATGGACCCTTTCCCCTGCAGCCAAACCTCAAGCAAGAGTGTGGAGCTGGCTTAGTTCAAATTCTTCTGCTTTACTTTGAAAAAAAAAAAATTGTACCCTCTTGATGACGGGTCAGCAGAACAGAGTGTTGGAAAGAACATCCTGTTACAGTACACGGTGATAACAGTCTGCCTGTTTCTTCCTTTTTAGTATTTGAGGTGTAAAACATGATGTTCTTCATTTTTAATATAGTGGGTCCATGAGAATTGGAAAAGACTTTATTCTTTTTACGAAGAAGGAAGAAACGATGACCTGTGTGTTTTTTTCTCAGACATTCTGTGAAGAAGAAAGTCTTAGTGAGGTAAGAGTTGAAGTTTTCCTTCTGTTCCCATAGCAATGATGTTGCTTTCATTTACTCTCTCAGGAGGTGAAGTCTTGTCATGGGTTCTTTCTGATATTATTTAGAAACTTAGGAATATGTTTGGGAAATGGAGAGAAGGTATCAAGACATTCTGGGGACATCAAAGACCTGTCCTCTTGACCCTTTCCTGAGAACTTCATTTTCATTATCCATGTGCTCAAATCTCCCAAAGTAAGAGGCTCCCTTAGACATGATGAGCTTTTTAGAAGAAACCTGCAAAATCTTTCCACCATATATGCCATAAATTGATTATCATTTTAAAAATAAATAAAATATTGGAGTCAAAGACTTGGAATACAAAATGTAAAGAAATTAATGCAAAATAGACTTAAAACTGTAACTCTGGTGACCATAATTTCAACTCCATTTGCTGATCCAGAGGCATTTTATTAATTACCAGTGCCTGAGTTTTATTATTATGGCTGTCAGTTATAATTCAATATAACAAATACATGTTGAGGAACTACTCTCTGCCTAGTACTGGATAGACTCTATGAAGGTAGAAAAGAAGCAGAAGGTCATATGGCCATCTAAGAGTCTTCAGCTTTATCACAAAATAAGGTAGACACATATGAATTGGATAAAAAAGTGAGGGTATTTAAAAAGAATGCTCCTCAATGAGTCTGTGTGGCTACTGTTACCAGATTATCAAAAGCAATGATATGGATGGAGAGATAGAGGGCCTCGAGTGCCCAATGAGGGTTTTATGGAGAGAGTACAACTTGCAGCCGGAAAAGCTGGTACTGGAGATTAATGGCCTCAGCAAGTCTCAGACCTGGAGATGCATATGGAGTTTGGATGGACGGTGTAGGACTGTGAGACTGCCAGTGGGTGGAGCTGGGTGACAGGAGCAGTCTGCAGGTAAAAAGGAGTAAGCCGTGTGGGAGCCTGACCTGAGGAAAAGTGATGCTGTAAGCATTTATGTTGCATGTTATGTGTGTAAAGGGCATGGAAAATTGGGCTAACCCTTAATTATAGCTTTCTTAAAATGGGCCATTCCCTTTTTTAAAAAAAACTAAAAACAGCAACCACTTCCCATTTCTACTTCCACAGAGACAACCTCTTAACAACAATATTAACAAGTTCTAGCTGGGCACGGTGGAGTGCATCTGTAGTCCCAGCTACTCAGGAGGCTGAAGAGGGAGGATCACTTGAGCCCAGTAGTTTGAGGCCAGCCTGAGCAACATAGTGAGACCCTGTCTCAAAAAAATAAAATAAAAATAAAAATAAATGGCCTGTTCTTTTGATATTTACCTATGTATCTCTAAATAGCATGCCTGTATTGCTACTTCTTGATTTTATCTAGGCATTATCTATTAACCTCCCACTATAAAAGAGGATTTACCTACCTTTTTTCTCTGCTTCTATCATATAATCGTAGTCTTCTCATCCCCCGCCCTCAACATAGCTTTATTGTAATTTTAGCTATGACAATATTCAGTGTTTACTTTATAAGACTTTATAAACACTGTTCAAATTATACCAAGCCATCAACTATTATTTTTCCTTTTCATGTACAACTTATTTCCCCTAAAATTAATCATTGACTGCTTAGTTTTTTATGTGTATTACTGTCACTGAATATTTGCTTGGTTTTCTGTGTTCGTGTCACTGTGTTAACCCCAGTCTCAAAGTGCTGTCCTCTCAGTCCCATCTTCCTGATGAAGTCTGCTCAGGGCTTTCTCCTGTGCTGCAGCTCACACTCCTGCTTCCATGGTGGTGTTCAGCTGCCATCCTGTGATCTGCCCTTGCCCTCGTCTTGGTGATTCCCTTCCCCTCTCTTCTGTGTCATCTCTGAGATCCTAGATCTCACATCTTCTTCCATAGCTTGCTCTCTCTCCTTGGTACAGCATGTTCTCCAGTGACTTCTTGAGCAAAGGAACATAGGGGGCAAAATATCTGGAGACCTCACATGCATTAAAAGGTTTTTATTCTACCCTAACACTTAATGGTAGTTGGGCTTGATATTATTTCTAGGTTGGAATTTATTTTCTTTCAGGATTTCGAAGGTTTTGCTTCATTATCTAGTTTCTAGTGTTGTTATTGAGCAGTCTCAAGCCATTTAATTACTTAATCTTATATGTGACCCATTCGTTTTTTGTTTGTTTGTTTGCTTGCCTTTACTCTTTGAAGGTCAAAATAATCTTCTTTGTCTCAGTATTCTGATTTCAAGTGTTTTGCCTTTGCGTGGTCTATTTACACCCATTGTGCTGGTCACTTGCTGGGTCTTTTTGATTTGGAAACTCATATTCTTCAATTCTGGGATAGTTTCTTGTAATAGCTGATGATTTTCTTCTATTCATATTCTCTTTTCTATCCTTTTGTAACTCCTGTTTTTTAGCTATTGTATTCTGGAAGTGGTTCTCTAATTTTCTTAGCCTTTCCTTCCTGTTTTCTGAGTTTTATATTTTTGCTTTATTTTCTGGGAGTTGTTCTAATATTTATTTTTGAACCCTTTTGTTACCAGAAAGGGGTCTGATCCCAGACCCCAAGAGAGAGTTCTTGGACCTTGTGCAAGAAGGAATTCAGGGCGAGTTCATAGAGTGAAGTGAAAGCAGTTTATTAAGAAAAAAGTAGAGGAATAAGAGAATGATTACTCCATAGGCAGAGCAGTGGCCTGGGCTGCTCAACTGAGTATACTTATAGTTACTTCTTGATTATATATGCTAAACTAGGGGTTGATTATTCATGAATTTTCCAGGAATAGGGTGGGCAATTCCAGGAAGTGAGGTTTCCTCCCATTTTTAGACCATATAGGGCAACTTCCTGACATTCCCATGGCACTTGTAAACTGTCATGGCACTGGTAGGGGTGCCTTTTAGCATGCTGATACATTATAATTAGCATATAATGAGCAGTGAGGATGACCAGAGGTCACCATCTTGGTTTTGGTGGGATTTGGCCAGCTTCTTAGTGAAGCTGGGTCAGCAGGGTCTTTGTGACCTGTATCTTGTGCCCACCTCCTATCCCATCCTGTGACTAAGAATGCCTAACATGAACATGCAGCCCAGTAGGTCTCAGCCTTATTTGACCCAGCCCCTGTTCAAGATGGAGTCACTCTGATTCAGACACCTCTGACACTTTCACTGAATTTTTTTCTGTAATCATATTCTTAATTTCCAAGAAGTCTTTCTTATTCTCTGAATGTTTCTTTTTCAAAAATATCTCGTTCTTGTTTCATGGATACAGTATTTTCTCTTATAACTCTGAAGATATTAACAATAATTGATTTTTGCCTTGTTGAAGTTTTCATCTTTTTATGGTTTCTGTTTTCACTGAGTTACTTTGTTTATAATTATTTGTTCTCTATTATCATATTAGAGGCTTTTCTTAGATGGCCGTTACTCCTGAATACTTTAAAGATAAGTCCAGTAAAATGACGAGTGCAAGCTCTGAGACTGTGAGTGGGGCCTGGCTGCTATGATTGTCACAATAATGTGATCTAACTGAGCTTTTTTTTTTATTGGGGAATCCTTAATGTAATTGTCTTTGTGTCTTTCCTTCTGGGTTGGTCAGATTTTTCAAGGAAGACTCCTAGTCTTCTGCCTACAGACCTACCTGTCAGCTTCTGGGAGACAAATGGGAACGAGATCTGAAGATCTCAGCATCTGCTAAGTATACTTTCACTCGGTCTATCTAATCTCAGTAAGGTGCCCACAAGAGCAGTGCCTGGTATGTCTTCCAGTCTAGAAATCCATTGTTCTACTCTTTCCAGAGGGTAAATATCCAGACCCTGGGGGTTGAGGAGGAGCTGTTGCTGATGGGGATCTAAATGCTACTTATAGTTCTCTTCTCCCCCTACCCCAACTCTAGAGTTAACTCCTGCCATCAGTCCCTGAGAATTACAGTGTAGGAATTCTGAATTGCAAGTCAGGCTGGCTCTGCTTTCTGGCTTGGGCTTTAGATTGCTTTTCTTGCGTGTGCTGTCATCTGCTTTTCAACTTTTAAAATGCTGATTCTGTTGTTTCCTCTGCCATTCTACCCTTCAAGAGGGAGTTGAAGTACACTCCATCTGTTCCCATATTCCACAATGGAGTATTTTAAAATACAATCCTGTCTATACACATTTGTTATGTGTCTCTTATACAACTAGATTATAGGAGGAAAATGAACTTTTAACTTAGTGTTTTGTAATTTGTCTAGATGAAGAGTGGAATGAAATAGATAAGACAAAAGAATAATGTTTTTTGTGTATTTCATAGTAAATTGATGTGTTTTTTTTTAAATAGGTTGTAGTTCCAATGCCCTCATGGTTAATAAGAACCAGAGAATCTGTCACAGATGATCCCCAGAAATTTGCAATGGAATTATCTATAATTTATAAATACTCCCCATTTAAAACTGAAGCAGAATTGATGCAGCAGTTTGATGTGATCTATGGAAAATGTGGTAAGATCATCAAAACTCTGACAATTTGATGGAAGTATTTGTTTTCAGTGTCTTATCAAAGACACTGTACATATGTTTTCATTTTTTTTGTTCTTATAATCTCATGTGGATTCACACTGGGGACAGTCATTTATTTTATCCATATGAGCTTTGTCTTAAGAGCATCCAAACAAATTACTGTAAATCCCTGACACTGGGAGAAGGATGTGTACTTGCATGAGCTTGGTGAAACTGGGTAAGAAGAGGATGATACAGGCTATGACCACAGGGACTCCACAGTCGCTGCACTAGATAGCAAAGTTAGGAGACACTTATTGCATCATTTGAGATAGAGTGATAACAGGTATGTAAGAGAGTTAGCAACTTATAAAATAACGAATTAATGTCTCTGTGGCAAAGAGTTAGCAAAAGTATTGCAGACATTCTTCTCCAGATTAACAGATCTTTTCCCCATTCTTTCCACCTCCACCAACTTTCTGTTCAACACGTCGAATGCACTGTGTCTACTGGCACAGTTGATCCAGGATTTAGACACAGCCATTTAGCCCATGTTCTTAGCTACTATGCTATTCTCCCTTGTGTTTAAGAACTACCAAAAAGTATAATTAGTTGTCCTCTTAATTACTCTAATGATCCTGTTTGACTTTGTATCATAATCAACTGGAAATAATTTGGACTTTTTTTGTTAATCATGCCTTGGAGCAGGGGTCAGCAAATTATGGTCTCGGGTCAAATGTGGCCCCATACCTGTTCTTGTAAATAAAGATTTATTGGAACGCAACCACACTCATTCATTTATGTATTCTCCATTGCTGCTTTCATGCTTCAGTGGCAGAGCTACATTGTGAATAGTTGCAACAGAGACCGTATGGCCTGCAAAGCCTAAAATATTTACTATCTGGCCCTTTATGGAAAAAATTTACCAGCACCTGCTATAGTGTATGAAAACAATATTTCTTATTTGTACAATGTTTAAAAACCCTTCTTTGTTTTTATGTGTGTTAAATTCAGTACTACCAATGAGAGCTTTACCTATAACACAAGCTTGGCTCAGGCTCTTAACAAATTTCATAATGCAAATTATGAAAAGAGTGCCAAAGTTTAAAAATCCACATTGAAAGACTTGTAATGAATTGAATTATAATAAGAGGCACCATACTGTAGAAACTCAGCACTCTTTGGCAGGGAGTGAAACTTGCTAGAAGACATATCTTGGCTTAGCCAAAGAGTTAGCCAAACATACTATTTACTGAAGTACAAAAGAAAATTTTATAGCAGACTCAGTTCCATAGATGAAATGATAGCACAATGACTAGCATTTAGTGTATTTAAAATACTGACAAGTCAAACATCTATTTTTCTACCAGGTACTTTGCTGGTTATTTATAACTTGAAGCTTCTGCTTAATGGAGAACCAGAGTTGGATGTTAAAACTGACAAAGAAGATATACTGATGGCTGGAGCTCTGGAGGAGTATGTGTGTGTTTGACAGAATGTTTTTCAACAATGGTGGTGAGCTAGAGTTAGGAGCCCTGCATCCTGGCTCCAGGTCTGAGGTCACTGGGTTTTAGCACTGGGACAATTCATCTTACCCTAGTTACTAGTAAAGTTGGGCTAGGTCAGTGGTTTCCAAACTTTAAGCTTCAGAGTGCCCTGGGATGTTTCTTGAGAAGTACAGGGTCTGGGGCCTCATCTTGACCTGCTGAGTCAGAATGTCCAGATACCAAGCCTAGGAATCAGTCTTTTTCAAATGTTCCCCAGATGATTCAGAGGTGCCAGCATATTTAGGGACCACTGGAATATAAGACTTCTAAAGCTTTCTAATACCTTGACTCCTAATTTGTAGATATTAAAACTGAAAAAAACCTGCAGAGTTTATTATTCATTACAGATCATTAAAAATGGACAGACATTAGGATAGTGTGAAGCAAAAAGGAATATGACCAAGTGGCAATTTAATCATTATTTTCTGCATGAAAAAGCGTGGAGAAAGAATGAAATAGCAACAAAAGCTAGGTTTCTCTAAAATAACAGTGTTACTTACAACTTAGCTCGAGCCTGCAGTTTTTTAGTCTCAGAATACTACAGCTAGAAGAGATTGTAAAGGTAATTTAATCCAGTGCGATTTATTTTGTATTTCAGTGTTGTACAATAGAAATATAATGAGAGCCACAACGAGGGACATATTTAATCTTAAATTTTCTAGTAGCCATGTTAAGAAAAGTAAAAAGAATAGGTGAAATTAATTTTAATAATGATTTTATTTAATCCAATATATCTAAAATATTGTCATTTAAATTTCAATATGAAAAATATTGATGATATTTTGTATTTTTTTTTAAATCCAAAGTCTTTGAATCCAGTGTGTGTGTTGCAACATACAGCACATATGAATTTGGACTAATGCCCAATAGCCACAGGTGGCCAGTAGCTACCATATGTTTTTAGACTAAGGTGTTAAGACCCAAGTAGACATGTCAGGTTACAGAGAACTTCTTTTGCTTTTCCCAATGAGGTGAAATTTAGAAATTTCTTTCCACAGTTAGCAAATAGCTATTTGATAACACACTTTTAGATTACCTTCTCTCCTTATTGCTGTTGTATGTTTTTTCTCGTATTCCAACATGTAGAATTCCTAATATACACATAAATGGAGGGATTTTTTTTCTTTTGGAAAAAAATATTCAGCCTAATGGCTGTTCCACAAATGCTGGGAACCACTGTGCCAGCATTAATATGCCGGTGTCAGAAAGGAGTCCCAGAATTTTCAGCATCTCTATTACTATCTTCCCCTTTTCCTGCTGCCTCTGCCCTTCTAGTTGCCAGCTGGTTCCAAAACCGATATTTCATGCTATTTAAAAGCATTTTGAAACAGTTATCTGTCAGAGTGCCTTGGCATTTCTACACTGGCATTAGAAAACAATACATTGTTAGAGGGATAATTTGACAGCTACATCTTTGGAAAGATGTTCTTGCTGTTTCCAGATTGTGTAATGAAGCCAGAGCTTCTCTAGCCATTTAGGCAGTTAATTACAAAATAAAGAAAATGAATCAGACCTAAAACATGTACACTTTCACTTTGGCACATAGATCACACTGGATTTTCTAATTTGTTTTTCAGCAAAAATTTTTTTTTAGTTTAATCACAAGAAAAGCCTTTAAAGACAGGGCTAGGATTTTATAAGGAGGAATCACTGTAAAGAGGATTCATAGTTTCTGAACTGAGGACGCGATATATTTCATGGCCTCTGACACGAGTACTGTGATGGTGCCAAGAAGGGATAGTATCACCACCTCCTCGGGGGTAGCAGTGCCTCTGTAGTTTTTTTCTGTAAAAGATTTGCCCTTAATTCCACTTCATTGTTGATTTTGACCTACTGTCTCCTCCCCATCACTCCCAAGCTCCCTTTAAACTTAGAACATACTTTTTATTTATTTATTTATTTATTTATTTATTTATTTTTTTAGATGGAGTCTCACCCTGTTGCCCAGGCTGGAGTGCAGTGGTGCCATCTTGGCTCACTGCAACCTCTGCCTCCTGGGTTCAAGCGATTCTCATCCCTCAGCCTCCCAAGTAGCTGGGATTACAGGCATGTGCCACCCTGCCCGGCTAATTTTTTGTATTTTTAGTAGAGACGGGGTTTCACCATGTTGGCCAGGCTGGTCTTGAACTCCTGACTTCAGGTGATCTACTCCCCCAGCCTGCCAAAGTGCTGGGATTACAGGCATGAGCCACCGCACCTGGCCAACATACATGTATTTTTAACTTGTTAAAAAATGGTACATAGTTTACCACACAAGGTTATGGATAATGGTGTGGTCCCATGGGTTCTAACATTAATATCCAATTACTCTTCAGTAAGAGACTAGAAAAGACATAAATTCTTAGTCCTAAAGGATTAGTTCTGGTCCAAGGTGGGTCTTTTTTCTGAGTCCTCTTTCATTTATGGCTTCTGATATTTGAACCTCTAATCTGGTGCAGTTTATAATATAACACATTTTTTACCATTTCTTTTCCTGGTGATTATTGTATCCCCTTATCTCTACTGGGTAGGATTGTACAGCTGTCCAAAACAATTTTCAAATCTTGAAACTATGTAATTTTCAGGTTTGGTCTTAGATATTAGAGTCCTGCTGATTCTGAAAATAATTTAATTTTCTGTGTAGGAATGTGAAAATTCAAACTTTCAAGCCGTATTGGCCTCAGGGAAGAGGTGTTTTGGCATTATTTATTTCACATAGTCCTTGTGAACATTTGACATCGTGTTTTTTTTTTTTTTTTTTTTTTGAGACGGAGTTTTGCTCTTGTTGCCCAGGCTGGAGTTCAGTGGTGCAGTCTCGGCTCACTGCAACTTCTGCCTCCTGGGTTCAAATGATTCTCCCACCCCAGCCTCCCAAGTAGCTGGGATTACAAGCATGTGCCACTACTCCAGGCTAATTGTTTTGTATTTTTAGTAGAGATGGGGTTTCACCATGTTGGTTAGGCTGGTCTTGAACTCCTAACCTCAGGTGATCCACCCACCTCGGCCTCCCAAAGTGCTGGGATTACAGGTGTGAGTCACTGCGCCCGGCTTTGACAACAGTTTTAAACATAGGATTCAAAACCTTTTATCATTCTGCTTTGGGCTGAGGCACTAACAGCAGTAATCAGACCAGTGGCAGGGTTTTCTTTCAAGATGACAATCACGTCAAGAGAATTTCAGTAGAAGTGATGTTCAAGCACATGAACAGTGGTGGCCTGTGGTTTGGCAATATCAGTTTAAAGGTGACCTGTTTCCACTTAAATTAAAAAAAATTTTTCCAATAGATAGCAGTCATCAGAATTTCAGAATGCACATGATACACAAGTCTGCATTTTATGTGTGAAATATTAAATTGAATTTTGAAATTGTGAATATGACTTACGGAGAGTGCCAGGGAATCATACATAGGTTCCAGGGCTATATGCAGAAAGTGAGTTGAATTTGCAGGGTAAAAATTATCTTAAATTTATATGTCGCCGTAAACTTAGGCAGTGTTTTCTGAAAGGGAAGAAGATACAAAAAATAACTTTGTAAAAAATCAAAAGAAAATCAAGAGTTTGAAACAAAGGGTGGGGGTAATGACAAGAATACTGAACAGTGAAGAAAATGAAAGTGGGCTAATGACAGAAAACAAGATGTTTCTTCAGGGCTGGGCTAGGTGTGTTTACTAATTTATGTTGTGGTAATTTTTTGGAACTCTGGACCCAAATCCCACATCTCAAACTTTTGTAGATGTTTTCTTCCATTAAATCGCATTTTTTTCTCTTTAAATAGTCCATTTGTGCAAAACAAAATCCTTAGTTAATTCTTTCCCTCTATCTTATTGGTGGCTTTTAGTAAGCTTCATTTACAGTCATACAGATGATTAAAGTTTAGAGTCATTTTCAGAAGTCCTTTATTGAGTGGGTACAGAAGTTAACAGGCTAGTGGAGAGTTTTAAAATGAATCACTGCCCATCATGACCTCCTATGTGGTTAGTATGGATTCTCATCTGTGAAATCTGTAGGACTGTAATTCTACTTTGGCATTCCTTACATAGAGATCTTATTTCATTCATAGGACATAGACCTCTTTATGTGGATACCAGGATGGAATCTTAATATGGATTTTAAAATTACATGTAAGATATGCCACTGAATTGGATCTAAGCATTACTTTTCTTTTAGACTTTTATTTTAGGTTCAGGGGTACACATGTAGGTTTGTTATGTAGGTAAACTCATGTCACAGAGGTTTGTTTTACAGATTATTTCATCACTCAGGTATTAAGCCCAATAGCCAACAGTTACCTTTTCTGCTCCTTTCCCTCCTCCCACCCTCCATGCTCAAGACCCCAGTGTCTATTGTTTCCTTCAGTGTGTCCATGTGTTCTCATTATTTAGCTTGCACTTGTAAGTGAGAACCTGCAGTATTTAGTTTTCTGTTCCTGTGTTAGTTTGCTAAAAATAACAGCCTCCAGCTCTATCCATATTCCTGCAAAAGACATGATCTCGTTCTTTTATATGGCAGCATAGTATTCCATGGTATATGTACCACATTTTCTTTATCCAATCTGTCATTTATGGACATTTAGGTTCCATATCTTTGCTATTGTGATATAGTAAATAGTGCTACAGTGAGCATTTGCATGCATGTGTCTTCATGACAGAATGCTTTATATTATTCTGGGTATATACCCAGTAATGGGGTTCCTGGGTTGAACGGTAGTTCTACTTTTTAGCTCTTTGAGGAATTGCCATAGTACTTTCCACAATGGTTGAACTAGTACACTCCCACTAACAGTGTATAAGTATTCCCTTTTCTCTGCAGCCTCTCCAACATTTGTAATTTTTCAACATTTTAATAATTGCCATTCTGACTGGTGTGAGATGGTAGGTTTTGATTTGCATTTCTCTAATGATCAGTGATATTGAGGTTTTTTAAATATGCTTGTTGGCTGTATGTATGTTTTCTTTTGAAAAATATCTGTTCATGTCCTTTGCCCATTTTTTAATGGGTTGTTTCTTTTTCTCTTGTAAGTTTAGGTTTCTTACAGATGCTCGATATTAGACCTTTGTCAGATGCATAGTTTGCAAATACTTTCTCCCATCCTGTAGGTTGTCTGTTTACTTTGTTGATAGTTTCTTTTGCTGTGCAGAAACTCTTAAGTTTAATTAGATCCCACTTGTCAATTTTTGCTTTTGTTGTAATAGCTTTTGGTATCTTGTCATGAAATCTGTGCCTGTTCCTATGTCCAGGATGGTATTACCTAGGTTGTCTTCCAGGGTTTTTATAGTTTTGGGTTTTACATTTAAGTCTTTAATTCGTCCTGAGTTAATTTTTGTATGTGGTATAAGGAAGGGGTCCCGCTTCAATCTTCTGCATATGGCTAGCCAGTTATCCCAGCACCATTTATTGAAGAGGGAGTCTTTTCCCATTGCTTCTTTTTGTCAGCTTTGTTGATGATCAGATGGTTGTAGGTGTGCAGCCTTATTTCTGGGCTCTCTTTTCTGTTTCATTGATCTATGTGTCTGTTTTTGTACCAGTACCATGCTGTTTTGGTTACTGTACCCCTTTAGTATAATTTGAAGTCGGGTAATGTGGTGCCTCCAGCTTTGTTCTTTTTGCTTAGGATTGCTTTGGCTAGTCAGGCTCTTTTTTTGGTTCTGTATGAATTTTAAGATAATTTTTTCTAGTTCTGTGAAGAATGTCATTGGTAGTTTGACAGGAATAGCATTGAATCTGTAAATTGCTTTGGGCAGTAAGGTCATTTTAATGATATTGATTCTTCCTATACAGGAGCATGTGATGTTTTTCCATTTGTTTGTGTCTTCTCTGATTTATTTGAGCAGTGTTTTGTAATTCTCCTTGTGGAAATCTTTCACCTCCCTGTTTAGGCATATTTCTAGGTATTTTATTCTTTTTGTGGCAATTGTGAATGAGATTGCCTTCCTGATTTGGCTCTTGGCTTGGCTGTTGTTAATGTATAGGAATATTAGTGACTTTTGTACATTGATTTTGTATCTGTAACTTTGCTAAAGTTGTTTATTAGCCGAAGGAGCTTTTGGGCTGAGACTATGGGGTTTTCTAGATATAGAGTCATGTCGTTTGCAAACACACGTAGTCTGGCTTCCTCTCTTCCTATTTGGATGCCTTTTATTTCTTTCTCTTGCCTGATTGCCAAGCAATAGTTTTCTTTACTTCTCATATACCTCACTCTCCCTTGTTTGCCAGGTGGTTCAGCACCTGTTCAAGAGGCATTAATTTGGGGGGCAGAGGATGGAGTGGGAATGAAGGGAGGAGCTTCAATTAGTATTACAAATATTAACTCATTGAAAAATATTTAAACTTTCATAAACAGGTAAAGCAATGTAAAAGTGCGTCCTCATTTTCCACCTCAGCTCCCCCAGTCTCTCTTCTACTGTAGAAATTATTTTGCTACTTGGGATTTAAATCTATCTTCTAGATATTTATTATCTGTCACTTTATATTAGATATAACTTACCATTTTTAAAATTTTGAAATAATTTGACTTTTCAAAGTTTTAAAGATAATACAGAAAATTCCCATGTATCTTTCATCCAGATTTCCCAAATGTTGATATTTTACCAACATCTGAAAAATTAGAAATTTGAAACATGCCTGTCCCAAGCATTTCAGATAAGGGATGGTCCACCTGTACATCAGTACTTCTCTGTTGGTGGGCATTCAGGTTGATTTTAATTTTTCACTTTTGGGAACAATGTCAGTCTTTATACTTAAATTGTTAGACATTTAGACAAGTATTTATTTACTGTTGATTCTCAGAAATACTATTACTGGGTTAAGTGGTTGTAATTTCCTCAATGGTGGCGTTTTGCGAAACCAAGGTACAATATGATAACCAGGACGCGAACCAGGGCATGAACACAATCCATCAGGTTTGATAGAAATCCACCAATGCATCTCTACAAATATCCCCTATATTACCCTTTATAATTATACACACTTCCTCCTTTCTCCATCAACTCGACTTAAAAAAATAACTTTAAAAGAGTATATTGGTAAATAATAGATATACATATTTTCAGGGTATATGATACATTCATATAATTTGTAAAGTTAAAATAGAGGTAATTGGGATATTCATCCCCTTAAATATTTCTTTTCTTTATGCTACAAACATTCTAATTATTCTCTTCTAGCTATTTTGAATTGTACCACAGATGATTGTTAACTATAGTTACCCTATTGATCTGTTGAACAGTAGGTCTTATTTCTTCTATTTAACTGTATATTTCATCCCATTAAATCAACCTTTCTTCATCCCCATCCTATTACCTTGCCTCTGGTAACTACCATTCTACTCTCTATCTTAATGAGATTCACTTTTTAAGCTCCTACATATGAATGAGAACATGTTATATTAGTCATTCTGTGCTTGGCTTATTTCACTTAACGTAATGACCTCCAATTTCATCCATGTTGCTACAGTGACAGGATTTCATACTTTTTTATGGCTGAGTAGTATTCTGTTGTGTATATGTACAACATTTCTTTATGCATTCATCCACTATGGGCACTTAGGTTGATTCCGTATTTTGGCTATGTTGAATAGTGCTGCAGTAAACATGGGAATACAGATATCTCTTTGATAGATTCAGTTTCTTTCCAGTAATGGAATTGCTGGATCATATAGTAGTTCTATTTTTAGTTTTTTGAGGAGCCTTCATACTATTCTCCAAAATGGCTGTACTAATTTACATTCCTACCAACAGCATCCGAGGGTTCCCCTTTCTCCACATCCTCACCAGTATCCATTATTCCCTGTCTTTGGATAAAAGCCATTTTAATTGGGGTGAGATGATATCTCATTGTGGTTTTGGTTTACATTTCTGTGATGATTAGTGATGTTGAGCATTTTTCCATATACCTTTGGCTATTTGTATGTTGTCTTTTGAGAAATGTCTATTCGGGTCTTTTGCCCATTTTAAAATAAGATTATTTGGTATTTTGCCATTGAGTTGTTTGAGCTTCTTATATATTCTGGATATTAATCTTCTGTCAGGTGGATAGTTTGCAAATATTTTCTCCTATTCTGCAGGTTGTCTCATCACTTTGTTGACTATCTTCTTTGCTTTGCAGAAACTTTTTAGCTTGATGTAATGCCATTTGTCTATTTTTGTTTTAATTACCTTTGCTTTTGAGTTCTTACACACACACAGACACATACACAGACAGACACACACACACAGACACATACACAGATAGACACACACACACAGACACATACACAGACAGACAGACAGATAGACACAGACACACCCCTTTGCCCAGATCAATTTCCTGGAGAGTTTCCCCAATGTTTTCTAGCTAGCTTTCTAGTAGTTTCATAGTTTTTGGTCTTACATTTAAGTCTTTAATTCACTTTGATTTGATGTTTGTATATGATGAGAGATAGGGGTCTAGTTTCATTCTTCTGCATATGTATATTCAATTTTCCCCGCACCGTTTGTTGAGGAAACTGTCCTTTCCCCTTTGCACATTTTTGATGGCTTTGTCAAAAATGAGTTGGCTATAAATGTGTGGATTTATATCTGGGTTGTGTCTTCTTCTGTTCCATTGTTCTGTGTCTGTTTTTGTGCCAGTACCATGCTGATTTGGTTACTATAATTTCGTAGTGTATTTTGGAGTCATGTAGTGTGATGTTCTTTGGTTTTTTTTGATCAGGATTGCTTTGGCTATTCAGTGTCTTCTGTGGTTCCATATAAATTTTAGGATTGTTCTTCTATTTCTGTGAAGAATACCACTGGTATTTTGATATTCTATTGAATGTGTAAATTGCTTTGGGTGGTATTTAATATTTAACAACATTAATTCTTCCAATTCATGAGTGAGGAATATCTCCATTATGTTTCAAATTCTCTTCAGTTTCTTTCATAAGTATTTTATAATTTTCTTTGTATAGATCTTTCACTTCTTTGGCTAAATTGACTTCTAGGTGTTTTATATTCTTTGTAGCTATTATAAATGGGATTGCTTTCTTGATTTCTTTTTTAGATTGTTTGCTGGTGGCATATAGAAATGCTACTAATTGTATGCAGCTTTTGTATTCTGCCACTTTACTGAATTAATTTATCAGTTCTAACAGTTTGCTGGTGGTGTCTTTAGTTTTTTGTAAATATAAGGTCACATCATTCTGAAACAAGGCTAATTTGACTTCTTTCTTTCTGGTTTGAATGCCCCATATTTCTTTCTCTTGGCTAATTGCTATGACCAGAACTTTCAGTATTATGAATAAAAGTGGTGACAGTGGGTGTCCCTGTCTTATTTCAGATCTTAGAGGAAAGGCTTTCAATTTCTCCTCATTCAGTATAATGTTAACTATGTGTTTATCATACATAGTTTTTATTATTTTGAGGTATATTACTTCTTTACACAGTTTATTAAGGGTTTTTATCATAAAGGGATGTGGAATTTTCTTGAATGATTTTTCATCATCAATTGAAATGATCCTAGGGTTTTCTCCTTGATTCTGTTAATGTGATGTTTCACGTTTATTTATTTGCATATGTTCAAGCATCCTTCCATCCCTGGGATGAATCTCATTTGATAAAGATGAATGATCTTTTTAATGTGTTGATGAATTCGATTTGCTTGTATTTTATTGAGGATTTTTACATCTGTGTTCGTCAGTGACATTGGCCTGTAGTTTTCCTTTTTGGTTGTATTTGTCTGGTTTTGGTATCAGGGCAATGCTGGCCTTGTGGAATGAGTTTGAAAGAATTCCTTCCTCTTCAGTTTTTTTGAAGAGTTTGAGTAGAATTGGTATTAGTTCTTCTTTAAATGTTTGGTACAATTCAGCAGTGAAGACATCAGGTCCTGGGATTTTCTTTGATGGGCACCTTCTTATTACAGGCGTGAGCCACTGCGCCCAGCACTATATTACTATCTCTTAACAGGTTGCTGTAGATATTATTGTTTTTGATAGATTTGTCTTTTGGGTTTCATACTAGCATAATGAGTAGATTGTACACCACAATTATAGTATTCTGGGTTTGTTCATGTAATTAATTTTACCAGTGGATCTTGTATCTCGAAAAGGTTTTTTTTTTTCTTTACCTTAGTATTTTGTTTTTTTCAGATTGAAAAAATACTTTTAGCATTTCTTGTAAGATGGGTCTGGTGGTGATGAATTTTGTTTGTCTAGGAAATGCTGTATCTGTCTTTTATATTTGAAGGATAGCTTTGCTGGATGCAGTGTTCTTGAATAGCAGCATTTTTTTCAGCACTTTGAAAATATTGTTTCACTGTCTACTGTCCTGTATGATTTCCATTGAAAAGTATATTGCTAGACGAATTGGAGCTCCTTTATGTGTTACTTGCTTCTTTCCTCTTGCTGCTTTTAGGATTCTCTCTTTGTCTTTGACTGTTGAGAGTTTGATTCTTATATGCATTGGGGTAGTCTTATTTGGGTTGGATCTGTTTGGTATTTTCTGAGCTTCCATACCTGGATATTGGTCTCTTTCTCAAGTTTGGGAAAATTTTCTGTTATTATTTCTTTGAGTAAGCTTTCTAACCCTTGCTCTTGCTTTATTCCCTCTTGAACACCAGTAATTCTTAGATTGGTCTTTCGAGGTAATTTTCTGTATCTTGTAGGCATCTTTGTTTCTTTCATTTTTTTTTACTTTTTGCTCCTCTGTGTATTTTCAAATAACCTATCTTTGAGCTCACAGATTATTTCCTCTACTTGATCTATTCTGTTGTGCAGAGCCTTGAATGAATTTTTTAGTTCAGTAAGTATATTTCTCAGTTCCAAGATTTGTTTGATTTTTAAGTTATTTCAATCACTTTATTAAATTTCTTTAATTACTGAATTACTTTTTTGTGTTACTTTGGAGACCACTGAGTTTCCTTAAAACTATTATTTTTAATTCTTTATCCGAGAGCTCACATATTGCTTTTTCACTAGGGTCAGTCACTGATTCCTTGCTTTGTTTGGGCAGGTCCTGCTTCTCTGTTTGCTGTTGTTTCTTGTGGATGTACATCTATGTCTTTGCACTGAAGGATTAATGACCTCTCCCAGTCTTCTCTGTCTGGTTTTTGTTTTGTTTTGTTTTCACTGGGTATGTTTGCTTGAAGATTATTCGTAATTTACCTGGTGGTTTTTTTTTTTTTAAATTTTTCTCCTAGGTTGCTGCCTTCTTTTCGGCACTAGGTGGTGCTATAACCCAGGTTGGCCTTGGCTCTAGTAAATCATCAGAGCACTGCCCTGTCCTAAATAGGGAAAGTCCTAAGGGGGATTCCCCAGCAGTGTGGGAAGGTTGGCTGGGGGTTTGTGCCCAAGGGACCTGTGGAACATACTTCCTGCAGTGTGATGCTGCTGAACGGCCACTTGATTTGTCTGAGTTACCTAGCACAGTTTCCAGGGCTGAGGACAGTAGTTTCCTACTGTCCTCAAGGACGTTTCTCCCTCCAGACACTTGTGAGGCTTCTCGTGGATTGAAGCAGGGACAGATCTCCTGCTGGGGAACCCAGGATAGTGGGGAAGCTGGTTGTTCACCTTGCTCTCACTTTTTCTGGTATAGAAACTGTGAGTCAGGAGGAAATTTTCTGCATATTAGAAGATGGGCAGATTGGGGGAAAGATCATCATGGGTATGAAAGTTCAATTCTTGGCTGGGCGCAGTGGCTCACGCCTGTAATCCCAGCACTTTGGGAGGCCGAGGCAGGCAGATCACGAGGTCAGGAGTTCGAGACCAGCCTGGCCAACATACTGAAACCCTGTCTCTAGTAAATATACAAAACTTAGCTGGGTGTGGTGGCACATGCCTGTAGTCCTAGCTATTCAGAGGCTGAGGTGGGAGAATCACTTGAACCTGGGAGGTGGAGGTTGCAGTGAGCCAAGACCGTGCCACTGCACTCCAGCTTGGGTGACAGAGTGAGACTCTGTCTCAAAAAAAAAAAAAAAAAAAAGTTTAATTCTTGTACCATCTGCTAAGAATTTTTTCATTTCACTATGCTCTGGAAACTTTCCCATCCTGATATTTGAGTTCTGTGGTATTGCTGGTATTAATTTTGGCACTGTCTATTTGTTTTTGGTTTTCTGTTGTGGGGAATGTGAAGCCAGCTTGCTTCTACTTCTGCACCACCATTTTGGAAGCAGAAGTCTCTCAATCTGACTTTCAGCATTGTTATTTGTCTTATAAAATTTTTCAATTTTTTTGAGCTTGTATCTGTCAACATTTTTCTTTGTTTTTCTTATTTTGTAATTTTCAGCTCAAAAATGCTTTCCTTAACCATGATTTAGATGTATTCTCTTATAATTTACTCTAAGAATCTTAGTTTATTTCTTTATAGTCTTTTAATCTATCTTGATTGTTTTTGAATATGGTGCAAAGTGTGTGTACATGGAGGGTGAAGGATTAATTTAATATTGTTCTAATAAATCTATATTTATGAAATAGTTCAGCCTTTTCCACTTATGTGAAATAAATCAGTACTATAAACTAAATTTTTATCATACATGGTTCTGTTTCTGGATGAACTATTCCTTTTCATTGATATATTTTTCACTTCCTGCCCCATTAGAACTTAATTGCTACAGCCTTTATAATGTATTTTAATATTTAGAAGGGCAAATACCAAGCCTTTCTTTCACTGTTCTTTTAAAAATCATTATTTGCTATTCTTGCAAATATTCTTTTTTTATCTGAATTTTAAAAATCAGCTTTTCAAGTTTTATTATAAAATGCTCTTGGGATTTTGATTGGTAGTTCCTTGAATTTATAATTAAATGGGAGAGAACTGGCACACTTATACGTTGGTTCTTATTCCAATCTTCTTTTATATAATTGAATGGAGTTTTATAACATCATAATATATCATAGTAATTAAATACAGGAGTTTGAAGGACTGTCTGGGTTCAGTTTATAGTTCTATAAGCTGTATTATTATGGTGATAGTTTGGCTGTGTCCCCACCCAGATCTCATCTTGAAATCCCATATGTTGTGGGAGGAACCTGGTGGGAGGTAATTGAATCATGGGGGCAAGTCTTTGCTGTGGTGTTCTTGTGATAGTAAGTCCAACAAGATGTGATGGTTTTAAAAAGAGGAATTCCCCTGCATAAACTCTCTCTCTCTTTACCTGCTGCCATCCATGTAAGACGTGACTTGCTCCTCCTTGCCTTCTGCCATGATTGTGAGGCTTCCCCAGCCATGTGGAACTGTAAGTCCAATTAAACCTCTTTCTTTTGTAAATTGCCCAGTCTCAGGTATGTCTTTATCAGCAGTGTGAAAATGGACTAATACATGATATGGGAAAGGAATTTAGCCTCACAGGACCTCAGTTTATTTATCTGAAAATAATGTTGATAAAAATAATAGTATTATATCCAGGGGTTGTTGAGAAGATTAAGTGATTTATGACATGAAAAGTGCTTAGGACACTACCTGACACATAATATGTACTCAGTGATTGTTAGCTGTTATTACTTCTTCATATAGTTCTAGTATATTTCTTGTTAGGTATATTTTTGGGTATTTTATGACTCTTCTTGGTATTCATATAAGATTTTTTTCCTCCGTTGCTTTTCTAATTATTCATTTGTTAAAAACCATTGATGTTTGCCTGTTGATTTTATATCTGACCACTTACTGAACTCTTTTATTCTAATAGTTTTCATTAGATTTTCTGTATAGTCTTATCATCTGCAAATAAGGACAGCTTTGTGATTTTGTGTCTTCTGTTGCTCATCCTTTTTCTTTTTTCTTAATTTAGTTGGCTAGTTAAATAGAAGTGGTAATAGTAGGTATGCTTCTTTGCTTTGTTTTTGTCTTAATGGCATTTTTTATGTTTGACTATTATATGTGATATTTATTCTAGTTACTATTCTTTTTAATCAATGGCTTTTGTGAAATTGAGAAATGTATTTTCAGTTTATAGAGTACATTTTGTTTTATTTATTTTTTTGTGTGAGGAAATGTGATTCTTATTCTTTTCTGCATAATAGCTGTATTCTACAGGTTTCAATTTTAATGCTTTTTGACATCTGTTGAAGTGATTTAGTTTTGTTTTTCTCCTTTAAAGTAGTGTTTTATTATGAGAGAGTTTATGATGTTGAGTGATCTTTGCATTCCTCAGATAAACCCAACAAGATCATGATGTATTATTCTTTTACATGACTGTGTTCATTTTGTTGATCCTTTAAATTTTTTGCTTTTATGTTTGCACATGAGACTGGCTGTAACTGTGCTTTTATTATCATTTCCTTATTTAGTATTGATTGGTATATAGATTATGGTAGCCTCATAGAATGAGTTGGGAATTTCTTCCCCCATTTCTATTATTTGGAAGAGTTTACGTAAAGTGAGTCTTTTGTCTGCCCATAGATTTTTTAGAACTTCCTTGAAAATCTGGTTGCCTTATTACTTTATTTCTTTTATTACTTTTTAATGGTGCTAAGACTGTTATTCTATTCAGATTTTGGAATTTTGGGGCTTAAATTTGTCATTTATAATTTCTTATAAAAACATTCATTTTATTTATATTTTCCAGTTTGTTGACATGGAGTTTTTATAAAATTTATGTTTTCCTCTGATAGATTTTGTTCACTTTTTCTTCTTATATCATGTATTCTCCCATCTCTCTTTCTTGGCCAAAGAAATTTATTTCAATTGACTTTAAAAATAAAACAGTTTTGGATTTTTAAAATTAAGTCTGCTGGGATTACTTTTATTTTACATTTCTTTATTTTCTTATATCTTTTTTGGATTTGTTTATTTTTCTTTTTCTACTTCCTTGAGGTATGTGTTTTATTCATTGACTTTAAATTTCATTTTCTAATCTAAACAATAAGGTTCTTATTTCTCCTCTGCGTTATATAATAGCTGTATTCTACAGGTTTCAAAATATAGAACTCTTACTGTTGTTTATTTCTAAATAGCTTATAATTTTATTTTGATTTCCTCTTATTCAAGAGTTGCTTTTTAAAAATGTTTTAAATCTACTAGTGCATATGTTTGCTTTTTGGAGAGAGGAGTCAGATATCTTTTTATTGTTGCTCTAATTGTATGGTGGTCAGAGAATCTAGCCTGTATTATATCTGCTCTTTGAAATCTGTTCAGATTTTCTTATGGGCTTATGTCTTAAACATTTTTTTAAAAGTGAATCTCTGATAAGGACAGAGCTCTATCCATTTCATTTGCATACATATTTTAATTAAGTATTCAAATCTTCCATGTCTTTTTTTCTTCTTCATTGCTCGGTTTCTGAGAGCAGTATGTTAGAATCTTCTACAATATTTATTGCTATGTACATACATTTTGTATTTCTACTAGTTTTTGTTATCTATTTGTCTGAGTCATTAGATTGTGACTTATGTGTAATCTTAAGTGAAGCTCTTATTAATACATAATGCCCGTCTGTGTCTGTTATTTCCCCCACTTCGTTTCTTTTTTGTCTAATATTAATCTCTCTAGACTTGCTTTTTCTTGGTTAACATTTTCCTACTGTGTATTTTGCCACCACTTTCTTTCCAGCAGTGATATTTTGATTTTGATTTGTCTGTTACAAACAGCATATAACTAGATTTTTTTTTTGCTTATTCTAACTGCTTCTGTCTTTTAGCTAATTCACACTTACTGTGACATCTGCTATGGCTGGACTTGCTCTGCCTGCTTATACGTTGTATTTGCCTTGCTTCTTTTGTTGTTATTTGAGCTTTCTTATTTTTTAATTTATTTTATTCTGCTTTATTTTTTCTCTCCCCACTTTTTGATAATAATTGAGTTGTGGTTTTTTTCCCAAAAGGAAAAGTTTATTTTTTTTCTATTCTAATGATTTGCAAATTAGTTGCTCCATTATATACTTTCAGTGGATTAGTTTTACATTTTTAATAAACATGTCTAAACTTATGATTTTATTTTCAAACTGTAGAGTTAATTAGTATGTATTTCATTTCACAAATAAGATATGGTCTTAGTATGTATTTATCTTTCTTCCTTTCCAGTTCCACCTTTTAAAATTATTTTTTGTAGGATTTTAATTACACATTTTTATTACATCAGACATGAACAATTATTTAGACTAAATTAGAAGATTTGTTTTTTGTGTGTTTGTTTACTACTATATCTTCCATCCTGTATCTTCTTTCTTGGATTTATTAGTCAATTTGCTTTATTATATCCCGAAATGATTCTTTCAGAGTCTGTTGGAAGCTTTGTATCTCTACAAGTGTCTTTATTTTTCCCTTCCACTTCAATATTTGTTTAAATGGTTATAGAAATATTGGTTCAAAAATAGTTTCCCTTAGAACTATTTGCTTCTTTGACTTCTTGAATACATGTTGTTGATCAGAAGTCTGATAGAAATGTGATTACCAAATTATTGTAAATTACTTATTTTTTTCCTCTGGAGAACTTTCAGGATTTTCTCTTAACTTTTTTTTTTTTTTTAATACTTTAAGTTCTGGGATACATGTGCAGAACTTGCAGGTTTGTTACATAGGTATACACATGCCATGGTGGTTTGCTGCACCCATCAACCTGTCATCTACATTAGGTATTTCTCCTAATGCTATCCCTCCCCTAGTCCCCGATCCCCCGCCAGGCCCTGGTGTGTGATGTTCCCCTCCCTGTGTCCATGCGTTCTCATTGTCCAGCTCCCACTTATGAGTGAGAACATGTGGTATTTGGTTTTCTGTTTCTGTGTTAGTTTGCTGAGGATGATGGTTTCCAGCTTCATCCATGTCCCTGCAAAGGACATGAACTCATCCTTTCTTATGGCTGCATAGTATTCCATGGTGTATATGTGCCACATTTTCTTTATCCAGTCTGTCATTGATAAGCATCTGGGTTTGTTCCAAGTCTTTGCTATTGTGAATAGTGCTGCAATAAACATACGTGTGCACGTGTCTTTATAGTAGTATAATTTATAATTATTTGGGTGTATACCCAGTAATGGGATTGCTGGGTCAAATGGTATTTCTGGTTCTAGATTCTTGAGGAATTGCCACACTGTCTTCCACAATGGTTGAACTAATTTACAGTCTCACCAACAGTGTAAAAGTGTTCCTATTTCTCCCCATCCTCTCCAGTATCTGTTTCCTGACTTTTTAATGATTGCCATTCTACCTGGCGTGAGATGGTATCTCTTTGTGGTTTTGATTTGCATTTCTCTAATGACCAGTGATGATGAGCTTTTTTTCATACGTTTGTTGGCCACATAAATGTCTTCTTTTGAGAAGTGTCTGTTCATATCTTTTGCCCACTTTTTGATGGGGTTGTTTTTTTCTAGTAAATTTGTTTCAGTTCCTTGTAGATTCTGGATAGTAGCCCTTTGTCAGATAGATAGATTGCAAAAATTTCCCCCCATTCTGTAGGTTGCCTGTTCACTCTGATGATAGTTTCTTTTGCTGTGCAGAAACTCTTTAGTTTAATTAGATCCCATTTGTCAATTTTGGCTTTTGTCGCCATTGCTTTTGGTGTTTTCATTCCATGCTCATGGATAGGAAGAATCAATATCATGAAAATGGCCATACTGCCCAATGTAATTTATAGATTCAATGCTATCCCCATCAAGCTACCATTGACTTTCTTCACAGAATAAAAAAAAAACTATTTTAAATTCCATATGGAACCAAAAAAAGAGCCCATATAGCCAAGACAATCCTAGGCAAAAAGAACAATGGAGGCATCATGCTACCTGACTTCAAACTATACTACAAGGCTACAGTAACCAAAACAGCATGGTACTGGTACCAAAACAGATATATAGACCAGTGGAACAGAACAGAGGCCTCAGGAATAATGTCACACATCTACAACCATCTGATCTTTGACAAACCTGACAAAAACAGGCAATGTGGAAAGGATTCCCTATTTAATAAATGATGTTGGGAAAATTGGCTAGCCATATGCGGAAAACTGAAACTGGACCCCTTTCTTACACCTTATATAAAAATTAAGATGGATTAAAGACTTAAACATAAGACCTAAAGCCATAAAAACTCTAGAGGAAAACCTAGGCAATACCATTCAGGACGTAGGCATGGGCAAATATTTTCTCTTAACTTTTAATAATTCCCATTGTGTGTCTGTCAGTGGGTCATATAGTTTTCTTATTCTTCACACTATTAATAGTCTTCCTTGAATTTCAGCAGGAGAATAATATGTATTCTTAGTCTACTAGCCTGATTCTGTAAATGTCTTCATTTTTCCAAAAGGATATTCTTTTACATAATGGCATGATCTATCAGCAGAGACATTAGGTGTAATTGAATGGCTGGGAGATATTGATTGTCTACTGCCATATGACTTATTTTGTACAGTGACGTATGTATAGAACTAGAAAACATGGACATCAGATCTTTGAATTCAGTTCTGTAGGAGCAAATTGAAGAGACCAGAACTCTAGGTTGATATGCCATCGAGTGACTTGAGTTCTGTTGGGAGAGCTTTAATTCTAGTGGCAAGTTATCTTCAGTCTCCAAAATTCTCTGTTCCCATCTATAAAATAAGGCTATAACATCATCTACTTCATATGGAAGCTGTTTAAATAGAACAGGCACAGTACCAGGCAAATGGAAAATCTCTGTACATTTTAGTAATCCCCACAATTCCCCTCATTCTACTTTTTCCTACAACACCTCTTTCTAGCTTACTATCATGCTGTGGAAAGTAAGTCAGTGTCTGGTACATAGCAAATAAAAAATGAATTACATTCAAGTAAATTGATTTGAATGTCAATGTCTAGATAATTTTCTAAGGACATGACAAATGCTTTCACTGTAAGGTGTTTAGACTCTCGATGTCAGTTCCATTGTCCTTCATCCTTAAAGATCATTGGAGATCTTCATTAGGGTGAGAGAGGGAATTTAAAAGATTTTGTAAAGTACTTCTGTTACCTTTGAAATCTCTTTCAAGTTCCAAACTGTGAAGGCCAGATCACCCCTTATATCATCTTTCTTGATTCCTTTTTTGGAGGTGAGGACCATGTGTCCATTTCACCTTGTCTCTTTTTCATATTATTTTTGTGTGCTCATGTTGCTTTCAGTGACTTAACTATCTTCAAAACATTACAAATATTAATCACTCAACTTTGTAAGAAACTAGAAAAAAGCACAGCCCCTAGTAAAAAAGGCATGCCATGCAATTGGCTGTCATCAAAGGGGCTTGCCACATCCCTGAAATCCGCCATGGCTCGGGATCGATCTCAGGCAGCTAGAAAAACCCATCCAAAAAACAGCTCTGAGAGTGATGATATAATACAGAGTAATGCAGTTGAAATTTTGTGCTAAGTAATGTTTTAAAATTAGGTGCCACGTTGCCAGCATGTTTCTAAATTGACAGTCATTGGGCAGCATTCCATGTCTCTACTTTTTATGTCTTAACTGAGCTGCCCAGGAACACATCAAAAGTTATAGCTTCAAATTGTTCTAATGTGCTGCTTGCCATACTGTGGTTGTCACAAAAGAAACACTTTCATTACTTTGTGTAGCTTATAACTTTTTTAAAAAAATTACCTCTTCGAGTTGACATTTCTCATAGGTTTAATCTACCCTAATATTAAATTTGGTTACCCCCTTCAAAGTTCAGAATTTAAACTAGTTAAAAATCTTTATGCACTTGTTTATATTCAAGATAATACAAACCCTGTTAATTTCAACTTCAAAAAGTCTTCAGAGATTTTGTAAGGACTTGAGTAATTTAGAAAACAATTTTGGTTATGTAATATTTTCACGAATAAAAATATGGCACTTCTGAGATATTGCAAAAGGGACCTAATGTAGTCTGCAGTTTAGAGTCATTTTCTCAATCCAGGAAAAGTAGCCCAGTTGTTGGGCTAGATGGGGGTCTGTTGTCTGTGTGCCCAGTGTGAATAATGGAGGAGTTGTATTTCTCAGCTCGTGTCTAGGTCCAAACACCTGTGAGAGACTGTTCTCCTCCCCTCTTTGTGGCAACCTGCCTTACATACTACCCTGTCCACTAGGTCAGGTAGGCAGTGGTGTCCAATCAAAGTGGCAGAATCAAAGGAATCACCTGGGTAGCTTTAAAAACCTCACGTTTCCAGACTCCAGCCACAGAGAATCTGAATCAGCAGATAAGGAGCTATGGCCTTAGCCACAGAACATTAGTTTCTGGCTCCTTCACTGCCCTTAACACAGTTTGATGACTGCAACACATTGATCCACCCATGATGCATGGCACATGGAGCAGCATTTAAAACAGCAGCAGAATACTGTGGACAGATTGGGAGAAGCAAGAGGCCACACAGAAAGCACAGCCACAGGTAGGGGCTAAATTAGAGACTGTTAAGAATACCCAGTGCTGAGCAGGGGACAAAAGCATTGATTCTACTCCATGCCCTCCTATTATATCCACAGACTATGAAGCCAGTTTCTGCCTTGAAATACTCTCCTCTTTCCCCACATCTGTCCTGTGACTGTGTGTGTGTGTGTGTGTATGTGTGTGTGTGTGTGTGTGTGTGTGTGTGTTGAGGGAGATTGTTCTGTCTCTTCCTTTCTTCAGTTTCTTATCGTAGCCAGTTACATAGAAAATGAGAGAGAAAGATAGAGATATGGACACTTCTGACAAAGTGTAAGGAGACAGGAAACAAAGGTATTTAGAAGGAAACAGGAAGAAATACTCTTGAAGAATACATGGAAACAGTTCCTGGTGAGTGTGGAGTAATAGTATTTTTTCCTTTCATCTTCTGAAGATATCCTGACGATTTAGCATGTTTTTATCTCCCTTTCCTAAGTGGACGGCTTTATTTGTAAAGAGTGGTAGCATTGCCATTGAAGATAATCCGTCATACATAAGGAACCTCTGTTGTTTATTCCAAATTAAGCCAGGGAAGTCCTGAATGATTGTCATTTATTCAACATATTTTTATTGATGAGAGCGCTAGCTTCATGGATCTCACAGCCAGTTGGGGATGCAGATGCATAGACAGAGGATGACAGCACTGAGTGGCAGGTGCCTTGACGGCGGGAAGTACAGAAGGAGGGGAGCACAAAGGAGAGCACTTCATCTCTCTCGGGGCTGAGGGAAGGCTTCGAAAGGAAGTGCAGTTTCAAGTTGTATACCGCAGGGTGAAAAGGGGTGCGCCAAGCAAGAGTGGCTGAAGAACTGAATATGCCAGCCTTGGGGATAAGAAAGCCTGATTGCATGGCTGGAGAACTGAGAATGGTCCTAAATGGCCAGGCTGAAGACAAGAGATGAGACTGGAGAATTAAGCGGGGGTCAGACCATGAAGGATCTTATGCATCACATTAAAAAGTTTGACGTTTATAATGACGTGGCCCATTTCACTTACAGGTTTTATATTTAGCCCTCTTTGCCTTCTTTTTATTAAAAGCATCACAAATAAGAGGTAGTACCCTTCTTTTTGTCACAAATAAACAGGAACTTCTAAAAGTAGGCATGTGAGAGAAAAGGGTTAACATAGCAGGTGTCTATTCTTAGAAAGGCTTGCTTGCAAAATTGGTCTGTGGCCAGCTTTTGGGAACTTGCCTGGTAAACAGTTTCCTACAATGACATAAAACCTTTCCTAGCTGATAACAGTGGCTTGCTGTGTCTAGATATGCAAACCATATGGCTTATATGCAAACCTCCTCTCCTTCTGGGACTCTGGAACTTCGCTACATGCTGGGCTGAAGGTGCCTGTGTGGCTAGCTTCCCAATAAAAACCTTGGATGCTAAGTCTCTAATAAGCTATCCTAGATGGAAACATCACACACATGTTGCTGCATTTTTATAGCTTTGAGAAAATTATGCTGTATGTGAACTTTCATGAGAAGGAGAGAATGTAGGAAAGCTAGCAGACAGATTCCTCCAGACTCCACCTATTTTTTTTCCCTTGTCAGCCACTGTGTGTCCTCACTGCAGCACTGTGATGTCGAAGGCATGAGTACAATTGTGTGCTAAGGCCCATGAGTCCTTCCAGTGAATCTCCTAACATAGGGGAGACCTTGAAGATCCCCAACATGCATGCTATGAATATTTACCTATAACTAGTTACTGAATGAGTGAATAAATTGAGCTATTAAAAGGTAGAAGTATTAGTGTTCATGTATATATATACACACATATATGTGTGTGTGTATATATATGTTTAGCTGGTTTTATCTCTCACCATATTTCTCAAATTCTCAAAGTTGGCTCTGAATTACTTTTGACTTTTTTACCTTCAAATGATAAAGACGTATCAGTTTTGAAGAGAGTCAGAAGAAAGAGCTACAAGAGCAATTTAACATCAGGAGATCCAGAAAGGATTTAAACAATGGCAAGCATCCCAAGGTAACTTCTTTCCGTTTCTTTTATCAGGTGAGGACATACTTAATTGTGCAGTTCTGGGTATACTAAAAGCAGCCACATTATTGTATTTGTAGTGCAACACTCGAATACAGACAGCCTATCTTGTTACATTAAAAAATACACTAGTATTAATATTTAGGGAATAAGAGTGATGGACTAGATACTAATATGTAATTTATACTGGGAAAATTCTGCTCAAGACTTATTTAAGAGAATTTCCTTTGGAACAATTAAGATGAATTCCTGACTTTTTAATGAGCTTCAGATCCTGCCTGAAGGAACTTAAAACCAACCAGGCAATTCTTGAATTTCTTATGGCTTCATCTTCATTTTCGAAAATTCCTTGGAGCTCTGCCTGTCTTACTGAGTTACTGGCAATAATGTTAACCTGTTGAGTAGTTCCCCTTTAGACGGGCTTCACATTTTTTTTTTTCCCATCATCTTTGTCTTATTCTGGACTGAGATACAAGTGTAAAAATGATGGGTTTACTGCTTTCTGCTTTCCATTTGACCTTGTGGAGTAGCCTTTTCTGTGACCGAGTAGTAAAGAGCATCGCTTCTTCAGCATGGCTGGGCTTGTTGTGGATCTTTATTTCCTATCTTATTGGAGAGGATTTACAGTTCATAAACGGACTTTAATATAGAAGTTCCCTGGAGTTATAAGTATACAATGACATGGCGATTTCCCAAAATGCAGCTTTACAAGGGTAGTTTTCTTCATAGGCTATTTATGTTGGTTTTGCTTCCGTTTTATTGCCTTCCGATTCTTTATTTTTCTCTTTTCTCCTTTTTCATTATCGTGTGGTCAGATGCTTCCCCTCAGCTGGCCATAAATACTTATTTTAATACTTATTGCACTTATGGAATGAAGTTTTATGTTTCTTGTTCATAATTTTGAAAGCAAATGAAACATTTTTACTGTATTTCTCTGTTTATAAGGACTTAATGGGAATGCTTTTTATTCATGTGAGCCTAGATTCTTTTTGTTATGTTTGAACGAGGGATTGTTTTGTTGATTTGACTTGACTTTGTTCTCCTAGGTCAACAGCTTTAATGGAAAGTATATTTTAGATTGCTGTTATAAGTCTACTTAGAATAAGTTGGTTGCCAACAAAAGTTCAGTTGTAACCAAAGTGTAGGTTATTTGTGTTGGGCCTTGTGTTTAGAGGCCTCCTTAATGAAGTGAGTGTTGTGATATTTGCTGGTGTTTGTGGTGTCATTAGTTTTAGAAGAAAAGTTCTTGAAGCTTCTTGTAGTAACAATAATAACCTGATAGTCTGATGTTATTTCTTCTCAAAGAGATGTAGTTGTTGTGTCCTCTGTATTGTGACATTTTGTATTTTCTATTTCAGTTTCCCAGCGAGGTGGTCATTCAGAGCCTACACATCTGTTCTGTATTTTAACCCATGGATGAGAATATTCATTCAAGCCAAGAGAGTTAAAACTAAACATCTTTGCTATTGCCTCTACAGACCCAGGTAACTCATCTTTCTTCAGTTATCTTCACAGAGTTTTTATTTATAAAATTGATATGCTCCCCAAAGTTGTCAAAGTGAGGACATTGACTTTGATAGTAAGATTTTTACATTGTAAACAAAATTTAAACCACATCCAGGAAGGGATGCTAAAGAGTAATTGGATGTGAACAAATATTTGGCAGTAATAGAAACATACTGCAGTGAGCATGCTAAGTTAGATCATCACCCCGAGTAGAAATTTGTTTTTTACTTCAGTGAATTTTAGGTACTATGACAGTGATTAGTTCCACTAAATGATCACAGTTCACGTATATCTTCTGTTTACACAATACATTTGAACTATTAAACCATATATATACATATTTATATTATACATATAGAATGAATATATTTATAAATATGTATCTGGTTGATTTATATTTTGTGTGTTTTTTTACTTTAACATAAATGTTTTCAAGGTTTTGTTGTTGTTGTTTTGAGACAGAGTCTCTCTTGTCACCCAGGCTGGAGTGCAGTGGCACAATCTTGGTTCAGTGCAACCTCTGCCTCCCTGGTTCATGTGATTCTCCTGTCTCAGCCTCCCCAGTAGCTGGGATTACAGGCGTGCACCACCACGCCTGGCCAATTTTTGTATTTTTAGCAGAGATGAGGTTTCACCATGTTGACCAGGCTGGTCTCAAACTCCTGACCTCAACTGATCCACCTGCCTTGGCCTCCCAAAGTGCTGGGATTGCAGGCGTGAGCCACTGCACTTGGCCACCCACCAGGCCCGGCCTTTAAGTTTATATTTACATATTATAATATCCATTTTTTCCAACCATGCATGCCATCAGAATGGTCATTTTCTTGATGTGGTTTCTGGGTAGTCTTTCATTTACACACCAAACATTTATCAGATTTTTCTGTGAGTTTGAGATTAGAGGAAAAGAAGTTATTTGAAGAAGATACTTGCACATGCATGTTTATAGCACCACAATTCACAATGGCAAAATCATGGAGCCAACCCAAATGCCCATCAGTCAACAGGTGGATAAAGACACTGTGGTATATATATATACACACAATGGAATGCTACTCAGCAGTAAAAAGGAATGAATTAACAGCATTTGCAATGACCTAGATGAGATTGGAGACTATTATTCTAAGTGAAGTAACTCAGGAATGGAAAATCAAATATCTTATGTTCTCACTGATATGTGGGAGCTAAGCTATGAGAATGCAAAGGCATAAGAATGATACAATGGACTTTGGGGACTTGAGGGGGAAGAGTGGGAGAGGGGCAAGGGATAAAAGACAACATATTGTGCAGTGTATACTGTTTGAGTGATAGATGCACCAGGATCTCACAGATTACCACTAAAGAACTTCCTCATGTAACCAAACACCACCTGTACCCCAATAACTTATGGAAAAATAGAAAAAAGATAAGATTAATTCTTGTTTTGAGGACCTTGATATCTATTGGGAGAAACATTTAATTTGTGTACACTACTTATATATGTGCCTTTTTGCCTGAACTATTTCATTTGATTTCTGCAGTAACACTGTGTGTTAGGTTATCATCACCATTTTAGAGATAAGGAAATGTTAAAACTAGAAAAGAACTCAAACCTTCTGGCTCTAAATTCTTTACCAATCCAAATTCAATGTTTCTTCTCCTATACCACATTAACTCTTTATTATATGTCTGCATTTGTCATCTTGTCTTATTTTCATGAAACTGCAGTTACTGTCCTGAGTAGGGCCTTGCTATCACTCATAAAGATATTAATACTAAAAATTATAGATCTCTGCATCATACTCCCTGACCACGCACCAATGGATTTCGCAAAAGCTTTACTTTTGATCTCTAATTATACTGCCCATCATCTTTTGAAAATAAAATATACCAATCCTGAGACTTTCCCTATAAATCAGTCCATTCATTTCCTAATAAATATCAAAGCAATGTTTCCTTTTCATCAGTCTCATTCTTCTGGGAAGCGCCAAGTGTCTCCTGGATCAATCAATATAGCCGATCTTTTCACATTAAATTTCTCTCGTGAGTTTGGGTAAAAAATAGTTTAAGTCCATGGAAAATGTGGATTTGTCTCTATTTTCTGAGGGAGTTTTAGTAAATTGAGTGTAATCTACCTAAATTACTTATATCCAGTGATGGCTGCTTCCCATTCGAGTATATTGCAATGGAAGGGACTCCCACCCAAGATGTGTACAAATTTGTCTCTGGAGGAGTCTAGATCATAGAATAAATTATTACTTTGGAAAAAATTTCTAGGTGATTTCTCAGGTCTCTTAAACATTTTATAAGTCTATAATTCTTGGAGTCTTAAAATATTGTTTATATAATAAAGACAAGTTATTATATGGTTGTGTTACTTGATTTTAGGCAACAAACATTCTTCATTAACATTGCTTAACCATAGACCCATAATGCTGAAAGGAGCCCAAATGAGTTGGGATGGGTGTTACTGTGCATTCATAGGAACCGCATGGTCCTTTTTAAGTTATTCTGGGACATTAACGCTATGTTCTCTTGTTGAATACTCTGCAACACTATGCTTCTGAAACAGAATTCATTATTTAGGGATGCTTTCCATATGCTAACACCCCACCCACCTATCAGACTAGTAATTTTTGAACAGTGATTCTTTTGTACACCATGCATCCATTTTTGAATTTTTACAATGCTGAATTATTTAATCTTTTATTACAGTATGATAATTGGAAGCGAAATGTGGATTAGCCAAATCTGGATTTGAATTTAGGTTTTGTCATTTACTAGTTGTGGACCTTTGGCAATTACTTGAGTCTTACTCTTCTCCACTGTGAATTGGGAATTCCTCTGCCACTGAGGTTATTATGAGGGCTAAAATAAAACAGTGTTTTATGTTAAACATAAAAACAGCAAGGTTTCTGAAAAGTTTGTTAACCAATAGTAGTTGTTATTATACAAATGCGTAAGAGCAAGTGGATGGAATGACCACTATGTGCAAGGCTGTCTTGTAGGCATTGGACATTTGGCAAAAGCAAAAAGAGAAAATTCCTGGGCTGGGTGCAGTGGCTCACGCCTGTATCCCAGCACTCTGGGAGGCCGAGGCAGGCAGATCACCTGAGGTCAGGAGTTTGAGACCAGCCTGGCCAAGAAGGTGAAACCCCATCTCTACTAAAAATACAAAAACATAGCCAGGCGTGGTGGCATGCACCTGTAATCCCAGCTATTCCAGAGGCTGAGGCAGGAGACTCACTTGAACCCAGGAGGTGGAGGTTGCAGTGAACTGAGATCATGCCACTGCACTCCAGCCTGGGCGACTGAGTGAAACTCTGTCTCAGAAAAAAAAAAAAAGAAAAAAAGAGAAAATTCCTGCTCTCATGGAGCTTACATTCTAGTGGGGGAGGAAAAACAACATGTAAATTAAAATTGATGATAAAATATCAGGTAATTCTTTTTTTTAAATTTCAACTTTTAGATACAGGAGGTACATGTGCAGGTTTTTTACATGGGTATATTGTGTGATGCTGACGTTTGGGGTATGGATCCTGTCACCCAGCTAATGAGCATGGTACCCAATAGGGATCATTTCTACCCATGCCCCCATCCCTGCCTCCCTCTCCCCCGTCTTGTATTCCCCAGTGTCTGTTGTTCTCATGTTTATGTCCATGTGTGCTCAGTGTGTAGCTCCCACTTATAAATGGGACTATGAGGTACTTGTTTTTCTGTTTCTGTGTTAATTTACTTAAGATGATGGTCTCCACTGCATTATGTCACTGCAAAGAACATTATTTTATTCTTTTTTATGGCTGTGTAGTCTTCTATAGTGTATATGTACCACTTTTTAAAAAATCCAATCCACCATTGATGGGCACCTAGACCAATTCCATGTCTTTGCGATTGTGAATAATGTGTCAATAAACATATGAGTGTGTGTGTCTTTTGGGGCAAGTTAGTTCCTCTTAACAAAGGCCATTGCATAGGTCCACCTGAGTATTTTCATGACATAATGGCTGACTTCTATCAGAGTGAGCAATTCAAGAGAAGAAAGTAGAACTTGCAACTTTTTAGAACCCATCTTTAAAAGTGACAGACCATCACTTTTGCCATGCCACAGCTCAGCCTAGATTTGACCAGTGTTGGGGTGTGGGGGCACCACACATAGGCATTAATACCAGGAGGAAAAAAAACACAGGAGATATCTTGGATGGTGGGTAGCACAGTGAGTTATGCAATAATTTTGTGGGAAGATGGTTCTAGAAGGAGGGGACAGTAAGTGCAAAGACAGGAATCAAAGGCTAGTCTAGCTAGAACACAGAAAACAGATCGAAGTAGATTGGGCAGATCAGGTAAGGCCTGAAGGAACATGACAAGAAGAAGTGGCTGTATTGAGAATGGAATGACTTGAGCAGAGGAGTGGCATTACTTGACCTATGTTTTTAAAAGATTATTCTAGCTGTTGAGTGGAGAATTGATTTCATGGGACAAGAAGAAAGGAGGGAAGTTGAGGTAGGATAGATACTATTACTGTATTCTAGGAGAGAAATGAGCTTGAACTCAGGTGGTAATAGTGGAAGGGATGAAAAGTGTCTGGATTACAGATATGTTGTGAAGGTAAAGCCAGCAAGACTTGCCAGTGGATTGGATATGGGGTGGAGAGAAAATGAGGAGTCCAGAAGGCCTTCTGAGTTTTTATCCTGAACAAAATCTTCAGAATGATAGAGGAGGTGCAAGTGTAGAGGTTAGGAGGAATGGTGGCTGGAGTTCTCTTCATATCATAGTAGGCACACTAAATTTGGGAGGTCTATTCAACGTCCACATCTCTACCTATCAATATTATACGAACCAGAAAATTATTGATCCTGCCTAATTACATGTTGTAAAGAATAATTAAGGATTAGAATTATTTTTACAATATAACTAAACCAGGTAAACTCTTATAACTTAAATAATAATGATTGAATACTCCAATGCAGTTATGATTTACAACTGGGGGCTAATTTTTTCTGTGTTAATAAAAGTTCAGAACTGTAGTTTACTTGAAGTGTGTTTTTTTTTCAACTTAAATTTTAAAATACTATATTTGATTTTGGCCAGAGTATTTTGAACAAATGTTTTAAGTGTGAAAATTAAAGTCAATGAAAGTTTAAATTTCTGCAAGTTGTTCTGATCAAACCAGTCACCCAAAATGCTGTATTAAGTCATGCTCTATACTTCTGCAGCACAAAGCCTTGAAAGGTACTTAGTGTTTCTTCATATTTTTATTTCTCTTGATGGAGAAGGGTTCTATTTTCCTCATAAAAATAGTAAAATTAATAAAAATTTATACAATACAGAATTAGATATGGGGGAAAAATCAAATAACCAAAAGCCCCTTTTACCAGTTGTGATTCATTATGTGCTATAGCAATCTATAATGTTCCCCAAAGGAGAATCTCTGTTAGAAGTTTAATAAATATCTTTCCAGATTGTTTTCTATACATTATATATATGTACACACGCATGCATACACACACAGGTTTTTTTAAACATAAAATTATGTACAACTTATTTTCTCTTACAGTTAAATCTTGGAGACTTTGTCATTGTTAAATATATTGCATAGCACTATGATTTATTTAAGTTTTCTTATTGATGTACATTTAGGGTTTACAGAGCTTTGAGGATTCTCAAACCAAATATTATTCTAGAATTTTTCTCTCTATGATGATTTAAACCAATGTTTAAAAGCCCGGTTCCAGGAATTTTCTATAACAGGTGCACATACTTTCAACTGTATTCAGAGAACCTCAGGTTCTGTAGAGCTTTTCTCACCTATGCTTTGTTCTCTTTGAGTTTATGGATATATATATGTATGTATATTTTTTTCCTTTATTGTTCTAGAGCATCTTTGCCATCACTAAAACAATGGACCTTGAAAACAGGTTTCTCTATCAGTAAAGCAGAAAATGTGCTTTTAGTAATTTAAAATGATACATGAATGTGTGTTTCTCAGCATCGCAGTTAGAGATAATTGTTTTGGGACTAGGAGAAGTAGTTTATCCAGTGTCGATCATAATCTGAGTAAGAGGGCTATGCATATTAACCAGAAACTTTGATAAGGGAACAACTTCATAGAATTTTTTAAAGAAAATTATCCTATTTTAGATGTCTAAGTGAACATTTGTGTGGGCAGATTTTCTTATCGCTCTCATGAAGTTTCCTTAAAAAAACAACATTTCTAAGTAGTGAAAGGCAAGGAAATTCACTTAGGTATAAAGTTTGCTAATTTACCAGCTGGATGCAACTCACTCGATGAATCTTTCTTAATAATTATGTATCTCTGGAGCATATAGTCTTACTAAAGAATATTGTCTTATGTATTTTAAAATGATAATCTGACTTGATTATGTTCTTTTTGTTTCTTTCCAGAAAGTATCTTTATGTCACATCTTCTTTTAAAGGAGCATTTAAAGATGAAGTTAAAAAGGCAGAAGAAGCAGTAAAGATTGGTATGCGATTACCTGTAGCCTACATCATTGTTGTTCAGTCATTCAGCAAATGTTAATTGTGCACTTATTTTGAGACATACATTGCTCTAGGCATTGTAGGAGCTACTACAATTAATTAAATGTAGTTTCTGTCTCTATGGAACTTCAAAACACATTCTTTCCATCTCTGAGTTTGTTTACTCATGATATTAATTATTATTATAAGTATGATCCTGAACACACTTCAAACTAGATTGATATTTGTTAGAAACCTTGTTTGTCTGTCTGGGCATGGTGGCTCACACCTATAATTCAAGCACTTTGGGAGGACAAGATGGGAGAATTACTTGAGGCCAAGAGTTCAAGACCAGCCTGGGCAACATAGCGAGACTGTGTCTCTATTTTAAAAAATAAAATAAACTAAGAAACCCTGCTTGTCATAGCACTGTGTTAGGTCATTTTAGATCCCTGCACTGCATCCGCTTTAAGAAGGATGTTCTCAAGGCGGGCGGATCACGAGGTCAGGAGATTGATACCATCCTGGCTAACACGGTGAAACCCTGTCTCTACTAAAAATACAAAAAGTTAGCCGGGTGTGGTGGTGGGCGCCTGTAGTCCCAGCTACTCAGGAGGCTGAGGCAGGAGAATGGCGTGAACCTGGGAGGGGGAGTTTGCAGTGAGCTGAGATCGCGCCACTGCACTCCAGCCTGGGTGATAGAGCGAGACTCTGTCTCAAAAAAAAAAAAAAAAGAAGGATGTTCTACATATTCACTCCTCCTACTGCAGGAACAAAACTCTCTTCCCTAGTATCTGGGAGTGAGTAGTAGCTCTATATCCATATTTTGTGGATTTTAAAGCATTTTCTGTCAGCTAAAAACTCATGACTTCTGAATTTATATTTGTATATTTATGTCCTGTAAATTGTCATACCTAAATGAAACCCCAATAGAAGGAAAATTTAACATGTGTAAAAGTTATAAGAGGAACATAGGGTTTTCTCAGATCATGGTCTGTATGCCTTTTTCACTGGTCATGCTACATGTATAGAAAATACTCACTTAAAATTGCTTGAAATAATTTTGCTGTGTTATAACTATTTGGCTTCTACTTCCAGCTGAATCCATATTGAAAGAAGCACAAATCAAAGTAAACCAGTGTGACAGAACCTCTTTATCTTCTGCCAAGGTACGACATGTAAAGAGAGTAGTCTTATTAAATGGCAAATTGTGTCATTTGCTTTTTCCTGTGCATAGTTGTCTCTTATCATCTACTTCCTAAACTTTTAAGCACAGATAAGCTCAGAAGATTAAGTTGATTTTAACTCAGGTAAACAGAATAGATGAGTTCAGAGAAAGGAGAGGAAACTCAGCAAGTCGGGGCAAGGCTGAGGCAGAGAGAAAAGATGAACAGAACATGGGGTGAATTTGAAATGGTGGGGAACAGCATCACAACCCATTTCTTTAAAATGGAAAGGAAAGTAACAGGAGAAAGGGAAAAAATAATGAAAAGCCAGCAGAAGAAAAAACTAGCCTATCGAGTCTCCTTGAAAATATCTATTCAAATTAGAGCTCCCTGTGGACCTAAATAAATGGGGAAAGGAAGGAAAGGTCTAACAAGCAATCCTTCTTTCTAGTGCTAGGAATTATATACTGTAATTATGAATATTAATAAGAATGCTTCCAGCTTACAAAGCTCTTTTATTATGAGTTTCTCCACACAGTTCATAAACATTCTTTGTAATTCTTAACAATATGCCCATGAGTAAGATAAGTTAAAAAGAACTATTATTAATTATAATGCATTGCAACTAAGAGAAAAAGAATATTGCTACAAGACATGTAAGTTTGCTAACTTTTACCAAAAATATGGTATGAAGCTTTAAATGATGGTGAATGATTAAGCAACATATTTATTTGCTTACATACAAAGGGATAAGTAGGAATATGGAGGTAAAATGCCTTACTTCACCTTCTCTTCATCCTCTTCTACAGACTGAATATATGAATCCTTTCAGTGATTTTGCCATTTGACTTTCCAGGACCAAGGCTGTGTCTGATAAAGACCTTTCATATCTAAGGTCCTGAGTAAGGGATGACATCAAAGAGTAGCTCGTGGTAATGCCCCAAAGTTAATTCTATCCATGGCTTGCCCCAAATTCTCTTAGTTTTTTTTTTTCATTTTTTTTTAAATTAAGGGTAAACCTATCTTATTGTTATTGATCATTGATTTTTAATAGTTTAAGCTTTTTAAAATTTTGTTTTTAAGAAATCATTTCCCTTTGCTTTGTATGTTTGAGAGTCCAGAAAAAGACTAATGGGTCAGGACCTTGCTTCCTTTTTGCCTTCTGCTGTTTCTTCTCCCTGCCTCTGTTCTGTGCTCTGGGGGCACTGCCAGGCAGGGTGGGGAAGTCCTTGACCAATTTGTCCTGTTGCTCTGATGCACTCTGGTTTCTTTAAGGCAGAGAAGAGAGCAAAGCAGAATGACCTGAACTTTTGACGTCTTAAATTCTTATGGGAAGATGAATTTTAAATGGAATACTTGCCAACCATTTTCCACTTTCTTTTACTTGAAATTCAGTGAAAATAGTGTTCATTCAGTAGTATGCCATACATCAAAAGACATACCCACCTTTCACCTCAGGTGAATGAAGCATGTTAAGAGGCTATTCTTATGCCTGAGAACAACAATAATGAATTATTCCTCTTCTGCTTGGTTAGAGGGAGCATACCAGATTTAGAGTAGTGAATGAGTTGGTATATCAAATCAAAAGTTTAATAAGAAAGGTAACTGGGCATGGGGTATCCTATAAAGGGAAAGTTTGAGAAATATTAGAGGTATCCAGAATTCGATATGAAGGAGATATTTTCTGTTGGCTACTAACAAAATTTCTCAATTATCTTTTTTTTTTTTCCTGCAAAAACACTTCGTGGTCACATAATTGAGCATTTATTGTTCTCACAAACAAAAGTCAGAGCCTGGGTACACTAAATAACTCACCCAAGTTTTCATGTAGTTTTTGTCAAAGCCGTTGTGTCATTATAGAGAATAAACTTTCTTTCTCTAAAAGGCAGAGAGGATATCTGGATATGTACAAAAGAGAATAGTGGGTTAGGATTTGGTTTATCTTCTAAAGTATTGGAACTGAATAATTTATCAAGTATTGAGAATCTATGATGGTAGAATTGCATTAGGTAATGTGAGCTATTGTTACCCTTGAAACATTTGGATAATAGGATAATATCAACTTGCTTTTTGTTAATTCAGTGGCATTATGTTCTCTCCCAACCAATGCATTTCTCCAGGATGTATTACAGAGAGCTTTGGAAGATGTAGAAGCAAAGCAAAAGAATCTTAAAGAGAAACAAAGGTAAGACACAAGGTTTTCTGTTTGCAGGAATCCTCTGTACTCTGTTAAAACAAATTCTGGTTTCTAAGTAGGCAGATTTAGTGGTTATTGTGACAATTTTTTTTCAGCTTGTGACATCTTATAATCTGAAACCTAATATAGTCAAGTTCCCACAACCAAGATAAGCAATGTAAAACATTGATAAAGTATATATTTGCACGTACACGTGTGTCTACATAATGTTAAAACTTCCAAAAAAAAAGTGAAAAATTAGTTCAGCATTTAATTGGGCTAGATGAAAATGTCTGGATGAGGAAGTGAAAGTGAACTGCCCGGAGGAACAGCTGATAACTCACTTTCCTTCTGTGTCATTTGCCATTTAAATTCTGGAGAGTTGGTTCCAGTTTCTTCCCTTTGTCTAGTAGCTTAAAATTTAAGATAGGAAATAATGTTTCACGTGAATGTATTGCTTATATATCGCTAAAAATGAAAATAGGAAGGATATGTTAACAAAACCAAATATTTACATTTGTAAGATGAACTTGCTCTCCAACTCAAATGCTGAAGAAGTTAAACTTAAAATAATCACTGCTGCCCACATAAGATCAGACTTTGAAAGCTGTGATACCTTTGTGAAACTATTTTTAAGGGAAATATGATTAGTTCTTAACATTATTTTTCGTGAACCATGCACTGACATTCAACCATAACTTTCCTCAAAACTTAAATTTTAAATGTAAATTTTGCATTTATCAAAATAAATAAATGTGAAATGTTACTTATGCATTTACTAGAAAAATGTAAATAAATGTCATAGAAATTGTAATTTAAAAACAAAGCCCTCTCTAAGGTCTTTAGAAATAAAAACCTTCTTGAAACAAGTTCACTGTATGAGATGGTTCATACAGTGAAATGTTTGAAAAGTGACCAATCAACACTTCATTAATAATAATGCCAGTTGCCATGAACTTGTTTTAATGGCAAAATGCTGGGTTTTTTTTAATAGAAGAATATCAGTATATCCTTTAATATTGTAGAGTGACTATGTCGTATCCTGTAATACCCTATTTAGGTATCCCTTATACAGTCAGTACTTTTGTTGAATATCCTTTTGGGATCTCATTACTGAGTAGTGATTTTTGAGAAAAAGTTTGATTCCTATATATTTAACCTTAGATATACATGTGTTTAATAAATATATAGTATATTAACTCATGTCTTATGTTCTATATATATATATCATATCCACATGGAAGGACTGATAGAACTTTATCATTGTTCTTTAATGATAGATGCATTTAATTAGTCCAATAAGTATATTATGTCAATTATAATAGCACGTGGTCATAAGCCTGAAAACAAAAGGCCAAGTTTGTGGAGAGAGGGGAGCTACAGGGTAAGTGCAGGAGAATTATTTTTGGTGTCATTCTTGATTGGGTAAAGAAAATAATGATTGTTATATACCTAATCTGTTCCAGGCTTATATTTAACATTATTTCTTTTAGTTCTTATGACATCACAAGTGGCTAGGTAGGTATTACTCCCATTTTTCAAATGAGACAGAAAGTTTAAGAGGCACCATCCATGGTCACATGGTTATTACAAAGACAGGCTTGTATTTGAAACCAGGTGTGCCTCTCACATCCAGGCATTTTCATAGCTTCCAGCAGCCTCTGATATTACAGGTGTTTATATCATAACTCCTTACCATAGCTGTTTTTATCACATTTTGGTATTTCTCAATTTCTATTTTACACTTTTAATAGAAAACTCACACAAAACATAATATAGAAGGTCAGTCAGAAAAACAGGAGCTCATCTCTGTTGCCCTTGTAAACTTGCTTTATTATAATAACTTATTTACCTTGTATTTTGGAAAGGGTTAGAGAGGAAGCCAGAGAATATCTTTTGGCACATTCCAATCTATGTAGGATATCTGGAGACTTGAGAACATGCTGAAATTTAGAAATCACATCTACTGTTAGAAATACCTAAAATTTAAAATAGCCAAGTCATCATTTTGTAAAAAATGCTGCAATGTACCTATACGACCCGTTAATATTTCAGAACTCTTTTAGCATTTTCTAGTTCTTGTAAATTTAAATTGGCAGATGTGTTTTTGAATCAGTAAATCCTTTGTTTGACTGGCATAGTTACTGGCATCACGTTTATGCAGAATACTTGGCTATACAGAGACAACTGAGTGTGCCTACCAGGTTTTGCAAAATATTTGGATATATGCCTTTGACGTTAACCTTCTAGTTTAATTATTAGCAGTTTCCTAAACTGTGTATGTTTATTTAATAAACAACTTTTTAAACTTTTTAAATGTAACTCTAGAGAATTAAAAACAGCAAGAACGCTCTCCCTGTTCTATGGAGTGAACGTAGAAAACCGAAGCCAAGCTGGAATGTTCATTTACAGTAATAACCGTTTGATCAAAATGCATGAAAAAGTGGGCTCACAGTTGAAACTGAAGTCCTTGTGAGTATGTTTTTGCTTTCAGAGATATAAGCAGAGAAAGGGATGTTACAGTAAGATTCTGTCTGTGGAGTGAGATGAGTGACTAATCACAATGGGAGCAAGTGTCATAGTCTCTGTTCACCCTTCCTGTTGAAGTGCAGGCATTAATCTGCCTCATTGATAGTATCAGTGAATCTGCATGCATGCTCTAAGGAAAAAGCACACTTTGGGAAATTTTTTTCAATGCATTTATTGAACAACTTGATGTGGGGCCATTCCTTGTGCCACCTCTTTGCCATAAATTTTTAATGCTTTACCAATTTAAAAATAATACGAGCTTATTAAATACATTTTAGAAGAGAAGGAAAAGAAAAATCCATAGTCTTGTAAAGCAACCCTACATGTATGAGTTCATGCCAGTTAGCTTCATGATCATATGTTATTAAAACTCTCTAGCCTATTTGGATTTTAGCGTAATACATTCTTGTGCTTTCCCAATGGTCTGAAACTTCTCAAGCTGCTTTCATCAATGATGTAGAGTCCTGAAGAGACGCACAGAAAAGGACAGGGTCAGACAAGGTAATCATGACCAATAGAATGGGTCAGGGAGCATTTACTATCTTGCTTCCTCACTCTCAAGGAATTAGCAATTCATTCATTGTTTATTTAACAAGCACCTATAGTGCAGCATTGTATGCCAGGCACTATACTAAGCTCTGCTGATAAATGCTCCTTTTGCTAAGGAATGTATAGTCCAGTGAAAAGGACAAGCATATAAATGCATATTTTTTATATTGTATGAAAATAACAAGAATGATCTTATAAAACCTAGATTATGGCTGGGCTCAGTGGCTCACGCCTGTAATCCCAGCGCTTTGGGAGCCCGAGGTGGGCGGATCACGAGGTCAGGAGATCAAGACCATCCTGGCTAGCACGGTGAAACCCCGTCTCTACTAGAAATACAGAAAATTAGCCAGGTGTGGTGGCGGGCACCTGTGGTCTCAGCTACTCGGGAGGCTGAGGCAGGAGAATGGCATGAACCCGGGAGGCAGAGCTTGCAGTGAGCCAAGATTGTGCCACTGCACTCCAGCCTGGGTGACAGAGCGAGACTCTGTCTCAAAAAATAAATAAATAAATAAAACCTAGATTAGTTGGATTTCTTGCTTAAATCCCAGTGTACTCAGAATAGAACTGCTTGCCATGGGCTTCCAGTTATCTGGCCTCTGATTGGCTGTGGGACCTCACCCCCTACTAATACCCTACCCTCTCTGCATTTCCTGTTTCTCAGACCTCCTAAGCTCACTTCTGCATTGAGACCTTGGGACATGCCATTTCCTTGGCCTTGAATCTTCTGTTCTCAGATTTTCTTACTGCTGGCCCTAACATGCCATTCAGCCATGAGCCTAAAGTATTCTCCACAGGAAGGTCTTCCTTGACTGTCTAATTAAAACTGGTCCATTTCCTTCCCCACCACCTGTCACTCTTCACATATCACAGCACCTGCATTATGTTCCTCACCCCACTTATCACCATCTGAAATGATCTTGTATATTTATCTGTTTATTAGCTTCATGCCTGCCACCCTTCGGTAAAAGAGAAACTTCAAAGCCAGGGGGAACCTGTATTTCTGGTTCTCACCATATTCTTAGTTCCTGGAACAGGGCTTGGTGCTGAGCTTGAATGAATGAATGAATGTTATGTTAGAGGTGAGCATCCAGTGCAAAAAGAGCATTTAGGAGGGGCAGTAGAGCAAACTGGAGAAGTCAATTTAGGCCTTCTAGAAGAATGAAGCCCAAATTTAGACTTAGAGAATGAATAGTGAAAGGAAAGCAAGGTGGAAGAGTGAAGTGGTAAGAAAACACTATAGGCAGGGACCCCAAATTGTGAGGCTTTGACACATGTGCCGTGCAAAAGGCAGTGGGGAGCCCTAAAGGCTTAGACAGTGGTATGCTCTTTGCCAAAGCAGGTTATGTCACCAACCAGATTTCCAGTGAGATCCTCATGGATAAGCCAACTCTGTGATTCCTTCATAGAATTCACTGAGCACCCCAAGGACCTCTGCAATGAAGAGGAGAAATCCAATCTGTTAGATGAAATGCGGAGAAAGAAAGGGGTTCTCTGGCCACTGTCATTTAGAAGATCATGCCCTTTATTGCAGTAAGGCACCATGGTTTTTAATGTCAAAAGGCCTTGCCTTCCCACCCACCCTCACTCTCCACGTAAGGCGATAGATTTGTAAAACGAGTCGTATTAACTCTGTAACATTGTGCTAAAGTGATTTTTTTATTATGGGACCAAACATGTTGGGATCACCACAGACTTATGATAACATAATTAGCTAACTTGTTAAACTTTGACATGGTCCAGATCAACAGAATGAATTTATTTTTGAAAAAAAAAATGATTTCAAATGACCAGAATATATTTGATTTTTTTCTTTAGCCAAATTTTCAAAATTTAAATATGCATATATTTTCTCAGACTTGGCGCAGGCGTGGTTGGAATTGTTAATATACCCTTGGAGGTCATGGAACCATCCCATAATAAACAGGAATTTCTCAATGTCCAAGAGTATAATCATCTACTAAAAGTCATGGGACAGTACTTGGTCCAGTACTGTAAGGACACCGGCATCAGTGAGTATTCAATAGTCATAGTAGGAGATACTTACAGAGGGATTACTTTCTGTGATTTCTTTAAGCTGACATGATTATCTGAATTCAGATTACCAGCAACTGAAAACTCTGAAAGGGAGCTCCTGCTTTAAAAACAGGAGTGAGAAGGGAGCCCATTTCAGAATCTTTCCCAGACTGTCGTGAAAAACAAAGCAGCAGATTAGAAATTGCAAGGGAATGGCAATCAGAGAACAGAGTGAGGTGGCAGCTGACCATGGTGGAAGGAAGCAGAAGATTGCTCCAAATAGACTGAGAAACCCTGCTCTGGGCACTGGGACTCCACTGTGTGAGAGCACATAGTCCCATGCAGACCTTAGTAGCTCTTATAATGTTGTTATGTCATACCATGGAGTAAAAACTACTGACCCTGGGTAATTGTAGATATGTTAAACTTTTTTTTTTTTTTTTGAGATGGAGTCTTGTTCTGTTGCCCAGGCTGGAGTGCAGTGATGCAATCTCGGCTCACTGCAACCTCTATCTCCCTGGTTCAAGCAATTCTCTGCCTCAGCCTCCCGAGTGGCTGGGATTACAGGCACCTGCCACCACGCCCGCCTAATTTTTGTATTTTTAGTAGAGACAGAGTTTTACCATCTTGGCCAGGCTGGTCTTGAACTCCTGACCTCGTGATCCACCCTCCTCGGCCTCCCAAAGTGCTGGGATTACAGGCCTGAGCCACCACGCCTGGGCAGATATGTTAGACTTTGTTTTGCATAGTTAAAAATTCTTGAGTATGTTAATTCCAGAAAGATTTCAATTAAAAATTTCTAAAATAAATACATCTGGAAACTTAAAAAGATAAACTTTAGTTATCTGAAAAATGTGATTTATTTAGATCACCTCACTCCTCAGAGACACCTGAACAATGAGATTATGTGCTGTGTATTAATTAAACTTCTTTTTGTTTTTCAACATATATTTTAGAATCAAGGTGTACATGTACAAGGTTGTTACAGAGGTATATTTTGTGATGCTGAGGTTTGGGATATGACTAAACTTGTCACCCTGGTGTTGAGCATAGTACCCAATAGGTAGTTTTTCAGCCCTTGTCTCCCTTCCTCTCCTCTTTTATATTCCTCAGTGTCTATTGTTTCCATCTTTATGTTCATGTTTACCCAGTGTTTAGCTCCCACTTATAAGTGAGAATATGTGGTATTTGGTTTTTTTTTTCTGCATTAGTTTGCTTAGGATAACGGCCTCTAGCTGCATCCATGTTGCTGCAAAGGACACAATTTCATTCTTTTTTATGGCTGTGTAGTATTCCATGGCATATGTGTGCCACATTTTCTTTATCCAGTCCACTGTTGTTGGACACCTGGGTTGATTCCGTGTCTTTGCTATTGGAAATAACACTGTAATGAACATACATGTGGGTGCATGTGTCCTTTCGGTAGAACAACTGAGTTTCCTTTGAGTATATACCCAGTAATAGGATTGCTGGGTTGAATGGTAGTTGAAATCTTAGTTTTTAAAGAAATCTCCAGACTGGTTTCCATAGTGGCGAGACAAATTTACATTCCCACCAACATTGTGTAAGTGTCCCTTTCTCTCCACAGCCTGACCAACATTTTTTTTTTTTTTTTTTACTTTATAACAAAAGCCATTCTGACTGGTGTGAGATGGTATTTCATTGTGGTTTTGATTTGCATTTCTCTGGTGATTTGTGATGTGGACCATTTTTTTTCATGTTTGTTGGCTGCATGTATGTCTTCTTCTGAGAAGTATCTGTTTGTGTTCTTTGCTCACTTTTTAATGGGGTTATCTTTTGCTTGTTGATTTCTTTAAGTTCCTTATAGATTCTGGGTATTAGACCTTTGTCAGAGGAATAGTTTGTGAATATTTTCTCCCATTCTATAGGTCGTCTGTAAATAAACTTACTTTTAAATTAGGCAGACATAGGGCTCCATTTATGTCAAGAAATAGAATATCATGTATTCAATGATTTGGGTGAAGTATGTGTAATTCATGTACATTAAAAATATGTCTCTACCCTTGAGTCAACTTAAAATCTTCACTTGAAGTTGTAATTTTAGAATATTTTCTTTCCATTTGTATCCATCCTGCCGTACCTAAAACTTTCTCACCAGCAAAACGGAAAAGCGTAGGAACTCAGTGGGAAATTATGAAAGGGGAAATGAGGTTGAGGGGACAGATTTCCTGCCGAAGCTGAGTTTTCATGTCATGGTCTAAAACATACTCAGAGTGTGTTCTGTGCACTAATATTATCAACATCACCTGGAACTTGTTAGAAATGCAGAATCCCAGGCCCCACCTGAGACCCACTGAATTAAAATCTGCATTTTTACAAGATCTCCAGGTGATTTATATTCACAATCAAATTTGAGAAGCACTGCTCTGAAGAGTATACCTATGTAATTTTTCCTGGGATAGGCATATCTTTTTCCACATGTATTTTTTTTTCAGAGACATGTATGAAGTTATGCTAAACATGAGACTCATTACATTGTTTGGCAAGGTTTGCTTAAAGCTGTAGAAAACGTGTAAGGTATAAATATCAACATAAACATAGTGAGGTTTAACTCAAACATCTACTCTCTGGTCTTTAACTGCTAGTATGACATGGTACAAAAGGAAAACATTAAGCATTTGAAAATCATGAACCTCCCCATACTCCTCTTGTCTTCGCTGTAATCCGTTCCTTGTCTTCATCCTTAGAAGAAAGAATTAAGTCTTCAGAAAGAGGTAGGCATTAGATTTAAAGGTCATAAAAATTATTTCCATCTAGGTCACACTTAGGAGAGTCATACTCAGTCCTCTTTGTGGGTGGAGCTCTCTCGAAGCCCCTTTGCTTGGTGTGTGGGTACCCTCCCAACAGTTGTACTCCCAACTACAGGGTATCATTTGCTAGCCCCCACTCCTTACCTAATTCCCTGTCCTTATCTAATTGTTTCTCACCTTCTACCTAATTGTTTCTATCTACCTGTTTCTTAACCTTTTCAACAGATATAATAGGGTTTGAAATAAATATATTTGTGTTTTTATTATTATTGTTTGATAACATATTGTTTTCCCAATTCCATAGTTATCTATGAATTGATAGAGGGCTAGAGGATACTGTCACAAAAGATGTTCCTCTAGAAGGAAGGTAGAGAGTAGAGGAAGGATAGCAGGCATGTGTATTTATTCACATATTTCACTTCATCCTCAAACTTCATTATCAAACTAAATCAAGTAATCAAGGTCAGAATTGGTAGTTTTAGTAATTTGTAAGGAGAATGACCTTCAAGGTCTTTGCCCATTAACTCCCACAGGAATAACCAAAGTTATATAATATTTGACTATCTGAAAACCAGTATTACAGGGCACACAGTTTTAATGAAAAGTATTTAGGTAGATTTTTTTGCCTTGTAAATAAAAGATGCAGTCTTAATATTTGCTGAAAGTCTGATGTGTTTTTAGGGAAAATTGGGTCCTTGTAAAAATCGAATCAGCAAAAAGAGAAATGGAGAGGTAATGACTTTGTGTCATTTATCAAATCTACATTTACTTTTGGCCCAGCTGATGCTAACAATCTCAGAAATATTTTCCTTGTCTCTAAGTCTGACTTCACCTCACTGTCTGCTACTATGTTTTCTGAAGCTTTATACATCCTTACAATAAAATAGAAATATTAATCATCAGCTTTGGGGAGTAGGGAGAGAAGGATAAATAAAAAGTGGGGAGAAACAAATGAAATTTGGGTTTGAACAGGAGCAATTATGAAAAATTTATTATTAAACTTTTCCAAAATGGATCAGAATTGAGCTGATGTTTCCCAGAAGAATTCAAATCATAGTTCTTCAGTTGGCAAAGAGGGTAAAATTCATTTAGCCTAGTCACCTTTAATCCGCTCACTCTCACTGCCGTTTTAAGACTGAATGCAGGCCACCCGTGAAAGGAAAACTGCTCCCTCTTGAGGCAGCCCATGAATTTGCACAACACTATTAAAAAAATACATAAATCTTCATATTAAATCCAAATCCATATCTCATGGGTTCTTTCATTCAACTATGCTAGGCACAAGTGTTCTAGGACCAACAAATCAGACATGGTCTGTCTTCTCTGAGAACTTACAGTCTAGGGTGGTGCTATGGTCTGAATGTTTATGTCTCTCCTGCAAATTCATGTGTTGAAAATCTGACCCCCAGGATGATGGTATTAGCAACTGGGACTTTACGGGGGTGATGAGATCATGAGAGCAGAGCCTTCGTGATTGGCATTAGTGTATTTATAAAGGAGGTCCAAGAGAGACCCCTTATCCCCTTCTCCATGTGATGTTCAAGTGAGAGACAGCCATCTAAGAACCAGGAAGCAAGCCCTCACCAGACTCAGAATCTGGCTGTGCCTTGAACTCGGACTTCCCAGTCTCCAGAACTGTGAGAAATAAATGTGTTATTTATAAGCCACTTAGTCTATAGTATTTTGTTAAAAGCAACTGAATGGACTAAGACACAGGCTAACACGATTTGACAATTAGAAATAGGATTAGTGCCCAACAGAGAAGAATGAAAACTGCAGAAACCAGTGGCCAGGAGCCCACAGTCTGTAGGCCGGGGAAGGCCTCCCTGAGGAAGTGATATTCCTAAAGGTTGGGGAGGGGTTAGCTGGGTCTCCTGAGTTCTTCCTGCTTGGGGCCCAGGAGGATAGGCCTAAAGCTTTTCCAAATGGCAGCCCCCCCAGGTATTTGAAGACAAGATTATGTCTCTCTTCAGTCTTTGTTTAATCTTGACTAACACTTCCAAGTTCAAGAATAGTAATTATTCTTCATTTGACATGGTATTAAATATATTTACCGTCCTAGTATTGTATTTTAAAGTGTATCATCTGGAAACAAAATGTGCCAGATGAAACCTGAACAGCCTTGACTGAAATGGGATCCTCATCTTTCTTTTGAGTTGTTGGAATCTTATTGGTACACCTAATAATATGTGAACTCTCCGTAAACACATTATTGACCCTCAGTGTCCCCCTTACCATTAAAGTTTTTAACAAAAATATTAATATGTGTTCTTGTAAAGCCATACCTCTCTTTTCTTATTTTTTCCAGTAAGTGGTTTTGAGCCCTAGTGTAGAATCATACATTTATCCCTCGTAAAGTTTATCGCCTTATTAGGCCTCATTCTTTCAGGTTGTAATGACCTTTTTTTTGGAATCTAATGCTAACTTCTAACTAATGTGTTATATTCCCAGATTTACGTAAAGTCTGGCTAGTATTTTCTCTATGACTTCATGTAAACCCTGTTGCATAGGACAGGAAAATCAGACCCTGGCCTTCTATCAGTGATCTCCACTGAGTAAAAGTGGGTACCTTGGGACATGTTTTCCTGATTATGCTATCACCTAACCCTTGTCAATTACCCAGTTTGTGCATAATTTTGAAAGTGAGAAATAATATTTGTTACATGAATATTTTCCTTAAAACATAGACAATGCTGTAGTACCTGGATGTAGCTAGTTGCTCACAACAGAATTTTGTTTTCCATATGATGCAATTTAGTCTCTAAGATCTCAGAAAGGGACTACCAGGAAAATGAATATAACAGCTTTGCTAAGGATACACGTCGAGTGATGAAGCAAATATTAAAAGGTGAGAATATGAGACAAGTTTATTTGCAGATGTAGTCTGAGAAACAGTTCATATCTTTTTAATTCAGTTTTTGAAGTTAAAGATTTTATGTATGTACCCGTTTTACTTAAAAATATTATCAATATTATATTTTATATTACTTTTAAATTTATTATGGTGTTATAGGCTGAATTGTATTCCTTTCAAATTCATAAGTTGAAGCCCTAGCTCCCAGTAGCTCGGGCTGTATTTGGAGATAGGGCCTTTAAGAAATAGTTAATTTAAAATGGAGTCGTTTGGGTGGGCCCTAATGCAGTCTGACTAGTGTCCTCATAAGAAGAGGAAATTCATACACAAAGAGACATACCAGGGATAGGTGCACACAAAGAAAAAAACATGTGAGGACACAGGGAGAAGGTGACCATCTGTAAGCAAAGTAGGGAAGCCTCAGAAGAAACCAAGCCTGCCAATACCTTGATCTTGGGCTTCCAGCCTCCAGAATAGTGAGAAAATAAATAAACTTCTGTTGTTTAGGCCGCCCAGTCTGTGGTATTTTTTCACGGCAGCCCTAGCAAACTAATACATATGGGAGATTTCAAAATTAGAATTAAAGAGAATATTATAATGAAACTCTATAAACCCATCAGCCAGCCTCAGTGATCAACTTGTAGGTGAACTGGTTTCATCTGTAGCCCAACTATTCCCCCACAACTGGATTATGAAGGCAGTCTCAGACCCTGTATAATTATATCCCTAAGTATTTTAGCATTCATTTCTAAAAGTAAGTACTGTTTAAAAACCACATTACAAATATCATTACCTAAAAGTTATTACCTTCTTAATATAATAAAATATCCAGTCTGTTGTTCATATTTCTAATTATCTCCTGTCATAAACTGCAAGGTTCTTTCTCTATCGCTGTCTCACACTCTCTCCCTCTTCCACTCCCCTCCTCTCTGTTCTTCCTTAAGTTTATTTGTAAGAAAACCAGATTGGTTGTCTTATAGTTATCACACAGTCTAGATTTTGCTCACTGCATTACTAGGAGTAGTTCAACAGGTTCTTCCATTGTGTTCATTTTTATTTAAATTGGTAGACTAGCAGCTTGCCCATTCAGATGTGGCTTTTTGTCAAGATGTTTCATAGGTGGTAGTGTGTTCTTCCATTGTGAGGCTGATTGTCTCTCTTTTAATGATATTAGCAGTCATGATCAATGCGTAGATTCCTTAGGAGTTCAAAAAATTATATTCTCATTCTATTATGTTTTCTTCATCAGCTCTAATACTTCTATAAGGAAAAACTGTCTTTCATCTACTACTTGGTTACCCTTGTTGGTATTTTTACTGTTTAACAGAAGCAACTGAACTCTATACTGCTAAAGAATTGCTTTGGATAAAAGCTTGATGTGAAAAGAGTAAGAGACAATTAAAAGATTAAAATATGATATAGACATTTTGCCTAATTGATTTACATGACATAAATATGTACTCTGTTTAAAATAATTACTTCATGTCAGCTCCCAGCAAATAAAAAGATGGTTCAGGAGTTCATCAAATTGACTGTTGGAAAAAAAAAACCACATTCTTAGATTTAATTCATTTACATTGCTTTCAGCTGGTAATTGAAATTACTACCATTGAAAGCACTTATGCTTCCTTTCTGACTGTACCTGTATTATCATGATAATGACATTTTTTACATCTACAATGAAGTTTTTTGCTAAAATATCTCCGAGGATCTCAGCCGTATTGCAAATAAAATACTAAAAAGTTTAGGACCCTTATTCTTTCTGGAATTCAATAAAATTTGATTCTTATAGTTTGATTTTTCCCTGCCATACCTAAAGGAAGACCTCAAAACTCTCCTCATCAGCCTGCTTAAGAAGAGTAAGTTATATTTAATGAGTCTGAATTTAAAACTGCAATCAGAAACCTAATGTACAATATGAGGACTGTAGGTAATACAGTTGTACTGTATATGGGAGTTTGTGGTTTGGTAAACAGTTCACTTCCCTGTAATAAAGCAGCTCACAATGCATCTTTGAAGTAATATGCTGAGATTCATCTTTTAAACGTGTACATGTAAACTCTTTCCATTATGGCTTTAAACACAATGGTAAGGAATGTCTTTGAAAATCATGTTTTAAACACTTGCTTATGAAGTTCACAGTTTGCTAAATGGTTCATTTCACTATAATAAAGCAGCTCACAATGCATCTTTGAAGAAAAAAAAGTACTGTATATGGGACTTACACTGAGTAGGTTTTAGCTGCTCTTGCTACAAAAACAAGAAAAATAGGTAGCTGTGTGAAATGGATATATTAATTTATTTCACTGTAGTAACCCTTTTACTATCTGTATGTATCCTATAACACATGTTGTATACTTTAAATACACACAATAAAGTTTATTTTAAAATATTCCTCTAATCCATTAAAAATAAAATAATGTAGACAATTAAGCATACATTGTATTAATAAAAATCAAATATGGGTCTTTAGGCTTTTAGGAGCATTAGTTTAGTCAGTAGGCTTCATGTATATCTTGAGTAAGGAGAGTTCTAGTAGAAAGGTAGTCTAACCCAGGTATTGGGGACACATACAGAGCTGACTAGGCTATTGCCCATGATAACACAGAATTCCTTAGGAATACACTTTGGACTTGATTTTTATGTCTAGTTTTGATTTCCACATTTTAGAGGGAAACTGGAATATATCCAAAGGAGAGCAGTGACAATGACTAAATAAAAATATAACCTAAAAAAAGAAGGTCAAATTTATTTCTTCTTGAAGAAAGAACCAGGAGAAACATAATTTTCCCCAGTGTTGTTTTTGAAGATTTGCCGTAATGAGGCCTGTAGCCCTCTCCCTTCTAGTCTCCACGCACAGCATCATGTGGTTCCCAACTGGGAGCCAAAATGCCCTAGGGAATCTCAGAGTATACCAGGGAGTCCATGAATTCCTAAGTCTACAAATAATTGTCTAAGATGGCGTTATGCCTCATACATCTATATGCTATAGATTTTTATATGTATAGAGATGTAGTTGTGGGTAGTAAAATATAAAATTACTCAGTGTTATTAAATTCATAATTTGTTTATTTTTTGTCATCATATATTTTCTTAGGTTGAGGGTGGGGGTTCTAAAAGTTTCTTGCAGCATACGGAGGTCCTCACACTTAAGAAGGTGGGTAACCAGTGATACGGAACTAGAGAAAATGATGCTACATGGCCATGTCAAATGAGGAAGCTGACATTTGGAGTGAATTGGGCCAGCTGCAGACTACTGGAGTTTTGCAGGGGAGCGTACTGTGCTTACAGTAGAGTGGAGAAGTGGAAATGTTCTGACAGCAGCTGCCACATAACTTTTGCCACTGACTGGACTCATAACATGAGACTAGCACAACCGCATGCCACCATACCCAGGAGCCAAGAGAAAGGGAAGAAGGACTGTAGCATCTTCACCACCACTGAATATATCTTGTCTTGCTTTTTTTCACTTCAAGTAGACCACCTTGGGAAGTGAAAAACAAACAGGGATAGCAAATAGGCCTCAATTACCCTTGCACCACACACTAAATCATCATGGCAATTCTTCCTGATAAACGGCAGTTGGCCTCATGGTTCTTCTCAACAGTGTACCAGGCATCATTACCAACTGATTGGAGTTGACATTATCAATTGAAACCAGTTTGTCATCCCTAATCCAGAGCTTTCATTAAGAACAAAGATGATAAGCGATCCCACCTTGGACCAGATTAGGAAGGGTCTGATGCCTGGCTGTTACATTAGCTTTAAATGAGAGGGGTAATGACAAACAGGACAGTATTCAACAGAGGAGGAAGAGTGATTTAACTGTTCCCTGAGAAAAGGTATGAAATTTCGATCTCAGGAGATCTTTAGAATATAATCATCTATTTAGATGCAGAACCACCTGAAAGTGGGAACTGATTTAACATTCTCCAGGTATACCATTTTTCTGGTGCTTTGAGTTTATAAACTGTTTCAGGCCTCCTTATTTTGATGGAGACCATCAAAGCTTTGCTGTGGTAGTTTACTATTGAATTTGATTGAGTCTCTCCTAGGCTCACTGATTCCCTGAATGTCATTGTATGTTCTATGAACAGATACAAAACTGACATCTAAGAGGATGTTGTATTTCTTTTTCTTTTTTTTTTTTTTTTGAGACAGAGTCTCACTCTGTTGCCTAGGCTGGAGTGCAGTGGCATGATCTCCGCTCACTGCAACCTCCACCTCCTGGCTTCAAGCAATTCTCCTGCCTAAGCCTCCCAAGTAGCTGGGATTACAGATGCCCGCCACCACACCTGGCTAATTTTTTGTGTTTTAGTAGAGACAGAGTTTCACCATGTTGGTCAGGCTGGTCTTGAACTCCTGACCTTGAATGAGCTGCTCACCTCAGCTTCCCAAAGTGCTGGGATTACAGGCATGAGCCACCATGCCCCACACATTTCTCTTATTTTTAAGAGGCAAAATATGTGTCAGCTGCTCTTGTAGTTACTGGTTTTTGGCAAATTTTCAGTAAATTATTGCAGTATTTCCTTTTTTTTTTTGAGGTGGAGTCTCGCTCTGTTGCCCAGGCTGGAGTGCAGTGGCGTGATATCGGCTCACTGCAAGCTCTGCCTCCTGGGTTCACGCCATTCTCCTGCCTCAGCCTCCCAAGTAGCTGGGACTACAGGTGCCCGCCACCATGCCTGGCTAATTTTTTGTATTTTTAGTAGAGATGGGGTTTCACTGTGTTAGCCAGGATGGTCTGGATCTCCTGACCTCGCGATCCGCCCGCCTCAGCCTCCCAAAGTGCTGGGATTACAAGTATTTCCCTTTTTTTTTTCCCCAGGTGCTTGGTTTAAAGAGGCTCCTGAACAATTCATTAGATTAATTTAAATATTAGGAATCTACTGAATAAAGTATTCCATACATAGCTGGCAGTAAATTAACCTTTCAGTTTTTTTCTCACAGATACTTCTTCTAGAAATTGAGAATTTAATTCTGTGTGCATTAATCCCGGATTATCCTATTAATTTAATGAGCTTATTGGTTCTTCATACAAAAGTCTTAAGATATGTACTCTTTTATAATTTTGAAAATTAGCTGTGTGCTTTCAGCCATCTACTCTTTGTAGTAGTAAACTGAATTTTTTAATCGACCTATCTTGAGGATGTTAAAATAATTTATAATTTTGGAGTTAATGAATTTGGGGTTATCTGCATGGCTCTTTTTATAGGTGGATAGAAATATTTTGGTTAATGTTTTTTGGAAGAGACATTATTCCACTTTCATTTTATTTCAGACAACATATTAATGAGGCATTTTGTCAAGAATAGCAGCAACGTTGGTTGAGGGCTTGTTAGGTGCAGGATGCCGACCTACAAGTTGAAGACATGCAGAATTATAAAGCACACTTCCTCCTTTGGAAAAGTGCAGTGCTCATGGAGAAGTAACTTTTAAAGAGGAAAAATACGTGACAACAGCAAACTTAAATTTCTGCAGGGCTCTTTTGTGTTTTTTTTCTTTTTTTTTCATTATGATGAAATACATATAACATGAAATTTACCATCTTAACCACTTTTAAGTGTACAGTTGAGTAATGTTAAGGACATTTAAATGCTGTACAACTGTCACTACCATCCATCTCTAAAACTCTTTTCATCTTGCACAACTAAAATGCTATACCCATGAAACAATAGCTCCCAATTCCCCGCTTTTCCATCCTCTGACAACCACCATTCTACTTTCTGTCTCTATGATTTTGACTACTCTAAGTACCTCATGTAAGTGGAACAATACAGTATTTATCCTTTTCTGACTGGCTTATTTCACTTAGCATAATGTCCTCAAAGTTCATCCATGTTATAGCATATGTCAAATTCCCTTCATTTTTAAGGCTGAATAATATTCTGTTATACACACCCCCCCCCCCCCACATTTTGCCACATTTTGCTTATCCATTCATCTGTGGATAGACACTTGAGTTGCTTCCATGTTTTAGCTATTGTGAATAATGTTACTATGAAGATGGGTATACACATTTCTCTTCAAGGCCCTGTGTTTTTTAAAAGCAATTTTCAAGTACATAACATATTGTTATTAATTATAGTCACAATGATGTACAATAGATCTTCTGAACTTATTTATCCTGCCTAACTAAAATTGTGTATCCTTTTACCAACATCTCCCCAACCCCCTCCCCCAGCCTCTGGTAACCATCATTCTACTCTGTGCTTCTATGAGTTTGACTTTTTAAGATTTCACATATAAATGAAATATACAGTATTTGTCTTTCAGTGCCTGGCTTATTTCACTTAACGTAATGTTCACCAGGTTCATTCATGGCTTTGCAAATGACATTTCCTTCTTTTAAAAGGCTAAATAGTATTCCATTGTATAGGTACCACATGTTCTGAAACCCTTTATCTATTGATGGACATGTAGATTGATCCCATATCTTAGCTATTTATAAATAGTGCTGCAATGAATATGGGTGTGCAGGTATCTCTTTAACATACTGATTTCATTTCCTTTGGATAAATATACAGAAGAGGACATGCTGGATCATATAGTAGTTCTATTTTTAATTTTTGAAGGAAACTCCATATTATTTTTCATAATGGCTACACTAATTCATACTCTTGCCACCAGTGTTAGGGTTTGTTTCTATCCGCATCCTTGCCAACACTTACCTTTCATGTCTTTGGTAATAGTCATTCTAACAGGTATGAGGTGATATCTCCCTGTGGTTTTAATTTGTATTTCCCAGGTGCTTAGTCACATGGAGCATTTAAAAAATATATACGTGTTGGCCACTTATATGTCTTCTTTTGAAAATTGAGACCCTGCTTTAAGTTCTTTTGTGTATATACCCAGCAGTGGAATTGCCAGATCACATGGTAATTCTATTTTTAATTTTTTGAGGAACTACCATATTCTTTTCCACAGTGGCCACACCATTTTACTTCCCACCGACTGGGTTCTTTCCCACAAAATAATCCTAATCCTAATGAGTAGGATTCTAATGAGTATAAAGTGGTATCTCATTGCAGTTTATTTGAATAGTCTCTCCCTTTCTTTCTCTCATTTCTTCTAGGGTTTCCATAAGGTGTATAATGGCTTACTTGATGATGTCTAGTTCTTAGGCTCTGTTCACTTTTATTCAATTTTTTTTTTTTTGAGATGGAGTCTCACTCTGTTGCCCAGGCTGGAGTGTAGTGGCACAATCTCGGCTCACTGCAACCTCTACCTCCTGGGTTCAAACAATTCTCATGCTTTGAGATAGAGTCTTAGTCTGTCACCAGGCTGGAGTGCAATGGCACGATCTCAGCTCATTGCAACCTCCGCCTTCTGGTTCAAGCAATTCTCCTGCCTCAGCCTCCTGAGTCGCTGGGACTACAGGTATGCGCCACCACACCCAGCTAACTTTTGTATTTTTAGTAGAGACGTGGTTTCGCCATGTTAGCCAGGTTGGTCTTGATCTCTTGACCTCATGAGCTGCCCGCCTTGGCCTCTGAAAGTGCTGGGATTACAGGCTTGAGCCATGGCGCCCGGGCTAATTTTTTTGCATTTTTAGTAGAGATGGGGTTTACCATGTTGGCCAGGCTGGTCTTGAACTCCTGATCTCAGGTGATCCGCCCACCTCGGCCTCCCAAAGTGCTAGAATTACAGGTGTGAGCCACTGTGCCTGGCCACTTTTATTCAATATTTTTTTGTTGTTGTTCATTAGACTTAGTTTTCATTATTCTGTATTAAAGTTCACTTCTGTGTTCAGATTTTCTCTTCTGCTTTCTCTTTTTTTTCTTTTTTTTTGAGATGGAGTCTTTGTCTGTCGCCCAGGCTGGAGTGCAGTGGCGCGATCTCGGCTCACTGCAAGCTCTGCCTCCCAGATTCACGCCATTTTCCTGCTTCAGCCTCCTGAGTAGCTGGGACTACAGGCGCCCGCCACCACGCCTGGCTATTTTTTTGTATTTTTAGTAGAGACGGGGTTTCACCATGTTGGCCAGGATGGTCTTGATCTCTGGACCTTGTGATCCACCCACCTTGGCCTCCCAAAGTGCTGGGATTACAGGCGTGAGCCACCACACCTGGTGGCTCTTCTCTTCTGCTTTCTCAAATCTGACTCTGTATCCCTCTAGTGATTTTTAAATTTCAGTTACAGTATTTTTTCAGCTCCATAATTTCTATTTTCTTTTTAAGTTCTATATTTCTTTATGATATTTACATTTTGTTCATACATCATTTTCTTGACTTTTTCACATTTCTTTCTTTCTTTTTTTTTTTTTTTTTTTTTGACACAGAGTTTTACTCTGTCAGCCAGTCTGGAGTGCAGTGGCACAATCTGTGCTCACTGCAACCTCTGCCTCCCAGTTTCAAGAGATTCTCATGCCTCAGCCACCCAGGTAGTTGGGATTACAGGTGTGTGCCACCACACCTGGCTAATTTTTGTATTTTTAGTAGAGATGGGGTTTCACCATGTTGATCAGGCTGATCTCAAACTCCTGACCCCAGGTAATCCACCTGCCTCAGCTTCCCACAGTGCTGGGATTACAGGCATGAGCCACTGTGCCTGGCCTTCTTTTTTCTTTCTTTATTTCTTTGTTTCTTTCTTCCTTCCTTCCTTTCTTTTCTTTCCTTTCTTTCTTTCTTTCTTTCTTTCTTTCTTTCTTTCTTTCTTTCTTTCTTTCTTTCTTTCCTTCCTTCCTTCCTTCCTTCCTTCTCTTTCTTTCTTTCTTTCTTTCTTTCTTTCTTTCTTTCTTTCTTTCTTTCAGTTCTTTGAGTGTCTTTGAGACAGTCATTTTAAGGTCTTTGTCTGGTAGATCTGCCATCAGGTGTTTTTCAGGCACAATTTCTGTTGATTCATTCTTTTGCTTGGAATGTGCCATACTTTCCTGTTTCTACGTATGACTTGTGATTTCTTTTTTTGCCGAAAACTGGACATTTGAATCTAACAGTGTTGTATTTCCGGAAATCAGAGTCTCTTCCTTCTCTAAGACTTACTGTTTTTTGTTGTTGTTGTTGTTTAAATTGTTGTAGGCTCTCTCTGTGCAGATCAGCCTGAGCTATACACTTAAGGTTTTCTTGGGTTTTTCTGAGCCTGAGCCTGTGCCTTTGCCTGGACACGTGCAGTGACTTCCTAATTTCCTCTCTACATGTAGCAGCTTTTGGATGCACTAGTCTTCAATGTCTGGTTTCCATAAGGTGAAAAGGAGATAAATGAAAGGAGGTAAAAAAAAGACACCAGTCCCTTAAATCCCCTGGAATTCACTCCAGCTAGAAGGGGAGGGGCTTGCAACCATGAGGGAGAGGCATAACAAAAATGGCCTTCACCTCTTCATCTATACTTCTGTGATCATAGCCAGTAATCAGTGATCAGAGCAGGAGTCCCCATTATTTGGAGGACAGGGTCTTTTTTTCTCCCCACCCTAATTTCAGCAAGCTGTGTGAAAGATCTTCCGGGAACATGGAGTGTAGGATGGGTAGCTACTACTGGCTGAGAGCTGAAATGACGGAAATTAACTGCAATTTAATATCCATCCCTTCCCCTGAAAGTTGTAAGCCTTCAGTAGACTCCAGAGTTCCCAAATAGTTACATGAGATTCTGCCAGTGCAGTTTTTGTCTAGGTGGTGAAACAGACTTCTGATGCTTCCTACTCTATCTTCTTCCCAGAATCCTCCAAGTTTTATAGTTTTTAGTGTGCCTTCACATTTATTCTTTGTGATAAATTTGCAAGGCAGGTTACTGCAGTCACTCACTTGATAGATGAGAAAGTTTAGTGGCTTGCCCACAACTATACAACTAATATGTAACAGAACCAGCACTCAAATCCATGTTTCTTTTAATCTACAGCACCCTCTGCTTTGATATAGTAAATACTAAATAGTTAATGTAGAAATCAGAGAAGCAGGCGGGGCACGGTGGCTCACGCCTGTAATCCTAGCACTTTGGGAGGCTGAGGCGGGTGGATCACTTCAGGTCAGGAGTTCAAGACCAACCTGGCCAACATGGTGAAGTCCATCTCTACTAAAAATACAAAAATTAGCCAGGCATTATGCTTCACACCTGTAATCCCAGCTATTCAGGAGGCTGAGTCATGAGAATTGCTTGAACCCAGGAGGCAGAGGTTGCAGTGAGCCAAGATCACACCACTGCACTTCAGCCTGAGTGAAGGAGTGAGACTCTGTCTTAACAAAAAAAGAGCCTGTATAGCCAAGACAATCCTAAGCAAAAAGAACAAAGCTGGAGGCATCGCGCTACCTGACTTCAAACTATACTACAAGGCTACAGTAACCAAAACAGCATGGTACTGGTACCAAAACAGATATATAGACCAATGGAACAGAACAGAGTCCTCAGAAATAACACCACACATCTGCAACCATCTGGTCTTTGACAAACCTGACAAAAACAAGAAATGGGGAAAGGATTCCCTATTTAATAAATAGTGCTGGGAAAACTGGCTAGCCATATGAAGAAAGCCGAAAGTGGATCCCTTCCTTACACCCTTTACAAAAATTAACTCAAGATGGATTAAAGACTTAAACGTAAGACCTAAAACCATAAAAACCCTAGAAGAAAACCTAGGCAATACCATTCAGGACATAGGCATGGACAAAGGCTTCATGACTAAAACACAAAAAGCAATGGCAACAAAAGCCAAAATAGACAAATGGGATCTAATTAAACTGAAGAGCTTCAGCACAGCAAAAGAAACTACCATCAGAGTGAACAGGCAACCTGCAGAATGGGAGAAAATGTTTGCAATCTACCCATCTGGCAAAGGACTAATATCAGAATCTACAAAGAATTTAAACAAATTTACAAAAAAAAAAAACCCCATCAACAAGTGGGCAAAGGATATGAACAGACATTTCTCAAAAGAAGACATTTATGCAGACAACAGACAAATGAAAAAATGCTCATCATCACTGCTCATCAGAGAAATGCAAATCAGAACCACAGTGAGATACCATCTCATACCAGTTAAAATGGTGATCATTAAAAAGTCATGAAACAACACACACTGGAGAGGATGTGGAGAAATAGGAATGCTTTTACACTGTTGGTGGGAGTGTAAATTAGTTCAACCATTGTGGAAGACAGTGTGGCAATTCCTCAAGGATCTAGGGCTAGAAATACCATTTGACCCAGCAATCCCATTACTGGGTATATACCCAAAGGATTAGAAATCATGCTGCTATAAAGACACATGCACATGTATGTTTACTGAGGAACTATTCACAATAGCAAAGACTTGGAACCAACCCAAATGTCCATCAATGATAGACTAGATAAAGAAAATGTGGCGCATATACACCATGGAATACTATGCTGCCATAAAAAAGGATGAGTTCATATCCTTTGCAGGGACATGGATGAAGCCAGAAACTATCATTCTGAGCAAACTATAACAAGGACAGAAAACCAAACACCTCATGTTCTCACTCATAGGTGGGAATTGAACAATGAGAACACTTGGACACAGGGAGGGGAACATAACACACCAGGGCCTGTCAGGGGGTGGGGGAGCTGGGAGAGAGATAGTATTAGGAGAAATACCTAATGTAAACGACGAGTTGATGGGTGCAGCAAACCAACATGGCACATGTATGCCTACGTAACAAACCTGCACGTTGTGCACATGTACCCTAGAACTTAAAGTATAATTAAAAACACACAAACACATAGAAAGAAATCAGAGAAGCAAAACCTCATCAACCCTTCTAGATACCAGGGAGTAGTACATCAGGAGCTGGTGTACAGAGAAGAAGAGTATGAGATGAACCAAGACAGTTCCACTGTTAACAAGTCCATGTGACGCTACCCTCAAAGGCTAAGGAAGCTGAGAGGCCGAAGAAAGAGGCTGACAAATCCAGTTTCTTAGAAAGAAACATTTAATAGGGTCTTAGGAACAAAAGCTATGTCTTAGGCTGTGGTGAGATAAGAATGGTGGATCCCTGTGCCATTAACCCCCAGACCCAGGACTTAAAAACCGTAGGGAAAGAATGTGTAGGACAATTGAAGTCAACCCCTCAGTGAATTGTAAGAATGCAATGTGAATCTACCTAATTCCAGGTTTTATGGTCAAGGGTTGTTTTGACCTAAGGGAAGGATTTACAGTAACAGTAGATAAAGTAGAAATTTTAGAGGCATTTCCAGAACAGGGGTTAATCATAAGTCAACACGGCAGATTAGTATTTAAGATGGAATTGCTTGATTCTCCACAAAAACCAAATACTGGGCCAAGAGAAGAAACTGAAAGTCTGAATTAAAAGCCCCAAAAGCCAAATCCAAAGGAAAATTTGGAGCAAGAGCAGCTGGGGATTTTGTGAAGAGACAAGAGGGCAGACCTGAGAATTTGTGAGGTCTGCTTAGCCCAGCCCAACTGTGAAGACCCTTTTGAAAGCTGAGTTCTTTCTCTGCTGATCTCTAAGCCCCATAGCACCCTGAGCCAAAATTTTAACAGGAATAATAAAGTGTTAGGTCATTTATTTGCATTTTTCATGGATTACATAGCCGTATGTTAAGGTTGTTGTAAGGCTGGTACCATGGTTAGTGGTTATCATATTGGACAAAACAGTCAAACATGGATTCTTTTTTTTTCTTTAAATTTTATATGCACATGTACAGATACTCAAAGTGCTAAGAAAAATAAAAAGTGAAAAGTAAAAGTATTTTCCCTTGCCTTCCTCTCCACCTCTCTTTCTGCTCTAAAGATATCCACTGTTAAAACTTTCTTTTGTATCCATTCAGGAAAATGTGCATCGCAATTTTATATGGACAGGCTTTTCATACATTACATAAAGTGATTACACTAGGGATACTCTTTGATATATATATATTTTTAAAAAATTAAAACTTTAACTTGGAGATCTTGATGCAACACTACATTTAGCTCTACTTCCTCCGTTTTAAAGGTTTCCCACTGTTCCATTTTTGGGGAACAGAATTTGTCAGTTCTTTATTCATATGCTTTTACATTATCTCCAACTTTTTACTAGTCGAGCAATGCTATAATATACATGGCAACTTATGTATGTGTGTAAGGATAATTCCTAACAGTATAATTGCTGGATCAAAGAATAAGAACAAAACGACTCTCTAACAGTCCTCCATGATGAGTAGTGTTTTCAAGCAAGGAGGAAATACACAATTTGGGGATAGGATAGTGCATAAACAATAAAGACTGGAGAGAAAAGGAACCAGAGATAAAATAAAGATTAAAAACCCCACCTCTGTCTGTGAGATAAGAAAGATAAATATTTCTATCAATAATTTTAAGAGTGCCCTTTAAAGTTTAATCAGTACAGTCTTTCCTGGGAATGCTTAAGAACAATGCTTTAAATGTCAATATGTTTTATTGCATAAACACATAACTTTTAAAATACATGCTATTTATTTTTATTATAAAGATATTGCAGATTTACTGCATATAATTTGGAAAATGTAAAAAGACTAAAGCAGAAAATAGTTTTCACTCATCATATCACTATTCAGAGACAACCAATATTGATATTTTAATCTCTTATTTCTGTATATGTATTAATACTTACACAGTTGAGATCATATTGTATATACAAACTTCCCTTTGCCAATTGTTTTGATTTTAATGATTTTTTTTTGTTATTCTTTGCCTGCTTTTTTTTTTAAAAGATAATAGAAATTTAACATTGTTTTGCAATGAATTTGGATACCAGAATGACATCGATGTGGAGAAACCTTTAAATTCTTTTCAATATCAAAGAAGACAAGCCATGGGTATCCCATTCATCATACAATGTGGTGAGTGTTGAAGTCCATTATAATTACCAAATGTTAAGGGCTCTTAAATATGCAAGTCATTGTGTTAAGAAATGAGGGATGAGGGAGACAAAGGTAAGACATCTTGCTTTCCAGGAGTTTACAGTCTGGAAGAAAGTTATAAGTGTGAAAATAATTGTAATACAGGGAAAAATAAGGTAAGTGATATACTAGAGACAAATAATTATTTGAGGGTTCAAAGAAAAGGATGGGGGAGTAGAGGCAAGATTCTATGATGGAGTAGCATTTGTGATAGTCTTTAAACTAGTTTCAGGCCAGGCATGGTGGCTCATGCCTATAATCCTAGCACTTAGGGAGGCTGAGGTGGGTAGATTGCTTGAGCTCAGGAGTTTGATACCAGCCTATGCAACATGGCAAAACCCCACCCCTACAAAAAATACAAAAATTAGCCAGGCATGATAGTGCACACCTGTGGTCGCAGCTACTTGAGAGGCTGAAGTGGGAGGATCGCTTGAGCCTGGGAGGTTGAGGCTGTGGTGAGCTGTGATTGTGCCTCTGCACTCCACCCTGGGCAACACAGTGAGTCCCTGTCTCAAAAAAATAAATTAATTAATTAAAATAGAATTTTGATAGGCAGAGATGAAGAGTAGAGAAATGTGAATTAATATCAGGTGTACACTTCAGCTAAAATGTTTGTGAAATAGTAATAGAAAGAGCCATCTTTCTATTTTTAATATGTAACACTATTTAATACATAGTAGGAATTTAGTAACTGACAACTGAATCACTGAACAATGAATAAATAATAAGACAAAAGTATTAGGTTGGGTAAAGGTGTTAGAGATTCTTGAATGTCAGGATAAGGTTTTACTTTGATAAGCAAGCAGGAGGTATTGGAATTTTTTCCATAGGAGGATAATTACATTCAGCACTTACTGATATGTTTTCTAGCCACTACACAAAGGGGCAGGGAGTTAAAGACAGTCTCTAATATCTGTAACTAACAGCTCAGTAGAGAAAAACAGACGAGCAAACAAAAAAGCAGCCTATAGTGTGTAAAACTCTGTAGAAGTATTTATACAGCTCTCGGGGAGCACCTCCGCAGCCTTTTGCCTAGGAGTATTCCAAGGAAGACCTGACTGGTCAGAGGTAACTTGTAGTTAAAGTTGTTCTGGCAGCTCAGTGAAGGATGACTTGGTGAAGGGCTAGAACAGGAGACTATTGTTGTAATCTAGGATCCAGGTGACGAATTATAAATGTCTGAATGAAGGTGTGGCAGTGAGAGTTAAAAGACAGTTACTTAGAAGGTATAATTGAGGAAATTGATGACAGTATGTGACAGCCTGTCACATGCTAATAATAATGGATAACAGTTACTGTGATTTTGATTTGTACCAGGTACTGTTAGAATCCAATCTCCAGTACTCAAGAGCTATACAAAATTGGGCAAATTGTTTAACTTCTTTAAGTCTCAGTTTCTTCTTTTATGAAATGAGATTAGTACTTGTAGCTACATTATAGAGTTTTGAGAATAATGTGAATTAATAAAGTTTACTAAGTGCTAAGGATAGTGTCTAGCAGTGTTGGTTTTTATGATGATGATGAGGAGGAGGATGTCATTTCATTCTCAGTAACTTTTAGATAAGTACTAATATAATATTAATCTTTTAATAGATAATGATACTGAAATATAAGCAGTTAAATAATTTGTCCAAGATCATAGAGGTGGTAAGAGGTGGAGCTGTTCAAGTTCTTAACCTTTGTGTGTACTGACTCTCTCTGCCTTAGATGAAAGGGACAAGTGTTAACCTACGAGCCGTTAGCAGTGTGTCTGGAGGGAATTCAGGATTAAATGTAAGTGTAGCCTGGAGAGGGAAGTGTGCCTTCGTCCTAAAGGCAAGGAAGGACTGTTTTGGAAAGTGGGTGAAGAAATCAGAAACTATAGACTGGAGAGGGGAATAAGAACAGAAGAAAGTACAGAAGAAAATGTGTATATGGTTCAAAAAACTAACTTCCCTTCCTTCCTTCCTTCCTTCCTTCCTTCCTTCCTTCCTTCCTTCCTTCCTTCCTTCCTCCTTTCTTGCTTTCCTTCTTTCTTTCTTTCAGTTTAATTTTATACTAGTTGAGATCATGGTTTTCCTTCTTATGTTAATCATGTAGTTGGAGACAGAAAGTGGTATTGTCAGCAGACAGGTAGTAGGTCAGAGAAAATGGGAGAGTCAAGTCACTGAAATTATTAATTTGGTTTTAGAAGAGGTGAAGTGGATGTATTATTTAAGGTTCTTTTGGCTGAAAGTAGCAGAAACTAACTGGAGGGAACTGAGATAATAATAATAATAACTTGTTGGTGGGGTCTTGAAGTAGCTCATAGAACCCTAGAATAGATGTGTCATCAAGAATAATGGTATATGATGAAGGATTCAGTTGTCTTTGGATTGAGAGATACCTCATACTTTTGATATGTGCAAACTGACATCTTACTATGATAGATTCATTTCTGATCTCTTTTCTGTGTCATTTTGTTTTGATTGTCAGATCTTTGTCTTAAATGGAGAGTCTTGCCTTCCTCTACTAATTATCAGGAAAAAGAATTTTTTGACATTTGGATTTGTGCTAATAATCCCAACCGCTTGGAAAACAGGTATTTTTGATTATTTTCTAAAATTCTTTATTCATTTTTAATTTCTAAAGTTCATATGTATGAACCTTGAAAATGTCAATCTATAATATAGATTTTAGCTTAGTATCTGGTATCTCTTCAAACTCTTTCTAATGCCCTGCTACCTGTGCAAAGATTATTTCATTGGCGTGCTTTTCCATCAAGTAATAGAAATCTGGGTGTAACTATCTGAAGACGTTGGGGTGAGCAGCTCTGCACTTCCACCCATGGGAGACCACAACCTGGTACTTAAGAGTTCTTCCTTCCAGTTCATTTTCATACAACATATGTCCTTATTGTACAGGAGTGTTACTCAGAGAGTGTCTCCAGGGGCATTAAACTGTTAGACCGTATGCTTTTTCTGCTTAAATCATATATTGATTTCATTGCTTTACACTCTTGGAGGAAAAAGTTCAGACTAAAACAGGAAAAAGACTGATTAAATATTGAAGGATGTCAATGTTATTACAAGCCCTTTTAGACTAATATTTTCCCCCATAGGGAAAATGGTTAGTATTCCCCTTTAACAAAAGCACCCCTAAGTCAAGCATTGCTTTTCCATGCAGTCTGTTCTAAGTCCTTTGAGCTGGATACGTGAATCAATATTTTTAATATAGACATTAGGGTAATAACTCCTGTTTGGTTATTTTTTTATCTAGCTCTGAAAAAGAAGAGCAAAAAGATAAAAGAAAAAGAAAACATTTGGAAACTGCTGCTAAAACCCCTTTCATCTAGAGTCCTCAGGTTATTTATATTTAGAGACTGAAGAAAAATGTCAGAGGTGGCAAAGGGTCTTAGATTTCTCATGGCCCAGGTTTTTTCGTATCCCTTTCTTGTTTTGCAATGCAACCTTGTTTTTCCCAAATAAAAACTTGTCACAGAACCCAAAAATAAGTAGATAAATGCAAAACTGTCCTGATTGAATTAGAGGCTGGGAACCTAAGGTATCCACTTTTTATTTCTGTTCCCTACTCTGCAGAAAGCCTAGAGCTCCAGGGACCGTGATTATAAAACACTGTTCTATTCTTCTTTATTTTGGAAAAATGAGAATTAAAACGCAAATCCAGGCTAAGAAACCTATGTATGAAGCCACTGGCCAAGATCTTCTGTTTCCTAACCTGCGTTCATCCCCAACTTGGGACTTAAATATCTCCCAAATAGGAACAAAGTGTTGGCTCAGTTTCAATATTAAGAATAGTTAATCATATGAACTTACCATGAACTAAGAACTTTCATATAGTCTAGGATTGTATTTAGAGTTCAGACTCTGGAGACAGACTGCCTGGGTTTGACTCCTGGTTCTATTAGCTGTGAAATCTCAGAAATTACATAACCTCCCTTTAACTAAGCTTCCCATACACTGGAATGTGGTATAATTATAGGATCTTTATGCATCTTCTCTGGATCCAGCTAAGCCCCATAGTTAGGACAATCTGCTGAAAGTCCCTGGTCACTAGAGGCCCTTGATCCCAGAATTTAGGCTACTTCCCACAGATGTAACCCTATCCCTAGGATTTCTTAGACCAGTCTTGGGCACTCTCAGACCTACAGAACTGGGAAGCTGTCGTCTGCAGTTTCCCTTACCTTCAACTTACTGTTGTCCCTGCATTGGCACAGACTCACCCCCTTCTGAAAAGTAACAGTACCACCTCAGAGCATTGTAAAATTGGTTTCAAAGCTGTATTAATTCTGTCTCTCTTTAAAAATTTAATTTTTAATTTGTATGAGTACATGATATGTATATATATTTGTGAGTATATGAGATACTTTGATAAGGCATATAGTATGTAATAATCACATCGGGGTAAATAGAGGTATTCATCACTTCAAGCATTTATCATTTCTTTGTGTTAGAATGTTTCAAATAATACTTTTAGTTATAAAATGTATAATAAGCTATTGCTGATTGTAGTCACCTTGCGCTATCAAATACAAGATCTTATTGATTTAATTCTGTCTCTTTTACACGTAAAAACAGTGCCACTTGTGATGAGTGGCTAGATAAATTTAGCCATGTTGACAGAAAACTGATGGACCTTAAAGGTCTAAAGTGCAAAAAAGTTTTCTTATATTTATAATTTTCTTAAGTCCTTGATTCTTTAAATATACTGACATGATATTAACCATCTGTGTTTTATTTTCACTGAAAAGATTGTGACAAAAATATGCTTAAAGTGGCAGCAAGAAATTTAGGGGAGATGTAAAGCAAAATTGATTAAAAGGGCAGTTAATTGAGATTTGGCACTTCCTTCATGGGAGCTCCTTAACAGTGATGTAGATATGATGATTCCCAGGGAGGGGGAAGAAATTGTTCTGATGACCTTGCTCAGTTCTTTGATTCAAAATGGTAGGATGGGCCATCTATACCTTGAGAATATGCTTCAAAATACATTATTGCTAGGCAAAACCCCTGACATATGTGCCATTGGACTTGGATAGAATCACTTAAAATAAGTGTATTAAAGTGATGACAAGTATAATTATTTATTAGGGAATAGTCTGTGAGTAGCAGGACGGAGTAATGGGGTGAAAAGTGTCATTGTCTATATTTACAGAAAATACGGTTTCTTGTCAGTAGTTATTTGCCAATTGTCAGCAAGGCCATTACCAACAGACAGCATTTGAATGAACAATGTGTAACTAGAACTTGGGCTGGAAACATAGTAATAACTTTCTCTTACTTTGCAATTATATATGCTCATTCCATTTTTATAAAAGGCCTATGAACTTTCCCCATTTCTCAGAGAAGAAAATAGAGAGGCTAAGAAAGGATTAGTGACTTGCCCAGAATTCTTCACTACAGCTGAAACTGGAAGCCAAGTTTCTGATGCAAAACCTGTACTCTTCCTGCCTTATCACATTGTCTGTTGGAAGGCATCCTTCTCCATTTCAGGAAGCCTAGTTTCATTCAGATACTTTTTAGTGGACAAAATACATCTTACAAATGGTAGTATTCAGTAATACCCGGAGAGGGTAAGGTGGAGCCATTCTTTTTTCAAACCACTGGAGCCTGGTTTTGTTTTCCACTTCAAGCACAGAGGGAGGCTATACATTTTTGACACAGTATCTGAGAAATAGCCATCAGTTTGCTTCCATTACATTCATACCATGCACTTATCTGCATTGAAAATAGGGATTACCAGCAGAGAAAAAATGATGCCTATTACTTGGCTGAACCAAAAATGTCTGAATTTTGAAAAGGATGTTAAAAAATATTTATGGATTGTATTGCATATTAAAGTGTAATTCATTTCCAAACATCTTTAAATGAAGACAGTTGAATGAATTGCATTCTAATAAAATGCTTGAGGTTTCTTCCTTCTGAATAAAAACTTAATGTTGTCACAGGTTCTTTTCTGAAATGAAGTAGAAGCCTGTATAGATGCCACCCCACAGATGTCTTCAAATCAACACTGTGGGTTGCTGTATATATAGAAGTTGTCCCTAGAATTTGTTTACCTAACACCTTTCTTTGAAAATAACGATAATAACAAACACCATATGTGGGTGGAATTAAGTGTTTTTTCACAGTAGTACCTGAATTTGATTGTAGTTCCTAACTCTTCTCTGTTGGTATGGGGCGAGAAAAATATATGCTGCAGCCCTGAAGAACAGAGAAGTGATGGGTCTCATCTGCCTCCCTTTTCCCTCACTGTTTCAGATGGGAGAAAGTCCTCTCTCGATCCTCAGCCTCCTCCTCCCTTGCCTGGCCTAACACCCATGTATTTTCTGTGGACTTTGTCCCTCCTCTTTTTGGTAGCTCAGTGGAACTCCTCCCCTCCCTACCCCTAATCAATAATAGAAAACTCTGTGACCTAGAGTGGGCTCGAAGAACTGACCTCAGCGTCTTACGACACTACTGCGTGTTCCTTCCCCTCCATGCCCTGAATCAAAGCTATGCCCAGTGGGAGCTGAACTTCTTGTCTGTATCAAGCCTTGATACCGAAGTGAACAAAATAATATCTTATTTTTTCAGCAGTTTGGCTGACTCAGTTCCCCAGTACATAACCACAAAAACAAAAGTAAGAAAAGGAAAAATGGCCTCAAACCTTCCAAACCATATGCTTTGAGGGTTATTAGTATTTTTTTGTAATTTTAACAAGGAATGTGCTCATCCATAGCCTGTTTATTGTTCATTTACAAATCATCCTACATTATTATGTATTTACTAACCCACAAGTTATTAGAACAGCATATCTGTAAGGCTGGAAAGCAGATACTCTTACGACAGCAGAGCACTTGGGCAGGATGCTGCCATCAGGACCAGTGGGCGATTTGGGGAAGGGGCTTTAACGCATCTCATTACCTCCCAAGGCTATTGCTGAATCCTACATCACATCACGGGTAGTCACGGGTCTTCACAGTGATCCTGGGGTTATTAAACAGATAATCCATATGTTTCAGAGGCATAATTATTTGCTATATTTTAAAGAGACATATATATTTCGCTACCTTTTTTGGGGGGGGAAATGGCAGTGATGAGATAAGCTCAGTGATCTAAAATAATTTTTGCAAAAGGCCTCATTTTATGATAATGTAGAATAAGTGAAGCATTAGCAATATAATTGATGCTTTCCCATCCTCGTTAATATATGGTACTGTCCACATTTTTTATTAGGCTGTTTTCCATGCAAATTGGAGATGTAAGGTTATTTGTTATCGAAAGCCACGGATACAATGCTTTTCCTTCCTATTTGAATTTTGGATATATGACATAAAGAGTAACTCCTTGTAGAAGTAAATCGTCTTTTACAGACAGTAAGTAGTTTTATATTTCTCCTGATGTTAATCTTGTACTTGTTGATTCTGAAGTTGTCATCAGGTAGAATGTCTACCTTCCATCCCACTGGGCACCATGAGCACAATATCACCATCAAAAAATGAGAAAGAGAAGCAACTTAGAGAGTCGGTCATAAAGTATCAAAATAGACTGGCAGAACAGCAGCCACAGGTGAGTTGTGATTAATTCCTCCCTAATTCTACTGTGACTCTTTAACTGTTGGTTTCATATGTGCAAATTGACTAAAGTGGTTTACACAATAAAATGTGTATAATCTTTTTCCTGTCCTTTTTGACATCTTTTAATTTTGGATCTAAGACCTGTTCTAGAGGGTGAGTTTTGTAAAAAAAAAAAAAATACTGTATATGTGATATCTAAGCCCATCTATACGACAATGCATGTGAGAAATAGGGACATTTATTTCTACTCCACAGCTGCACATAGAACCTTATAGAGTCAGTCAGCATGTCCAAGGTCATGTGGTCAAGGCGCAACACAAATTTGTGTAACTCCAAAGGTTAGGCTGTTTTTATTTCATTCTTCCCTGAGGGAGGGTTTTAAGGTAAAGAGTTCTTTTAAAAAACATTAACCTATTAACTTAGAAAGTCAAAGCATATTTAATTGTTAAGAAAATTCAATAAATAAAACATTACTATCAATCAACATAGGTAACCATGACAATTTCGAGTGTAAGAAAATGTGGCATGTAGAAAAATTATTTTATTTTCTTGACTAATAATTAAACCTCTATAGATTTAGCACATAAATTCATCATTTTTTAAATGTGAAGCCTGTTGGCTTCCTCAAATAGCAGTTGTAGCATATGTCCAAATGTGTGGACACTTCTATAGATGTCAGGAAATAAAATGCTTATTAAAATAGAAAATTCAATGATGAAGTGGGATTTAAGCTCCCCAGCTGTAGCAGCTTATAGTAAGTGTTTTCCTGGGCTCATAGAAGATTACTCTTTTACCTCACTTAGCTTGCTAGGGTTCTGCAGTGCAAGTCAGATACCACCTGAGATTACAACCAAAGAAACCAGAGCTTTCCTTTTTACCCTGGAGTCTTAGGGTCTCTCTTGGAAAGATACTGAGAGTCACTTTGGAAACACATTCTCCTAAGCACTCCCCACCTCCAAAAAGTAGCTCAACTTTCTACAGTTTTTAAGGCCTTTAGTCATGGTTTCTTGTCAGACAAAAGTCAGAAATAAAGGTTTCACAGACTTTTAATAAATAATTAGGTACATTCAGATCTTTTTGTTATGAAATATTTTAATTTTGTTTCTTATTTACCACACTTGGTAGCTTTGTGAAGGCATTCAGCACATTATGAATTGATTGCATCTTTATTGCCATCTCTGGACATTGTTTTTCTTTTCTATAGCAGTGATAGCCAACCCCAGTATACTAATAATGCCAATCATCAAGACTTAATTAGCTTGTTGTTTGTTTAGAATTGGATGTTGTGTTCATCATTGAGGTAGAGAATCTGATGGCAGCTGGTGGAATAGCAGATTTGGGCCAACAGTTCTGTTTATTCTTTTTTGTTGGTAGTTGATTTTTTTTCATAAGATTTAAGCCAAGGTTATAGATCCAGTTTGTTTCAAATGTAAACAAAGAAATTTAGCAGTACTTATATAGAAATTCACTGCCAGTACTTCAAAGGACATAAGAATCCACTCCATCCTCCTTTTTCCTTTTGCAAAAGGAAGATTTTACAAAATCTTTTTGTGAAAAGATTCCTAACATCTTTTACATACTTTCTGGTACTCAGGGCTTGTAACTGACCCTGCTTTTGTGGTAACCAAGGAAAGCTTTGGGTTGTGGTTCACTGAACCAAAGGCAACCAGTTAATTTTGAGGTGATCATTGAGCACATACTTGCCCTCAGGTCTGTCCCAGGCTGGGAATTATGGGAAATACAGAGTATCTGTAATACCAAAATGTAAGTTCTGTGAGAGCAGGGGTAGTGTTGGTTTTACTTACTGTGAATCTGTATTAACCAAAACAGTGCCTGGCATATACCAGGTACTCAATAGGTAGTTGAATCAATAAGTAAAACATGCCGTCAGATATTATACAGTCTTTTTGTGGATCAAGTCTAACAGCTATTTAAAAATGAGCAACCACTATAAAGTAATATTAATTCACATGTGTTTTCTTATTGTAACTGACACTGCAATAGAAGTTTACTGCAGGAGATAGTGAGGGCAGCTTCAATCAAAGAAAGTTATATAGGGGTGTTGGGCATGGTGGCTCACACCTGTAATCCCAGCACTTTGGGAGGCTGAGATGGGCAGATCACTTGAGGTCAGGAGTTTGAGACCAGCCTGGCCAACATGGTGAAACATCATCTCTACAGAAAATACAAAAAATTAGCTGGGTGTGGTGGCTCACGCCTGTAATCCCAGCTACTTCAGAGGCTGAGGTGGGAGAATCCTTTGAACCTGGGAGGCAGAAGTTGCAGTGAGCCCACGCCACTGCATTCCAGCCTGGGGGAAAGATGAGACTCTGTCTCAAAAAAAAAAAAAAAAAAAAAAAAAAGAAAAAAGAAAAAGAAACCAAAGAAAGTTATATAGGGGAAGTGATACTTGTATCTTGAAGTCTATTTAGGATAAATAGAGGGAAAAGGATAGGGCATTTCAGGTGAGAAAAACAACCTAAAGGAACACTTGGAGCTGAACACTGATTTGTTCTTTCATGGAACCAGTCACTTAAATTACATGTTAAGCTTTCATATTTTAAAAATTAAACTCAGTATTTGTGTGGCATCTCTCTTTTAAAAATGGTGTGACTTGTTACAATGATGCAACTCCCATATAGTTATAATATGGTAATTACTGAACAGAAGACCTCTGAAAGATGACCTTGATTCCTCCTTTCACAAAAATAATCCATGAACATGTTCAGAAACTATGTTTTGGTGATATTTATCTGATGTCAAAACTAAGACTAAAAACCATGCAATGTTCAGTGTAAATTTCCTGTCCTCATTCTAAAACCCTTTAGAAGTAGTTTTGGAATGTGAGATAAGAAAGGATGGGAAAGCTAGAAAAACAGGCCATCATTGGCCCCATTCAGTTTCAAATATAGGCTAGACATCACTGAAAAAATCAAGAACTGGCTAGTTTATTACTATGATTCACTGTATGTCTATTTTTGGTGTCCATTCACCCATTCAGTATCACAGAATCATACAATATATGCCATGTAATTATTATTTGCCCACCTCCTGTTTTCTCTTCCTCCATCCCACTCCCAATGACCACTTATCCATTGACCAGACCTGTGTAGTGAATATAAAAATGACCTAAACCTGCACACCCTATCTCTTAACTCTCTTGCATTTCAGCTTTAATGGTAGCAGGCATCTTGATCTGGAAAATGAAAGGTTGACCAGGTAAATCAAAAATCTTTCTGGATTTTAGGTTCTATGGGTATCTAATGATTAGATGGTAAGAGAGTTATCCTAATTATTAGATGTTGTCCCATAGGAGAAAATGAAGTAGCTAGATCTAAAGGTATCGTTTCCACATGGTATCTTATTTAATTCCTACAACATTCCAGCTAGTTATATCTATTTTAACAAAGAGGAAAGTGAAATCCAAAAAAGTTAAAAATAATTTTAATCAAAGCACGTAACTTTAAATGGTGAAGTTGGAATTTATTTCCTTTTTGCCCAATTCCAGCACCATATTTCTCGCAGTCTTATAGGAAAAATACAGACAAAAAGGACATAAGAACATTTACAGTAGCAACAAACTTATATATTGCAAATCATATTTGTTAAGGGAAATACCTAAGTTCAGTAAACCTAATAGGAGAGCTCAAATTCAAGATCTGTCACCTGTGGTGCATTTTATAGACTAAAGGGGTTGTCCTCCATGTAATTGATAAGCTATGTCAACAAGCCAAGATCCTTGTTATAAATTGTGCTTCTGAATACAACCCATCCCCATCTTTATCCTTTTGAATAGATGAATAAGTAATCTGTTTCTAACTACTTTCAGCTTCATTCCACATTACCTGCTGTTTTCTATACCGAGTGACAAGTGCCACCTGCTGGCCAAGTGATGAAGCTTTTATTTCTATTGTTTCACTGGATTGCTCAGTTGTAATTGGCATATTAGCTGGATAATTGTTATTTTTTGGTAAACCTAGGCAATAATTTAAAAACCATAATGTTATAAAATAAATTTCTCTGTATTTCAGGACCTCTCCGTTCTCAAATTTGCCTCTTTCTCAGATTTAACTTAAAATTTCTCTTCTACCTTCTATTGTGTGACAAGGATGATTGTGTCATTATCATGCACACAGAATCTAGTTTTAGTTACACTTTATTCAGGATTTTATGGTACCATCTAAAATCCACTTAATACCCTCAATCATTAAAAGACAGATCATACCTTTCTCCCTGAATTAAGCTACCCTATATTTACCCCTTTATACCTAAGTAATGTTAATGAGTAGTGTATTTGCATAATCAATATATTTCTGCAATGTGTGATGAATTGCTTATGTGTCCCCTAGGTCTTTCTGAATTAATCTTTTGTATTTACTATACATTTCTTGGCCTACAGCCCAGGCTGTCTATAATCTGACACTAGTTGCCTTTCTATTAATATAATAGCATTCGTTTCTTTCACTCTGTATGGTGCTGCTACTGAGCTTCTCCATATTTCTTACAAGTGTTCACTTCCATGTGGCTCTGCAGGCCTTTGTTTGTGCATTCTTGTCTGGAGCAGCCTCTGGTCCTTCTCCAGTCCTTCAAGATCCAAAACTATTGCCAATCCCTGTATGATTTACCTACTTAGAAAAGTATCTCCTTCATTTCATTTACCTACTTGGAAAAGTATCTCCTTCATTTACCTACTTAGAAAAGTATCTTTCATTTACCTACTTAGAAAAGTACCTTCTTCCTTCCAGTTCCCTTTGTCCCATGTGGTTTTTCTTAGAGCATGTTTTACTTCTACCTGGTATTATAGTCACTTTATGTCTAATATTATAGTTACTTATGTGTCTCATCTGTCTGCCATATCAGACTATATGCTTTTTGAAATAAAGGACTATTTCTCTTCATCTTTGCATTCCCAATAGTACCTAGGCCTGCAGCTTTCATGTAATAGGTATTTAGCAAACAATGAAGGATGGAAAGAATAATTTGATTTATGCAGAATTCCTGAAAGGTGAATATTTTATATTTGATTGGATTGGTTGACTCTACATAGGTTAGGCTGACCAACTTCTGCATATATTACTGAAGACCAAAATGTTCTTATACCTGGTCACAATAAACTGTTGTATTTGGATTGGAGTACAGAGACTGCATTTGGATTTCATTCGTCATGTTCATAGTCATCCCATCAAATATATAGCATTTATAAGACTTCATGCCTGGTGAGAAGAAACTCCAGCAATAGAATTCTGTTCTTCTTCAGTGCTCATGTGGACACACATACAGACAGAAATGAAATAGTATAATCTGGCAATTCCCACATTGATTGTTTTAGCAGTAAATGCATAACAAAGAAGGCTTGCCGAACTTTTAGCTGTGTTTTTCAGATTGAATGGCGTATCTGAGTACAGCTTTGTATGAAGAATGTGAATGCATTTTTCCATGTAGAACTTAATCTTTTTAATGTGTCATTATTGTGTAGGCTGCTGAGGTTTCAAATCTCTATAACTATAGTGACAGATGCCATAGAAAATATATTTATTCTTCAAGAGTGCTTTTCAGCCTCCTTATATAAACTGTCATGATCTAAAATTTGTGACACCTAAAGGCCCTTGTCTAACAAGAGGCTATTCTAGTTATTGTAGATGAAATATTTTACTTTATTACTCTTACTACAAAGATCTCATTTCTCTATGGTGATGTATTGCTTTTCGAAGAGGGATAATGCATGATATATTCACACTTGTGGGTCCTATGCCCTGTGTTCATGGCATACCAAATGAGACATTAAACAAATTGCCTTATGATTAACTAGTGTACAAGTCCTTTGAAGGCAGGTATCATCTGTTGCTTTCTTCTGTGTACCTCCTACTACCACACCTGGTGCAATGCTGGGCACAGTAGATGTCTAACAGGAGTTCAACTCCTTAACTTGCACTGCTTCTCCAAATTATTTTCTTACTCATCCTTTTTGGAGAAGCTGACATCATACTTCCTGATGGAACAGCATTTGTGGTTTACTAAACAGACCCGGACAGCACTAATGATTAAAGGGCATCAGAACAGCCTGGCATTGTGGCATAGCATGGTGCAGGGAACTCAGGATATTCTCAGCTCCTGGCTTCATAAGCAACTTTATTTTGCCATGGGGTTGACACTGAGGAATGCCATCCATTGTTGTCTACTCCTGGGTTTCACAGAAGTGACCAAATGCTGTCGTCAAAGGCCAAGAGGAGTTTGAGTCCAGAGGGAACACATTTTTCCTCCCAGAAGGACAGCAATAGCTTTGACAGTTGCAGGCAGTCTTGCCACATTACATCCCTCTGTTTGCATGCTAGTCAGTGATTCCTGTTCACATCAGCAGAGATGGAGAGAGGAGTAGAGGTTCAGATGTGTTGCCTGAAATGATTTTCACTGCAGGGAATACTGATTTGGGTTTTAATGCAAATACACCTATTTGATCTCTACCCTACAAAAACTCCTTAAGCATCTAAACTCTAGGTACAACCAGTCCCCAGTTAGTGTGCATGTTAATCAGGGACTATCAGAGGCTGTCTGGCGTCTGGGGTACACCTCAGGGCCTGTTCCCTGACTGTGCTCAGAGTAAGATACAAGTCTTTGGCTTCCTTCCGCAGCAGGCTGCTCGCTGCTCCCCTGTCAAGGAAGTCTGTGCCTCCACGCCTGTACCCTCTGGGCACCAGCCCACCTGAGTCTTCCTCTCTCAGCTTGAATCCTGTTTTTCAATTTGCTTGACCCAATTTCCTTCTTACTTAGGACCTAACTTTACATTTTGAATTCAGTTTGGGGAATTGTGTTTCATGACTGTTGTTCTGATTTTGAACTTAAACCTTGTATCTTGTACCCCTGATTCAACCTCATTCAATCCTTGTCACCTGACCATATTTGTGATCTGAATCTGCTCCCTTCCTCTGTCTCAATTCCTGGAGGCTGGAGTAAAATTCATACCTAATCTTTTTTTTTTTTGAGACAGAGTCTCACTGTGTCGCCCAGGCTGGAGTGCAGTGACGCAAACTCGGCTCACTGCAAGCTCTGCCCCCGGGTTCACACCATTCTCCTGCCTCAGCCTCCCGAGTAGCTGGGACCACAGGCACCCGCCACCACACCCGGCTAATTTTTTGTATTTTTAGTAGAGACGGGGTTTCACCGTGTTAGCCAGGATGGTCTCGATCTCCTGACCTCGTGATCCACCCGCCTCGGCCTCCCAAAGTGCTGGGATTACAGGCTCATACTTAATCTTAACTGGGGTCTATTTTTTACCTTGTACTTTACCAACATGTGATTTAACCTCTCCACTCCTTCAGTTAGTCTTCCCCCACCAAGTCCAGCATTCTAACCAGGGTGTAAGGTCTCCTGACACATCAGGGATTTGCATTGAGTCCTGAAGAACTAACTGACGTTAGTCCATGAACTTTGCTTCACAAGGGTCTAGAATAACTTTTCCTCCACTTGGCGGGACCCCCCTTGTAGGCACAAGCCAAGACCACTAGGAATAATTTCTGGCATTTGAAAATAAAATGAAGTATTACTTAAAATGCATCTGAACAGGAGCAGATCTAGTTTTGTTTTGTTTTGTTTTGTTTGAGCCTGAGGTTCATACAATTTTTGGGATCCCTTTTAAAACAGAAAATACCAAACTATAAATATGAAGTTAGGACAGCGCCATGGAAGAGGCTTTGTAAGGGAGGGATGTTGCCACTTAAGCTACATATACTTCATGGTTCACCCACCATTTGTTTTTGCATGTATTATACCATGTGGTCACTGCAGGGTTTTTTTGTAATAAAGGAGAATTACATATTTTTCATATTTCCAATTCCCTTCTCTCCAATCTCTCCCCCAAGATTTCCATAATTATCTATACTTTTGGTGAATTCTAAAACTACCTAATTCCTGTAACTGTAGGAACCTAACGAGAAGAAACCTAACGAGAAGGATGAATGGAGGGGTGAAATGATAATAACACTTAGAATGTGCCTCTATCAGCAGTGCTGTAAATTCACTGACATTTAATCCTTATTACAATGCTATGATTGTTATGATTCCTATTTTGTGGATGAGGAAACTGAGTCACAGAGAAATAATCTGCCAAAGATGGAGTTAGGAAACTGCAGAACCATGATTTCAGCCAACGCAGACTGGTTCCAGACCCCTCATTCTATTACTAAATTATATTGCCCCTCTGGCCAACGTGACGTAAACAATGTAAGAATAGGGGTAGATCTGAAATGTAGGATTGATTCTTAGTTCAAAGCTGTTCAAACGACTCTGCTTTTCTATTTTCAGTTTGGCTCAGTAGCTCTTCTGTGTAAGAGAAGTTGAGAAATTAACTGCTAATTGTAAACATAATTTCTTTTTCTGAGTAGCTCTGTCTATAGTGGGCAGGTTTGGAAGGCAAAGTGACTTTGGAAAGCTTTACAGAAGGGGCAATGCTTACGAGCTCTTTGAAGAAGGAGATGCAAGCAGCAGGATGTGGTGGACAGCATTGGCCTGGCGTTAGGATCCCTGCCTTCAGGTCCCAGCTCTGTTGTTCATAAGCCAAGTGACCTCAGGCCTGTCTGGTGTCTGTAGTCCTTGATCTGAGTACCACCAGGCCGGTGAAAAGAAGAAGATTAAGACTGTATTTTCAGGGATCATGTCTATAGGTCATTTCTAGAGAAGCTTCTCTGAACATTTAGGGCACAGGAAACCACGAGGAGGCGCAGCATTCTCTCCTGAGCATGGAACCGGTGTTGCTTCACTGCAACTGGCCGTTCATTTGCTCTTGGTGATCATTCCTCTCTTCCTTTGGGAGAGGAATAGGGAGAGGACACAGTCGAGGAGTTCCTGTTTTAACAAGTAAAAAAGGTGGAGGTGAGGAATTAAGCTAGATGTTTGCAAAGACCCATTCAAATTTTAGAACCCGTGAATATCAGTTGCCAATCTTCTATCACAAGCAGTTATGTTTGAAATATCTATATTTACTAATACCATTTTGAATATAAACATGATATTTCTGGAGCAGAGCAAAGTATTATATATAACACAAGGAATCACCCTTTGCTCTGGTTTTTACCCCTGGAGCAATGGATTGGGTGAGAGTCAGATCAGATGATATCTTACAATTTGTACTGCAGGCAAAGAACTCCTAAGAAAATGTATCTGGACATTTCTGTATGAGAGTGGCAACCACCCTCTCCACATTCTTTTGCTCTTTGGGAAGGGCCCTGAGTTGTAACTCTTACCCTTTGGAATATAAACAGATCTCTGGGGGTAGGGGAAGATGAGACTAGTTTCTCCAGCTTTACAATTCTGGTCTTGTCTCTGTGGTCCCAGATTTTATTCCTCCCTTAAAATGTAAACACATATTTCCAGGGAGGTAAATGTCTCTGGAGGCAAATCTCTTCACATGCCCTCTCCACTAATAATCAGTTGCAGATTAAATTCTAAGATTTGTTCTTTTAGTCCAGGTCCCAAGTGAAGTAAATTTAATCAGAAAATCCTAACTGTACAGAAACATAAAAGTATTTTCTCTATAGTCCCACAAAGAATTGATAGAAAATTAGAAAGGAGCATTCTTTACTTTCCAGGGCTGTGAGTCTAAGATTATGGGACTGTCTGTTTGAAAACAATGTCACAATTTTATAGAAATATTCACTCCTGAGATCTACACCAGACGGACTAAACAAGAATCTCTTGGTCTGGTGCTTTGGAATCTCCATTTCTGCTGCTTCCCAGATGTATGCACCACCAATATTCACTTCTTTATTCCTGGTTTAAGGATTCTTCAGTGTTTCTACTTCCAGAGACAGTTCATCTTATGCAGCTCTCACTGATTCAGTGTGTGATTTGCGGGACTTTCTGAACTCATAAAGAAATGTAATAGTCTTGCTGGGAGAAGTTATAAGTGTCATTTAAAAATGAATACTGATATTTTCAAGCTTTCTAGGGTAATGATTCTTCTTTGAAATCTGAAAAGATGATGATGATGATAAAAAAAGATGCTATCATTGGTAAACAGCTACTCATTAAGTAACTCAGATTTTGAAGTAGGTTAACTGTGTTATTCAGATTTCTATTTTACAAAAATTCAATCAAAGATGTAAGAATGCATTCCTCAAAAAAAGTACATATGTGATTTTAAAAAAATGTATTTTTAAAACTATAGGCCAGCCCCAAAACTGATGCTGAAAATCTTCATCTATTAGTTGAAATGTATCTATTAGTGGAAATCTCTATCTCTAATTAGAACCAGAAGGAAAACTTTTAGGGGAACTATTTACATTTTTCGTTTAGGTCAACTTCATTTAGTACACTTAACATGTGCAAATTTAGTGCACTAATTTTATGTATATCGCTCTTTCCACAGAAGATGCTTCAAAAGATAAACCAAAAGTATCCTACTTTTTGTCTTAATGCTTTAGAAAACTTTCTCCTGATCTTGTGTTTTACTATTTTGCTTTGACTTTTTCACTTCAATTCCATTAGATTATTAAATTAAGTATGCAAGTATTTCCTTTATATCTATTATGATCTAAGCATCGTGCTAAGTCCATTGGGCCTTATAACAGAAAGGCGATTGATTGCCAAGCTCAGCAAGATAAGTTTCAGAGGGAAAGCCAGGTGGGATGAGGGGAAGTAGTGAATGGAAAGTAAAGAAATAGACGCCATGGGTAATAAGCTGTGTTAGGAAGTTTTGTACTAAAGGAGCAAAGAAACATGGGGTTACAGCTAGAGCATTAGGTAGGGTTGAGGTAAATTCATGGTTAGGAGAGATTAGACAATGTTTCTGGAGTAAGAGGAAAAAGCCAGTAAAATTGAAGAAATACAGCACACAGGTGTGATGGGACCTTTTCCTTTTTTCTTTCTTTTCTTTTTTCTTTTTTTGAGATGGAGTTTTGCTCTGTCACCCAGTCTGGAATGCAGTGGTGCGATCTCAGCTCACTGCAACCTCCGCCTCCCAGGATTTAAGCGATTCTCCTGCCTCAGCTTCCCCAGTAGCTGGGATTACAGGCGCCCGCCACCATGCCTGGTTAATTTTTGTATTTTTTAGTAGAGACAGGGTTTCACCATGTTGATCAGGCTGGTCTTGAACTCCTGACCTCAAGTCATCTGCGCACCTCGGCCTCCCAAAGTGCTGGGATTACAGGCATGAGCCACTGCGCCCGGCCTGGGACCTTTTTCATGTAGAGAGTCCAGCAAGGACAGGAAGTAAGGATTATGAGGACCCCGGTGCAGGGTTTAAGTTAGGGCAGGAAGAGGGACATTTTTTCCTCTGAGATTGTAGAAAAGAAGTTAAGGGTGTTCACACACACCTAAAAATCTTAACTTTTTTTTCCTTCCTATAAAGAGGAGTCAGGGTCATCTGAGTGAAAGAGGCAGGCTTTATATGGAGGGTACAGTAAAGATTTGGAACAATCTTTGTGGAGATGGATACAGAAGCTAGTTAGGGACAAGTGAAAAGATTGTCCAGAAGAGTATGAGAATTATGCATATTTCTTGTAGTGTGGATTCAGTGGTTATATATAGTTTAAGCATCACTGATCTGAAAATTTGAAATTCAAAATAATCCAAAATTTAAAATTTTTTCAGTGTGATACAACACTACAAGAGGAAAATTCATCTGGTTTATGTGACAGGTTGCAGTCAAAACAGTCAAAACGTTGTTTCATGCACAAAAGTATTTAAAATATTGTATAAAATTACCTTGAGACTGTGTGTATGAGGTGTATATGAAACATAAATGGTTTTCATGTTCAGACTTGGGTTCCCTAGATAACTAATTATATATATGCAAATATTCCAAAATTCAAAAAGTCCCAAATCTGATTCCCAGACAGACTGTCCTGGGAATCACTTCTGTCCCCAGGCATTTTGGATAAGAGATACTCAACTTGCACAAATTTTAGCAGCTTGGAATTTCTGCAAAGATGGAAAATGATGTCATTGATCCAAGATTGAGGATTATGCGTGGCAGAGCATAGCTGATGTGATGGACTGTTTTTCTCAGGCAGAATTGGGAATGGACTGGAAGTCAAGAGGGGTATAGTAAATTCAGAGAAAGAACTGTGGGAAAAGAAGTTTCTATGCATATGAAGAACATTGATAATAATCCTGAAAGAATTAGAAGAACTATAAATTATAAAGAAGAGAAAAGCATTTCAGAGGTAGATAAGTTTTAAGAGATGAAAAGACTGACCAGTGTAAGTTCCTCAAAGTGACTGAATTTCAGCTACCCCTGGAGTTACAAAGTGAAAGTAGCATGTGATAGAATTAAAGAAGATGAGCAGAACTCAGATGGGTGGGAGGAATAGACCCAACATTCTTAAGGATATGGTGCACTTTACTAAAGATACAGTTAAAATGTAACCCACTCATTGACTATGGTATAATCTTCTAGGTATAGATCTAAGGTAGAAAAGGTGCTCAGTGCAGCTGTCTTTGAATTCTTCCCCTATCTCTTGCTGTGTTCTTCCAATTGTGAGTGAATTTTTGCCTTCACCCTGTTACTGGAGGTCATTGCTATGTCTGTTCTTGCTTCTGTACTACCTTAAAACGTTTCATTTGGGGCTGGGTGTGGTGGCTCCCGCCTGTAATCCTAGCACTTTGGGAGGCAAAGGAGGGCGGATCACTTGAGGTCAGGAGTTCGAAACCTGGCTAACATGGTGAAACCCCGTCTCTACTAAAAATACGAACAAATTAGCTGGGCGTGGTGGCAGGTGCCTGTAACCCCAGCTACTCGGGAGGCTGAGGCAGGAGAATCGCTTGAACCCAGGAGGCAGAGGTTGCAGTGAGCCGAGATTACGCCACTGCACTCCAGCCTGGGTGACAGAGTGAGACTCTGTCTCAAAAAACAAACAAGTTTTATTTGACATAATTATTAATGTCTTTCTACTCAAAATGTAGTTGAGACATACATCTTTGCTGTGTTTTTCTATAATATCTTAAGTTCTTTTTTAGAAGCAACTCTGATGTTAAAATGAAAGAGTGTAATTTATAGAACTTATAAAATTTTTATTTACTCAAAATTCTGTTTAGTGATGTGATTAATAGTTCAGGTCAAAATCCATTACAATAAAACTAGCACGAAATAATTATCTTCAAGCTAGCACCTAAAATATTACAAACCCAAATAATTTAAGAGAATCATACATTGTGAAATCCATTTTGCTGTATCAGGAACAAGACTCATCCCAGAGTGATTCAAACACTGGAAGAGAGTATACACTGGAATTTAATATAAAGCATCTGAATGGTGTAATAAGCTCCCACAAGTAGTGGAGAAATAACCACCTTTTGAATGTAGAGTAGACTTGTGGTACTGTTTTGGCTATGAAAGAGGTGAGCAGTGGGCTCTAGAAGCATCTGTTTATCCTGCCAATCATCAACATTTTGTTGAGAACCTATAATACTCAAAATCTTGTATGAGGTACTACAGATAAAAACAAATAATTGGGAGTTTACAATTTATTGAAAGAGATCCACATGTCAACATGTAACTATTAGACATTGTGATATGTACAATGATAAAGGTAGGTAAAGTGTTATAGGGGACTTTTGGTATAAATATGGCTATATAGATTTAGCATTTCCCCATTTTCTGAAAGTCTTCTAAGAGCAACACAGAAAATGGAAGACAAAAATGCAAACTGAAATTTTAGTCAAACTAGGAAACTGTCTTAGTCTCTTTTGTGATACTATAACAAAATACCAAAGATTGGGTAATTTATAAAGAAAAGAAATTTATTTCTCACAGTTCTAGAGGCTGGGAAGTTCAATATCAAGGTGCCAGTATCTTGTCAGGGCCTTCTTGCTGTGTAATCCCATGGCAGAAAGCAAGGGAGGGAAAGAAGGCAAGAGAGAGAGAGATTGAACTTGCAGTCTCAAATCCTGTAATAATTGGCATTAATCCATTCATGAGAATGGAATCCTCATAACCTAAACACCTCCCTTTAGGCCCCACCTCCCAACACTGTTGCATTGCAGATTAAGTTTCCAGTACATGCTTTTGGGGGGACACATTCAAGCCATAGCATAGATGTATATCAACATATTTCTCAGGGCTGCTCAAAGCAATCAAGATGATGCAGGAGCTCCACAGGAAGAATAGAAGAGAAATCTAAGGAAGAGCCCAGCGGTAGCATATCAAAAGAATCCATACAAATACACTTACTGAAGAAGGACACATCTAGAGATGGAAAAGCTATAGCCGTTATCTGCAATAGCCAGCAGGCAACAGGAACCCTACTGGACCAACTTTGATTCACATTAGTAGAAAATGTGAAATGCACATGAAAGGACTCAAATAAGTCACAATTTGCAGAAGCAGTATTTTTTGTAGAGATCAGAGGAAAAGAAGCTAGGCTTGTGAAAAATAACTTGCCTAGAAATTTGCCCTCCACTTAACGCTTTCTATAGAAAGCTCTGGCAAAGAGCTGGTCCTGGAAAATCCAACTTTTATAATGACATGTTTAAAAAAACAAACTAGTGTAGCATCTAAACAGATACACTAAAAAAACAAAGATTCCAGTAAAATGTCAATAAGAAACCATATAATTATATAACATAAATAAAATACTGCAAGAAAAACGTTAAAGAATTCTAGCAAAATATAAATGACAAAAAAGAAGCAACTATAGCCATTCCTGATAAAATTTTCAGAAAATCAGGAATAGAAGAAAACTCTCTCAACTGATAAAGGGCATCTACAAAACACTTGCAGCTAAAATCTTGCTTATTAGTGAAAGAATCAATGTTCTCCCACTAAGGTCAGGAATGAGGCAAGGGAGTTTCACTCTCACCCCTCCAGTTCCACATTGTACAAGAGGTTCTAGATGGTGTGAAAAGAGAGAAAAAGAAAGAAAAGGCACTCAGATTACAGAAGAAGAGGTAAAAGTTTTTTTTCTTTCAAGATTTGATAGTTTATGTAGAAAACAGATAATATTTACAGAAAGTTACTAGAACTACTGAAATGAGCTTTAGCAAGGTTGCAGGACACAAAATCAATATATAAAAATTAACTTTTTCTATATATTAGCAAACAGTTGGAAATTGAAATTGAAAAATACCATTTCCAATAGCATTAAAATATATGAACTACTTACAGATAACGTTGACGAAATACATGTAAGACCTGTACACTGAAAGCTGTAGAACACTGCTGAAAACATTAAATAAAACACATAAATGAAGACAGATTCCATGTCATGAGTTTGAAGAGTCAACATTGCTAAGATGTCTATTCTCCCCAGTTGGCATCAATTAAAATTCAAACAAGTATTTTGATAGATACTAAAAACTGATTCTAAAATTTATATGGCATGCAAAGAATTTAGAAAAAATAACCTTAAAAAAGAACAAAGATGGAGGAATCATACTACCTAATTTTAATACTCATAATAAAACTGTAATTAAGTCAGTGTGGTATTGGTGTAAAAAGAGACAAATATAGCAATGAAATGGAATAGAGAGTTTAGAAATAGACCCACATGTATATAGCCAGCTGATTTTCAACTAAGGGATCAAGACATTTTAATGAGAGAATAAGAATCTTTTCAACAAATGGAACCAAAACATTTGGATAGCCATATATCCCCCAAAATAACAAACATTGATTCTTACCTCCTGTCATATACAACATTATTTTGAAATAGATCATAGGGCTAAATGTAAAAGATAACCTAGAAGAAAATATAGGAAGAAATTTTAGTGACCTGATATTTGGCATATATTTCTAAAAAATGACACATAATGCATGATCTATAAAAAGAAAATTTTTTAAATTGTACCTCATCAAAATTAATGACTTTTGCTCTTCAAAAGACATTGTTAAGAAATTGAAAAGTCAAGCTACAGACTGGGAGAAAATATTTGCAAAATAATACCTGACAGTGGACTTGTATCTGGAGTATGGAGAGAACTTTTAAAACTCGGCTGGGCTCAGTGGCTCACGCCTGTAATCCTAGCACTTTGGGAGGCCAAGGTGGGCGGATCACCTGACGTTGGGAGTTCAAGACCAGCCTGACCAACATGGAGAAACCCCGTCTCTGCTAAAAATACAAAATTAGCCAGGCGTGGTGGCGCATGCCTGTAATCATAGCTACTCTGGAGGCTGAAGCAGTAGAATTGCTTGAACCTGGGAGGCGGAGGTTGCGGTGAGCTCAGATTGTGCCATTGCACTTCAGCCTGGGCAGCAAGAGCGAAACTCCATCTCAAAAAAAAAAAAAACAAAAACAAAGCACAAAAACAATAATAAGACAATGCAGTTAAAAAATAGACACATTTAAGCAGGTACTTAATCAAAGGAGACATGCAGATAGCCAATAAACACATGAAAAGTCAATTTCGTTAATCATTAAGGGAACTGCAAATTAAAACCACAATGAGATAACCACTACACACTCACTACGATGGATAAAGTTAAAATGATTACGCTATGTTGACCTAGGATAGAGAGCAACCATTGAAAATGCAAAATGGTAAAGTGACATAGGAAAACAGTTTGGCAGGGTTTTTTTTGTTTTGGTTTTTGTTTTTTGAGATGTGGTCTCACTGTGTTGCCCATGCTGGAGTGCAGTGGCACAATTATAGCTCACAGCAGTCTCAAACTCCTAGCCTCAAGTGATCCTCCTGCCTTGGCCTCCCAAAGGGTTGGGATTATAGGAGTAAGCCTAGTTTGGCAGTTTTTTAAAAAGTTAAAGATATACCTATCATATGACCCAGATATTCCACTCCTAGGTATTAGTCAAGAGAAATGTAAGCATATATCCACCGCAAAACTTGTACATGTGTGCTTATACTAAGTAGCTTTGTAATTGCCAAAACCTGGAAAACATCCAGATGACCATCAAAAGGCGAAAGGACAAATTATGGCATGTCCATTCAGTGGAAAGCTACTTAGTAACAGGAAGGAGTGCACTCTTGATTCACACAGCAATATGGATGAGTTTTTAAATAATTATTCTAAGTGAAAGAAGTCAAGATTACATACTGTGTGATTTCACTTAATATAAAACTCCAGAAGATACAGCTAATTGACAGCAAGAGAAAGCAGATCAGTGGTTGGTTAGGGATGGGGCAGGGTTGGAAGAGGTGGTGGGGAGACAAGGAAACTTTTGGGGATGATCAGTATGTTAATTATCTTGATTATTATACATATATCAAAATCTTTCAAATTATGTATTTGAATTTTGTGCTGTTATTTGTTCGTCAACTATATCTCACTAAAGCTGTAAATTAGAGAAAAGAAAAATTAAAATGCACATCAGAAGGAAATTAAACATACACATTTATACATACATTTTTAAAAACCCAATGAAAAAAATCATTTTTATGAAAGAAGATTCTGAAACAAATATAAGGATTTATGAAGAGATGCTGAGACTATACGAGACAATGAAATAAAACATAATTTGCAGAACTTAAACAGAAGAAATGAAATCATACAATTGGAAAAAACACAAGGCAAATTATCATTTTGGTAAGCATAGTGGGGATATAGAGCAAAGGTCACCAACTATTACCTATGGGCCAAATCTAGTCCTGTTCATTTATGGCCCACAAGCTGAAAATGACTTTTACATTTGTAGATGGTAAAGAGAGAAAGAGGGAGAAGAGAGAGAGAGAAAAGAATACACAACAGAGACTGTATGTGACCTGCAAAACTATTTACTATCTAGCCTTTTACAGAAAAAGTTTGCTGTCCCCTGGTATAGAAGATAAAAGTAAAAAGCAAATAAAATAATAGAAATTAGGAAAGAATTGCTTACAATTAGTTACACAGAAAATGATCATGAATGATAGCAGTAAGAAGGAGACACAATATTTGAACAATTTGAATACCCAGGGAAAACAGAGTAATGGAAGAACACATTTTTAAAGGTATAAATCAGGCACACTTTTCAGGAAAACGGTAAAACTTGAAGCTACGTGTTTGAAATGGTATGCTCCACAATAGGGAAAAACTGTCCCCAGAATAGTCAACAGTAAGACATATATTATAATAAAATTACTCCACTGTAAAAAAAAAATATAGATTCCTTTGACCAAGAGGTATAAACATCAAGTCACCTATAGGGACAAAACAGTTCACTTTGGCTTCAAACTTCTCTAAAAAAAATCAGCTTCAGGTGATGAAGTAAAAACTGTAAGATCCTCATGGAAAGGAAGTGTAAACCAAGACTTTTATATTCACCAAATTACTCTTCACATAAAAAGCCTACAGCTAAATAGATTTAAAAGTAGGAAAGGGCCAGGCGTGGTGGCTCACGCCTGTAATCCCAGCACTTTGGGAGGCTGAGGTGGGCGGATCATGAGGTCAAGAGATGGAGACCATCCTGGCCAACATGGTGAAACCCTGTCTCTACTAAAAATACAAAAATTAGCTGGGCGTGGTGGCATGCGCCTGTAGTCCCAGCTACTTGGGAGGCTGAGGCAGGAGGATCACTCGAACCCAGGAGGTGGAGGTTGCGGTGAGCAGAGATTGCGCCACTGCACTCCAGCCTGGTGACAGAGCAAGACTCTGTCTCAAAAAAAAAAAAAAAAACAACAAAAAACGTAAAAATAGGAAAGAACTCAGGAAATATTCTCATGGTCTCTTTTTGAGGAAACTACTAGGGATCAAACTTCAACCAGCAAGAGATGTCTGAAAATTCTACATCAAAGGACTGAATGTAAGCATTGACTGTATTTAATTAAAGCAAAAAGCCTAAAACAAATGTGACATTAGACACCAAACTGAATGTAAATACCCTGGCAATGTAAAAATAATTCGGCTAACCAAAAAGGAAAGTCAAGGGTGATAGAAGGGGAAAAGTAGTTTGACGTTTGCCTCAACTGTAATAGGAGACCAAGAGGTGTCATTTATTTGATTTTAGCATACTTCTTAGTACTAAGGTAAACACTGAGAAGGATCATACTGTTGATAAATATCAGGGGAAGAAAACGGGGAAGAAAAAATAAACAAATTTTGCCACTGTTCAGAGTAGGAAATACATAGATCCTGTCTAAAGACAGAGAAAGCTAAAAATATTATATATAGTTATCATCATAATGGAGGTCACCAGAAAAAAAGAAAATACAATGTATCATTAAAAACTTAAATTATAAAAGTAAAGGATAAAATAAAATGATTGAACTAATGTCAAACATGTATATGACATCAATAAAGCAATAATTACAAGTGATACATGAAAAAAGAGACAATCATACTAGTAATAGGAAACTTTAACTTACTCTCAGCTCAGGGATACCTAAACAATCAATAATAATAATAGCAATATACATATAATTATATATATATATATACTCTGCACTCTCAAAATAGAGTATGTAAGTATGTATTTCTCTTCAAGTACCCTTGGAATAATCGTATATACTAGGCCTATATGCTAGGCCACCAAAAAGCCTGGTGGAGAAATTTAGCAGTGTCTATCCAAATTATAAATGCATGTACCTGTTGACCCAGAAATGTCACTTTTGGAAATTGATTATATGGACATATTCACCCAAATGTGAAATTACCTATTTACAAGGTTGTTTGTATAGTAAAAGATTGAGAAGATCCAAATGTCTGTCAATAGACCTGGTTAAATACACTTTTTTACAACAATACACTGGAATATAATACAGCTGTAAAAGAATAAGAAGCTCTTTATACACTAAAGAGAAAAACCTCTAGGATATATCCTTCGATGAAAAGGCACGATTCAACAATTCAGACCATGTGTATAATATGCTACCATATTTCCCTACCACAAAAAGTGGGAAAAATTTGTATATATATGTATACACACACACACACACACACACATATATATGTGCTTATATATGCTATATAAACACATCTCCAGAAAGATTAAGCGAGACAGTGGTATCAGTGGTCACATATTAATGGAATATGAATTAGACAAGTGGAGAATGAAGTAGTAAAGAGGCTTCATTTTAATATACTTCTAAACATGTGTTGTCATATGTGACTATATTACCTCCATAAACATGTGAAGAGAAACAATGCCATGACGGCATAGAAGATAAAGCAATTAGTTCTCCCTTGGGGAATTGGAGGAGACCTTCAGGATAGATAATTTAACTGAGACTTGAAGGGTGAGTGGAATTTGACAAATGGACAAGGTTGGGAAAGTCATTTCAGGCCAAAGTATGGAAACATGAAAATAAGCCTGAGGAATAGTAAATGTGATTGGGCATTGAGTGCGTTAAGGACACAGTCGAGGCCAGTTTACCCTCAAGAGTCCATTGAAGCTGACACCTAGAGCTCTGAACTAGATAGTGCTACTGCCTAAGGTCAGAATTCCTTCCAGACCCTGTACTCTGTAGGTGGGGAACAGAGTCTTGAGAGAAAAGAGACAAGGGCTGTGGAGGCTGGAAACGAGACCCAGTTCAACAGAGCAGTGCCTTGTTCATAACACATTTGATCCATAATGCTTCAACAAACCATTGGATTTTCTTGCACTGTCTTGTCACTACTAATCAGAACATTACTACAGGATATCTAAACTTAAATGCACTCCTTGAACAATTATTCATGAGGGTTTGCTATCTTGACCCTTCTTTAAGAAATGGAGAATGCTGAATTATTACCCTATGCCAGTTGAAGCTTATTTTTACTTACATTTGCCTTAATGGTTTGCTTTCCCATAAAGCCTCAATTTATACCAGTGGACGAAATCACTGTCACTTCCACCTGCCTAACTTCAGCACATAAGGTGAGTAATTAATATAGGATTAAGCAATTTGTGTCATGTTTTAACCATGTGAAGGAGAAGCCTTATCAAGGGCCAACTGTCATCATGGTTTATGAGGTTCACATAGTGAAGCACTAGTAGATTTTAACTGCCATTTTATTCTTGTTAGAGTAATACATGTTTATTAGGGATAAGTTAGAAAGTAAAATATAAATAAAATTTAAATCACCCATTATCTTACTTCCTGCACATAAAAACCTTTTTAAATAATGTATTTCTTTCCAATACTTTCTAGGGATATATACATATATATTTTTTGTCTATGGATGTGAATTTGCCTAGAAATATGTTGTATATATAGTTCCTATATCATTTCTTGTGTTTGCTAAATGTCATGTTACGTTATATTCCTCAAATGTCTGTTCTTATGTAGAATTTAAAATTTAGAGAGGAACATTTTTGAGCCTTTAGTTAGAGCTTCTCAGTTATATCAGTCACACACAAAAATATGGAACTCTTTATAATTTTAATTATTCACATTTCTTAACAGGCAGACGATGGGATTTATAAACTCAGACAACCTTTAAATAAATAGATTTCTGATATACATAATGTATTTTGTATCTTTGGCATTTCTTTACTATTCACTTTAAATATTGGAACAGTTGTTTCCATGCTATCTTCTTAGTTTGTGTTTGTGTTTTTTAAATTTGCACCTTCTGCTAGTATATCAAGGAATCAGAGACCAATGAACCCAGAAATAAGTTGGAGCTGGTATAGTCTTATAATCCAACTCCCTCCTTTTATAGTAATTTATCTAAGATCACCACATACCTGAATTGCAGAACCAGACTTAGAACCTACCCGTTTTGTAATAAATTATCACCAGAGTCTGAGAGCAAGATGAAGAAAGGGATTCTTCTGGAGTGGAGAGCAGTAAAAATCACCTGCAAGTAATTTGCCATGGGAAATAGATTGTAACATGTCATCGTAAGTCCTCTGTAATAATAACATTGTCTCATGCCTTGAGATTTGACTTAGCCATGAACAAACTAGTATACACAACTGTATCATAACTTTACAAAATGTTGGTGGTTTATGTGAAGGAAAATGAGAGCTAAAGAGTTTCGTTGAGCCCTCAGCACTGTTGCGGAGAGGGTTACTTGACTAGTGGACACTAATACTATGGAGGATAATGATATGCTTAGGATAACTAGAGTGTCACTTGGTGGTCTGCCCTCAACTCCTGTCCTTCTAATAGTTATTTTTGGTTTCTTACAAAAGAGAGTAGGCTCTAACAAGCAGGCACATGTATTCTAGATCTCTTAGCAAATACATCTTTCATTGGCTGCAGTAGCAGCTAGCAAGGGGCAGGAAGCAGGATGTGAATGTGGGTAGGGATGACGACCAGCCTTGTTTGCAGCGGGGAGCCAAAGGCAAGCGAACCTCTATTGGGGGAAAGTCAGAATGCACAGTATGTTCTCAATTGCTGGGCTTTTTATTCCTCAAAATCAGATTTCTTGACCCAGCACAACTTTGCAGCTATTTATGAATCAAATTCTTAATGAGCCATTGTGGCATTATACATTATTAAAGTTGTTTCTAAGCTTCTGATTTAAAAACTTTTTAGTAGTAATAAGAAATACCTATTATAATGAGGTTATGAGAGAAGTGGTGATTAATTATAAATAGGCTATCTACCAAAAAATAAAAACATGTTCTTTGTTATTTAAGGAAAATACCAAAACCCAGAAAATCAGGCTTTTGGGCGATGACTTGAAGCATGAATCTCTTTCATCCTTTGAGCTTTCAGCGAGCCGTAGAGGACAGAAAAGAAACATAGAAGAGACAGACTCTGATGTAGAGTATATTTCAGAAACAAAAATTATGAAAAAGTCTATGGAGGAGAAAATGAACTCTCAACAGCAGAGAATTCCAGTAGCTCTGCCAGAAAATGTCAAACTAGCTGAGAGATCCCAGGTATTATTATTGTTTCTTATTCACAAAACAATTCACTCATTCTGGAAATAGCATTCAGTCAAGGTTTTGCTTCATTTTCACATTTTAAGACACTTTAATTATAAAATATACATTGCAATCTGTGTTTCCTGGACAAGGTCCCAATTTCTAATTTTTTTTTCTGTATTCTCTGTTTTGAAAGAGAAGTCAGATTGCTAATATTACCACTGTCTGGAGAGCTCAACCAACTGAAGGGTGCCTGAAGAATGCCCAGGTGGGAAAAGGCTTTTAAATTTGTATTTAAGGGAGAAATATTCATATAGGATAAACCTTTAATCTTTAAGTTTTGCATTCAATGCTTTATAGGAAAAATGCTTAACTAAATCATACATATTGTTACCCTGTAATCAAGGTTCTGAAAAAACTGGGATATAATGTTAATGTATTACTAAGTGTTGAGAGTCATGTTAACAAATGCACAACTCTAGAATTTTCATGTGTCCAAATGAGTTTACTTCTTTGAAAAGAATCACAACACATTTATTCTTACAGAGTTGCCATTATTTAATTCTTTTTTTTTGAGAATTTGCCCTCAGATTCAGCTTATAACAATATTAATGCCTACAATTGAATGGGCATTTACCCTGTGCTAGGTGCAGTGCTGAATGATTATAGACATCATCTCAATAACTTTCATTTTATATCTTCTTAAGCCAAAATTTACTGCCTAGTTTATCTACCTTGTCCATCACATTTGACTTCTAATGCCCTTTTACTATTTCCACAAATTAAATTCGACCTTAAAGAGTCGATATTGTTCACCATAGAAAATATTCAAATGAACTGCTATAGGCTCTGAAAGCCATAAACTTATTTAATTAGCAAATATCTGCTGAGTTCTGCCCAGTGTAAGACAGTGGGTAGTCATGGTGGGAGTGTAGTCATGGAGGGAGGCAAGATATTTTATGCATGGTCTTTTCAAAAGGAATTATTCTTATTCTTATTCTTATTCTTATTTTTTTTGAGACGAAGTCTCGCTCTGTCGCCCAGGCTGGAGTGCAGTGGCGTGATCTCAGCTCACTGCAAGCTTCAAAAGGAATTATTTTGAATAGTAGTTACATTATAGAAATCTCTCACACATTCCTTTATAATATATTCGGCAAATGGTATACAGACTCTCTGAAAATCTTTAGTAAAAATCCTTACCTCCTAAGGCAGCCTTTCCTTAATACCATTTTTGGGCTGCTCATCCTCTTAAAGTATTTCAAGTCCATTTTCCTATGATTTTGAAATTTTTGCCCAAATCTTTTCTTGAGACTATATGAGCCAAGCTGAATCTGTTTACAACCTACAGAATTTCAGGTTTTTTGTTGATTTGAATTATGTATTGTACTTGAATGTAAAGTTTTATATATTCAGATATTCAACCCTTGCTGTGTTCGAACTCCTGCATGTTATCACTTTATAATCATATCTCTTTTAACTTGGAATTCCAGAAAAACTCATTAGCTGTGCAGTTTCAAGATTTAGGATTTGTCAGTTTATTGTATAGATATGTTGCATGCTCTAAAAACATACAGTCCATTGAGAAGTTGGGAGTGTGTCCAAGTATTAGAGCAAAACATTTTAGACATTAAATACAGGGACTCAGTATGCATGCGTGTGTGTGTGTGTGTGTGTGTGTGTGTGTGTGTGTGTGCATACACATATAATATGTAAAGCTATGTGAAGCAATATACACACACTTCATGTAGATATATATACACATATATGTATACATATACCAATGTAAACATAGATGTGTCTGTGTGTGTATATATATATATATGTATAATTTTACTGTGTGCCATTCAGTATGCCAGTCACAGGAGATTTGCTAATAAAACCACATATGGTTTTTGCCACCATCAAACTTACAGTCTAGTGATAGAGACAGACACCCAATAATTACAGAGACAAACGTCAACTGCTACTATGGCAGTTTTTATGACACAGTAGCATGACTGTTTATAATAAGGGTTTTTGACTCTGATAGGACAGGAACATCTTCCCAGAAAATATGGTAACTAGCCTTTTAGGATTGAAATGTAATTACATTGGTAGAAGGGGAGGAAAAGCACTTCTAAGCAATGAGAACAGCATTTGCTAAAGAGGGAATATGGTGAATACAAAGAACTTTAAAAAGACAAGTAATCTATGGCAGGGAAAAGAGATGGAAATGGACTGTGGTGTGAAGGAGTAGGGCAGGTACTATAGGCCAGTCATAAGGGGTTTTGCATTTATCCTATAAGTAATGGGAAACCATTGAAGAGTTTCAAGCAGGGAAGTGACATGACCAGAGTTTTCTTTAGTAAAGATTGCTTTGGCCGAGTATAGAAGAAAGGTTAGTAGAGAGCAGAGTTGTTGGGAAAGACAGTCTCAGGGGTATAGCCTTTTAGCCTCCACTTTGATGCATAAAGATGGACCTTGAGCCTGGGACTCTTTCTTACCGAGAGATAAAGAGCACACATGGCCTATGCTGGGTTTTTTGCCTTGTGCAGAAATATCTTTCTCTGTTGCAAGCCCAGTGTATGCTCTTCTATACTGCTTAAATGCGTGTGTCACATGAAACCTTGGTCAACCCCACTGCTATATCTGTCTTCCTTGGGGAGGGAACACAGCATCTGTCTCCTGTAGCATGAGAAGGGTGCATGTAGCCAATTGCCCAACATTGGCTGATGGAGGAGGCTGCTGGGCCATGGGGGACTGATACACACTTCTGAGGCTGATCTTGCTTTATCTCTTCTCTATGTGAGTAAAGCATTGTTCCATCTAGTGCCTGACTGCGTTGTGTTTTCTTTGGCAACTCCAATAACCAAGATACTATAGGCAGAAGTTATGAGACTCCTCCTCTGGAACTGATAACCAGTACATGGTATTTCTGTTTCACAGATAATGCTTAACAAAAGTGAATGTGGGCAGAGCAGTTAGGAGACTTGACCATGCTCTGATGGAGAGATCACAGTGGTGTAGGCTAGGATGATGGTGATGGAGGAGGTAACTCTGCCCTTTCCTGGAGGCAGTCTTTATTGGATATAGAGGATCATGTAGAGGAAAATGGCAGAATGACTACAGAATTTTGAGTTCTTTCACCAGGTTGAATGGTGATTCCATTAATTGAAATTGGGAATTGTAGAAGGTGACTGGGCTTGTGGAGAACAGCATGAGTTCAGCTTACATAATTTGAGGCTTCCAAGAGGATGTGCCAAGAGAAAAGTCATATACATGAGTCTGGATTTCAGAGGTGAGGTTTAAATAGGAGACAGTCTTGTGAGGTATTTACATACCTAAGGATGAGTGAGGTTGAATGGGTAAGAAGAAAAGAAGGACTAGACAGAAGCTTGAGGAATTTTAGCATTTTGTGGCTAGCTACGAGAGTATAGATGTGCACAGAGATTGTGAAGGAATTGCCAGAGCAGTAAGAGAAGAAACCAGGAATTTATTATTTCATTAAAGCCAAAATGGGGGAAAAGGGTGATTTGAAGAGAGACTGTCACGAAGGCTAAATTCTGTTGAGAAGCCAACTCAACTGGCCAAAGGCCTAAAAATTGTCTGTTGGCTTAATGATTTAGAGGTAAGAGGGATGATCTCAGGAGTATTTTTGTTGTTGGAGTAGAAAGGGTAGAAACAAGATTATAGATTCGTGCAAAAGTAATTGCTGTTTTTGCCATTAAAAGTAATGAATTTACTGCTAAGTGGAAGATGAAGAAATGGTGACAGATTGTATATCAGCTCTTAGAAAGATAAGCTAATTTCCCAGGCGTGGTGGTGGGCACCTGTAATCTCAGCTGTTCTAGAGACTGAGGTAGGATAATTGCTTGAAACTGGAAGGTGGAGGTTGCAGTGAGCCAAGATCACACCACTGCACTCCAGCCTGGGTGAAAGAGCGAAACTCCATCTCAAAAAAAATAAAAATAAAAAGAAAGATAAGCTAATTTCACTCCAGAAGACATTATATCTTTAAGAAAATCTAGAAAACCCAATTTTCTCCTGGATAAATCAGGAGATTGTGAAATTCTTTATAAGCACTTGAAAAATGAATTTAATCAGATTTTAAACTGTAATTGAAACAACATTTGATTACTCGAAGATTACTTGTAGTAAATTTCTAATATCCTGTCCAATAAACACACTAGGCATTACCACTAACAGAGAAGGTGCAGGAAATATAATTAATTTTAATATTAACCTAAGCAGCATGGCATTAGGAAGGCAGATATGCTCTAAGTCTTATCAAGCGCTTATCATACACAAAGATCGGAAATTGAATTTTCGCTATATATCCTACAAAAGTCTGCAGTAAGTAGAGGCAGAATGAAGAGTGAAGGTAGTTTAGTATGTACCATTGATTGCCACTAATCCTTGTATTTTTTTTGTTAATTCCTTGTTATAGGCCGCTTCTTGGGAAATGAAAAGGAAGCAGAGTCTGAACTTTGTAGAGGAATGTAAGGTATTGACTGAAGATGAGAACACGAGTGATTCAGATATAATCCTGGTGAGATAAACTATACACTAAATGACACCTTGAGATTTTCATATTCACAAAGATTAGAGGGATCTGTTAGTGTCTCAAAGTAGTGGAAACATTTAGTTGGAAAACCTAGTTTTGAGATGAAGAAATAAGACTCAGAAAAGTTTAAGTTACTTGCTCAAGGCTACATAAACTAGTAGGGATATATCTGGAACTTACACATCTCCACCCCTAGTCCACGGCACCTTTCTGTTTTAGTTATCTGGGTAAGAAAGCCTTAATATATATGTAAATAGGCAAAAATATACAAAAGTTATATATATAACTTGAAGGTCATTGTGAAAACTCATTCCCAAATCCGAAGAATATGAACCTTTCTGTAATTTGTAATTTGGACTCTCACCAGAAGGTTTAATTCTGAATTGACTTAAATTAGGCAGAGAAAAGTGTATTCAAGGATTATTGGCATGCTCCCCATTTTCTCCTTTAAATAATATGTTCGTATTTCTAACTTGATAGTTGATATCAAAGAATACATATCTGGGCTTCTGTAGAATCGAGTTGCTTTGCCTTCACTGAACCAAGTGTAAAAAGCCCTTGGTGTTTAGGAGGAAATGATTCAAGGACTGACTATATAAGAAATGCTTCATCTGTGAAGCCATGGTGTTCATTATGTTATATAGTGTCCTTTCTGTTAAAAAAAACTCACTAAAAGTAATTTACACATTAGAATTTAATGTCAGGGAAAAATCTATTTGGTATTTTCTTTTATCTGAATATAAATTTTATTACTCATTATAGTTTCATTTTTACCTTGATTGCCAAGAAGCTTATAGCTAAACTTTAACCCGCGTAAGAGTAACTACAGTAGCCTAGGTGGTTCTATTATTGACATGATAAGTGAGAGTATTTAGAAAAGGACCTGGCCTCTTTGGACGTGTCTTTAGGGTAAGGTCCCTCAAAATGCTATATAGATTTGTGGATTAGGTTTAAATTGCACTTGTGCCAATGAGAGACATATCATTTCTTCTGACTTTAGCTTAACTTATGATAATGTCCTTCACCAGAAAGTTATTGTCACAAGGTACCTGATGTAACTATAATGAAAGTTTTATTTAAAAATTTTTTCATTTTGGAAAATTTTAAACATAGTGCAACCAACTCCTGTGTGCCCATTTCCCAGCTCCAGTGTTTACCAACTTGTGGCCAGCCTTGTTTCATCCATATTCCCTCCCTGCCCCCATTATTCCCAGACATCATATGATTTCATGCATAAATTGTAATTATTTGAAGTAGCCCTTTGAAGGGATGTTAAAAAGGTGCAGACATAATTTGTGAATGGGAACAGAAATAGCCTCACTATTAACAATAAAGAACAACTAAATGAAAAAAGTAAACACCAAAGTATTTTCAAAAGGAAAAGGGTCAAAATTTAATCGGAGGCTAGAAAGAAAGACAAAACTGCAACTGGTGTTGTAAATAATGCCGCCTCTCTTGACCTCTTCAAAGCAAAATGTAATATAATTGTACCTGTGAATATTACTGTTCACCACTTGCTTTTCAGAAGTTTCAAAGTCTGTGTGAGTTTTTCATGGAGCCCTTACTTTGTCACCTCTCTCAGCTTTGCACACAGCTTTTGGCAAGTGCCTTTTCAGGAATTAGAGATGATGTTTATATTTAAAATATTGTCTTTTTAGGTAATAGTTCTCAAGTTCTTACATTACTTGTGTGTAGCTATGTGGTATGATTTATTAGTGTCTCTGTGATCCTAGCAGGATGTCTGTTTTCATACTCATGGTGTCTAATTAACTTGGATAAACACGTATTATCCAGAGATGCACATTAATTTCTGTTTGGCTGTAGTTGCAATAATTCAAGTAGGAAATAATTGCTCCTCAAAGTTGTCTGTCTGTACTTTCTTAAACCTAGAAATTAAAAAAAGATCATCCCATCCCCCGTGCTCCTTCCTAATTATCTTCTAATTATAGCATGTGTCTGTGTGCACGTGTGAGTGTATGTGCCCCTGTGTCTATTAAATTTCAAGAAGGAAGGCACTCAGTGCTAATGGTGGTGCAGGAGGTTGTCACTTAAGGAAGAATAATTAGCTACCACAAAAGACTCCCTCCCCTGACCCCCAAAGGTGGTATTTATTATTTTGGCAAGTTTACTGGTTGTGGGACCTAGGGTCTTATTTTTAGGTGTAAGAAACTAAGAAATATGGTATATTCAGCACACCAAAGAAACTTCATCTCACGGGGATGACTTCACATTATCCAAATTCATGAAACTGTGGTATTATAGCATAACATCAGTTCAGTCATTTAAAAGATAAATACAGCTTCAGTTCAACTGGAAGGCACATATTGACTTAAGCTATGCGTTCTGTCCCGTTATGCCCATCTGCATGGGCTGGCCAATTATAATCTGACAGTTGCTGGTGAGCTAGGTGCCTGAATATTTAAAAGGCGTCCAGCTAAGACAGCCTGCTGTGTCCACCTCCCCAAGAGACATGACAGAGATGATGTTACCAATGCAACTATAATACTAAAAGAGCACTGACTCAGCGAACCTTTGCCCTATGCCTACCTGTGCTCCTATAACTGTACTTTTTTTCAGGCTTTCGGGACAATAACTCCATTCTGACTGGCAGATTTGTTTTTGCTATGTTAATAAAATCAATAAATGTCTATCAGTCTGCCTTTTGAAAGGATTTTTTTTTCCATATTAAGGCACTTTATTTTTCTCTGTTCCATGTTTCAGGCAACATCTCACTCTGGTTCTTGTACTAATAGTTATGCAATTTCTAGTGAAATGAAAAAAAAAGTATTTGTTACTTTCCAGATTCATATTTAACCCTACCATTGCTGATTATTTTAGCCATCTGATCATTCATTCTCCAAAATTACCTCACTGCTGTAGCTCACTGTTATGTTTTATTTATTTTCCTAACTTCCCTCCCTACCCCCACTGAGTCCCTCAATTCTTGATTGAATGCTCTTATTGTTTTTATTCTAAGGCCTGTGGTCTGTTGAAGCAATTTTTTATTTTTTTATTTTACCTTTTAAATTTTTTTGAGACAGAGTCTCCCTGTGTCACCCAGGCTGGAGTGCAGTGGCACAATCTCCACTCACTGTAAGCGATTCTCTTGCCTCAGCCTCCCGAGTAGCTGGAATTACATGCACCACCACATCCAGCTAATTTTTGTATTTTTAATAGAGACAGGGTTTTTCCATCTTGGCAAGGCTGGCCCAAACTCCTGGCCTCAAGTGATCCACCCACCTTGGCCTCCCAAAGTGGTGGGATTACAGGCATGAGCCCCATGCCCAGCCTTGTTGAAGCAATTTTTAAAAACCACATTCTTCTTGTTTCCTCTTTTCCCAGTGGGACAATCCTTATTTTCTGATCATTTCTAATGTCTGGCATTTCGTTCTGCACCATGCCTCCCATTTAACATGCTCCAAGTCATTCATGTGGTGTGGAGCTTCATTTGTCCCATCTCTAGTTACTTCTGCTCATATTCTTTGTTGGTATTGCTTCCACAGCATTTTTTTTTTTTTTTTTTTTTTTTTTTGAGACAGAGTCTCGCTCTGTCACCCAGGCTAGAGTGCAGTGGCGCGATCTTGGCTCACTGCAAGCTCTGCCTCCCAGGTTCACGCCATTCTCCTGCCTCAGCCTCACGAGTAACTGGGACTACAGGCACCCGCCACCATGCCCGGCTAATTTTTTTTATTTTTAGTAGACACAGGGTTTCTCCATGTTAGCCAGGATGGTCTCCATCTCCTCAACTCATGATCCGCCCGCCTCAGCCTCCCAGAGTGCTGGGATTACAGGCATGAGCCACTACTCCCGGCCGCATTTTTTGTTTTTGATATTAGTTTGTGCTTGGCCTTTTAGCCAGTGTGAACCATTCATTTTCAAAGTCCATGCAATGAGCATGTTCTTGGCAAGACCTTGCACATCATTTGGAGCTGTAGAAGTTTCCAACTGGGATTTGGTTAAAGCTCCAGGCATTTTCTGGAGATTAAAAAACTGCCAGGAAAATAATGAGGAGTTTTTCTTTACAAAATCTTAATCCTTTTCCAAATGCTCTAGATAGCCTCTCAGTTGGACCTTCGGAGATATTTGGTATGGGACTCTGCATTTCAGCAAACTTCTTATTTTTCATAATCTTGTTAGCACAGCTACAGCTCCCTCCACCATTTTAGGGTAACTAGGGTGGTTCATATTTATTATCTCTGACCCTATAAAGCTGAATTGTCCAGAAATTCTAGTTGTGTGTGTGTGTGTGTGTGTGCGCGCGCGCGCACGCACGCGCACATGTGCACAGGCATGTGTATTGTGGTAGCGTCAGGCTTTTCTCTTTCTGTGTGGCCATGATGAAATTCAGGTACTGTTCTTCCATCATCTCATCTCACCTCTTCATAACCTGAGAGGCAAGTATTCTTTTCACCCCTATTTTACAGATGGGAAAAATTAAACTTGCTAAAGGTCACACTGCCAGGAAGTAGGCACCTTGAGCCCCAGCTGTTTGACTTTGCTCCTCCTTTTGTAATCACTCCCCATATGACATCTCCCTTTACCTCCCACCTTCATAACTGTCCCCTACATGAATTCAATCACCCCATTCCACTTGGGTCAGTTGAAGTACATAAATACACTTTACTCAGGCATGAGAGTTTCAAGGTCCACCGATATATGGCACTGGCTAACATTCAGCATTTTGGCTTGTGTTTCCAAAGTTTTTTAGATGGGCATCTCCAGCCAAGTGTCTTGAATCAATTTTAAAAGACCAATCCATCATCCATGCCTTGCCCAGCCTAAGCTCTCTTTAGCCCGTTTCCCTCCATATTCACCCTAAATCTGACCTAAACAATGTATTAATAGTTCTTTTCTTCTAAGACCCAGCTTTTGTCCTTCTAGTCAAGCTAGAGTCCAGTCATAGTCATGAGGCTCATCTTCTTGGGGTCTCCACTAATTCCTGGCTTCTAAAAAAAGAAAGTATTTTTCTTGTCCAAGATTATCACTCTAGTAATATGGTTGTGGTCATAACTTTACCACCAACCCCTTCCATGAGCTGTTGTTGCTTTACCTTTGGCCTCCAGAAAATCTTATTATTTTCTGTCTTCCATGCTCAAAACACATGTCCTGCCCTGTTTTTTAATGAATAGTGGGTATTCTGAAGTGTGTTCTGTCTCAGGCATTTCCAAACCCATGTGTAAAGTTCAAATTTGTCCCAGTTAATCCCGGATGGGAAGGAAGTGGAATTTTTTTTAAATCACACCTTTTATAGGTATGCTAGCCTTTGTCAGGAGGATCAGTGTCTGAGTAGATGTTGCTATAGTTCTGCTGTTATTGCAAGAACAGTGTCCTGTGGTACTGCTGTAATTAAGGGTTTGTTTAGATATAGTTACAAACTCCTGTGCACTGCTGTGTGATAAACTGGCAGTTCAACTTTACTCCAGGCAAACTCCATACCACCCTGGATCTGGGAATGGATCTGGTATTTTCCATGCCCCTCAAAAGTGATGCACTCTGATCAGGTGTTACTATACAATGCTTCATAAAAACGATAAAAGTACAAATGAAACAATGAGATTAGATAATCTTACATCCTATCAAAGAAGTAAACAGCTCATCCAAATTACATCACCAGGTGAGAGGTAAGAAGTAACCACACAGACTAAACATCCTAGGGGATCTATTCTGAAAGGTGACTGGGAAGAATAGGTTGGCAGACCACAATAGATGGCCAGGAAAGCAAATGATCAATTTGAAATGAGCCGCAAAACTGAGGAACACCAGGGGAATAAAATTACCGATGCCAGCAGTTGGAGAAGTTGAATAGCAATAATGTGCTGAGGCTCAAGACAGAGCGATAAAAGTACTGACTTTATTTAAAAAAAGGCATGTACATGCCTTTTTTTCATCTTGGAGGAACACACTCTCCAAACCGACATTGTAGAAATTTTCTAATTCTAACATGAAGCAACATATACCCTTCTCATAAATATTGGTGTTTGTTGTTTATTCATATTTTATAATAATAATCTTTCAGTTACTATTCTGAATGTTAGAGGCAAACCCAGATTTGCTAAGACATGAAAGAATCTGTATGGTGTGGTTATAGTAAGGTTAGAATAGACCTTCTATTTAATAACCAGGAACCATACAATTTTTTTTATTGACTGACTGGCCCTTTTGTCTCTGTGGTCATTTAGGTCTTCTTTTGGCTTGCAGCTGGCCTCAAGAGCAGACTGACAGAGGGATGTGTTTCATTTTCCCAATCTATAGACATTTTTAAGCACGTGATGGTCAGAACACTGCTGACAAAAGTATTTCAGGAGTTTGGCAATGAAACCTTGTATTTATTATGAAACATGTATCCTCTGGTGTCTAGAACAGAGCACTTTCTGAGGCTCAAGAAAGATACATAGCAATGAGTAGATGGAACCATCTTCCTGTCTCAGAACTGAGCCAAGTCATTTACCAGTTGTACCTGGTCAGCTCTTTGGGGAAGCTTTCAAAAGAGGCAGATTCCAGCTTAGAAAAAGCATCAGTGCACTCTGAATCCCTAAGATCATTACCAGGGCCTTCATGGTATGTTATAAAAACTGGAGAACATCTAGATGAGCTGATGAGTTGCTACCGTGTCTAGGTTTATGTTTTATGGTGGCCAAAACAAATGAAAAACAACTATAAGTACTGTGTTTGGCATCAGTACTACATGATAGCGAATCATAACAATGAGACTGAAAAGGTGACAAAGTAACCTAAAAGCAGATAAAAAAGAAAAACAAAAACTTGCAAAATTAGTCCCTAAATCAACTGCATTCACCCTAGATACACATCATTTTTCTGACTCCCAACAGAATGCCTTTTTAAAATAGAAAACTGTACAGGTAGTACAATAACATAATTTCAGATTACTGAAGTTGCCTTAATTTCAAAAGCGGGTGATTTCTCATCAGCTTTGATGATGCTACCATTCCTGGTTGATGATGCTACCATTACCTCTTTATGAATCTGTATAATGCTATGATCATTGCTAATAATACTAGACATTTCACGGGAAGCCCTCTTACAAAATGCAAACCAGAGCTGCCCTAAGGGCTTTGAAGGAAAGATCATCTATACTCATCCTCCACAGGATTGTTCATCAGTTCTCCAGCAAACGTACGGAGAGACACAAAAACAATGTGTGATATAGTCCCTGATCTAAGGAAAAACCTTGTGGATGACTTATAAGGAATCTAAATATTCAAGTGCTAAAGTCTGAACTACCAGCAACCACGAGCCAATTAATCAAAACAAATTTATTGAACAATACTATGTTAGACATTTTTGAGGGACACCAAAAAAGTCAAGTATCTGATTGTTGTGCTGAAGGAACAAAAAAATTGGTTAAGACAGTTTTACAACACCATGAGGTAGTATTATGTTATGGAAAGGATACAGGCTGTACACTCTGACAGGCTGACCCAGGCTCAAATTCAGACCTCCATGAGGTTTGTCAGTTGTGTCAAATTTTGATATTCTGTTTTCTTGTATATAAAACGAGAGTAATAATGCCATCTATTCTCAAGGTTGTTATGAGAATTATATTCATGATAGAATGAAAATAATTATTTGCATTATAAAAAGTATTTTTTAAAGCCACCTTCTGTAATTCTGAAGAAGACAAATTCAGCCTTTATTGGGTGAGCTAGGAGAATGAAAATTGACAAAGTAAAATTTCTTTGTGGAAAAAGAGAGCTTAAAGAGTGAGCTTATGTGGAAGATAGAAGAGGAGAGGGGCACTGCCAAAAGTGAAAATACCGGGAGCTGCAGAACTGGAGAAGCTGCAGGTGTGCAGAGAGAGATGAGGCAGTTAGCAGATGAAGAAGTTAAAATTATTTAGTTGATACAATTTTTTGCTACATGTAATCATTTCCTCCATTTTCCAATATAATCTTTAGTAAAATCTGTAAGTTTATCAAAGCTTTATAGAGTTGGATTTGTTTTTGGGAGATGGAGTCACGTTTTGAGTTTTGCTTAGAAGGATCAAGTAAGAATCCAAGGCTGCTGTAGGGTCCAGTCTTATCTGGGTCATATAGATAAAATGCTTGACTTGATGACAGTAGTAAGAGTAAATAAACTGTATGCAACTTACTGTTAATAGTTATTCAGAGGAAGGAAGAATATGTGCTGGAGTAATAACAAAAAAGATGTTTTGGAAAGAGTAGGATGTATACTTGTCTTTAAAAGTTGTGGATACAACTTTTAAGAAAGGAAGAGAAGAGAGAAGCCATTCCAGGTAGAACATTTACATGGCAGAGATGTGGAAGCAAGAGTGTGTATGGTAATTTTAGGGAACTCTGAAGAGAACATTTTGATTATAACAAGAGATATTTGTTAAGAAATACTAAAATTGTGTCTGGATAACTTAGAATCACATTGAAAAGAGCTTTGAAAGACAGATAAAGAGTTTGTGATTGAGATAGTAGCATGCAGGGCCTAGGGATGGTTTTAAGAAGGAACACTTAATCATGGATATTTTGTTTAAAAAAATTAATCAGATTGGGATAATGGCTTGGACTGTAAAAAGGAGAAACTAAAGACCAACAAAAACACGTAGGATGGATGCTTCCTGAAAATCGTAGTATAGAAAGACAAGAAAAACTTAAGCAATTTTAAAAGAAAGGTAGTACAGCTTGGTAAGAAATATGGAAAACTAAATAATGAAAGCAGTTCTGAGATGGCAATCTGGAACAAAAACAGTACTGTGAATAGAATGAAGAGCATTGATGGGGAATCTGACCAAGTGGTCAAAGATAGGACTGGATAGGACTGAGGATTTGAAGTTTCAGCAAGACATTCACGTGTGTCATGAGATCAGTTGGAAATAACTGGAGCAAAGGTGAAAAGTTAGGGTTGATGATGCCGATGAAGCCATTGTTTGCCTAAAGTGTGACAGCTTAACTCCAGAAATTTTAATAGGTTCCTTGAGAAGTTGAGAGTAGACAGAAAAAGGATGAACTACCCAGAGAGAGTTGAGACATAGAAGGCTATGAAGATCAAGAGAGGAAAGAATTCCAAGAAATATCTTCATGCTTCCTTAACTGAGTAAATGATACCACCATTCACTGCTACTCTGGCCAAAACCTGGGAATCATCCTGAATTTCTCTCCTCCTTTCTCATCCTGCACTCAACCCATCAGGCAATCTTGCTGAATCAACCTTTAAACATAGAACATATTCTACCACCTCCATAGCTACCACCTTGGCCAACACACTGACATCTCTTACCTGGACTACAGCGGTACTCCTATAAATCATCTTACTGTTTCTCTTGGCCTCTACAGTGTAAAAATCTGAGTATATCATCCAGAATATGTCATATTATGTCATTCTCCTACTCAGAACACTTCCATGGCTTCTGCTCATACTTAGAACAAAACTCAGTGACTTTGCTGTGGCCCTCAAGGCCCTAGATGTCCTGGCCTGATGTCTTTTGAGGCTACAGACCCCACTGCTCATTCCTTCTCTTAGTCTACTGTAGCCACCCTGACCATTGTTGGCCTCCAGTACCCTAAGGAATATTAAATAAATAAAAGTATAAATATGTAATATAATATCAGGTCATATAAATTCTGTGAAGAAAAATAATACAGTTGAGAGAGAGAGAGAGAGAGAGAGAGAGAGAAAGAGAGAAACATAAACCTAAGCCTTTTCCTTTGTCGTTCATATACCTGGACTCCACTACCCACACCACCCCCATCACCACTGTCAGCAGCACACATGTATTTTCATGACTTGATTTTTTTTTACTTTCTTTTATTCTGTGACTATCTTGAACATCAGTTACTGTCCTAAACAATAGGGATCCAGCAGGGGTAAAAACAGACGATCCTCCCTGCCTTTGCAGAGCTTCCATTCTAGTTGGGGGATCATTCAATAGACAAGATGAATAAGTAAATATGGTGTATGGTAGATAATGACAAGTATTAGGGAGAAAAAGAAAGCATGGGAAGGGAATAGGAAGTATCTGTGTTGCATGTGATGAACAGGAGTTGCAATTTTAGGTAGAGTGACCGCAGATGGCCCCACTGAGTGGATGCTTAGGAAAGACTAGGAAAAAGCTGGGGGAACAAACAAGTCTATAAAACAACAAGCCAAAGACGTGAGAGGAGTGTGCCTGGCATATTTGTAAAAGAGCTTCTGAAGAGCCAGATGGAGATGTGAGATGACGACAGAGAGGTGGGGGGGTCAGATTATGCAGGAACTTGCATCACTCTCTCTCACCTGTGTTATTTTTCTTCACAGAACTTCCATTACCTGACAGTATATTATTTATATTTTTATTTATTGAATGTAGAAAATGTGTTCCATAAAGGTAGGTATATTAGTCCATTTTCATACTGCTATGAAGAAATACCTGAGACTGGATAATTTATAAAGAAAGAGATTCCACATGGCTGGGGAGGCCTCCAATCGTGGTGGAAGGCAGAGGAGAAAAGGCATGTCTTACATGGCAGCAGGCAAGAGAGAATGTGTAGGGGAACTGCCCTTTATAAAACCATCAGATCTCATGAGACTTACTGTCACAAGAACAGCCAGGAAAAACCCGCCCCCATGACTCAATTACCTCCCACCAGGTCCCTCCCATGACAGGTGGGGATTATGGGAGCTACAATTCAAGATGAGATTTGGGTGGGGACACAGCCAAACCATATCAGCAGGACTTCGAACTTTTCGCCGTGGTAGTATCTGGCCCACACTAGAAACCCAATGTTAGTGAATAAATTACTGACTGAAGGGGAGGGCCTGGAACATAATGTTAACTGTGGACGAGTGCAAACAGAAGGGGTCTTTGAAGTTGGCAGAAAGGTATTTACTGGTCTTATAGTCCTTATGGCTCCTTCATAATAATAAGTGCTTGAAGTAGGTGTGGAGAGGTAAAGGAGTAGAAGTAAAGAAATCAGATAAAGTGATATCACTCAGTTTTTAAGTTTCCTTAACAGCAATGAAATTAAATAGGTGTTGCACAGCTGCCTGTGGCGTGTTCTTTTTTCCTCTGACTTATTTATGATTTATTTATCTTCTTAAGTAGATACTTTACAAAATTGAGCATGCAGTATTATGTTGATCCATCACATCCCTTGGAGAACTGACAAATCCCATCCTGCTCATTGTTAACATAATTTTAATTAAGATGTCTTAAACTCTATGTTAAGACTTAGCTATAATCTCATTTACTTTGTATGAGGTGTTGTCTATTTCATGATATAGGTAAAAATCTCAGGCAAGAGATTTCCTCCAGCTTCAGAATATGAGACACAGTTAAGCCTAAGTGACTGAAGAACATTTCTATAAGGAAACCAATTAATGTAAATGAAAGACCTTTGTAAGTAAGATCAAATATACAAATAACATAATCGAAAAAACAACTGTCTGTTTTCTTGTCTCATCTTGAAAAAATTCAGACCCTCAACTATATTGTAATAGAAGGCAGCATCCTATAAAATCAGATTTACACAATGTTATTTCAAAGAAAATACTGTAGGCTTTAAATCATTTATCCAAAAATCTTTTAAACATCAGAATAAAGATAATACAGCAAAGGAAAATAAAAGAAATTTTTCATGTTATAGAGATGGCAGAGCTTTGTACAAGTAACATTTTTGGGGAAAGAAGGCATATCTGATCCTAGGAAAAACAGCCCTTTAGAGCTCAAAGCAGAGAACTAAACAATAGAATACAAACATAATTAATTTCGTGAGGCTGTATTAATAAAACCAACAACAAAATTTCTCTTCTGGGAGTGCTGTCATTTTCATTAACCTTGGATACTTTCATCTTGTTTGATTTCATCATAAAAGAAAGTTACCAAAGAAAATTAACACATTTTGTTATAATCATCATGGATTATAACAAAGTGCTTATAGGAAAAGACATTAAATAGTTCCTCTCATAAGCTTATCTTGTGGTTCCTATTAGCTGTTGTTGATAATAGTCTATGCTGCTTATAAACTGGTCTGAAAAGTCTTTAGTCTGAAGTTGGAGACACTTAATATCATGTAGATTTTCCTTATATATCAGTGCATCAGAAGAAAACTTTAAATTTTATGTTAATCAGAAGTAAATAAAACATACACTTTAAGGTCACTTTCAAGATTTTTTTCAAAATGAATCTTTAAAAATATGCATGTTTATTATTTCCTGGGGCAGGAACTTATTTACAGTTTAAGTACAAAAATTTTTTGAAATAGACAAAAGTAGCTTAGAAGTAGTCTTATTTATTTTCCCCTTATCCATAAGGCTTTTCTTGCTCTTGATTTAGGTGAAATGGAAAATGGCAATGATAGGCAGCTACACAGTTATTTTGTTGCTAGGCTACACATGTGCCCATTTAACCTGCTTCCTGAGAGAGCACAGTTTCCAGAATGCTACGTAAAAATACTCCTTTATTTCCTGGGAGGGGAAAAAAAAGAGAGTTGACATCCTCTCTAGACTACATTTGTTTAGCAGGTTAGAGAGGGCATGAAAGATGAAAGATATGTCCACAATGAGCAAACTTCAAAAAACCTGACAGCTCCCTATCTTACATGAAGTAACAGATGGGGACATGGTTGCGTGCGTATCAGTGCGTGTTCAGGGGTCTTCGGAACAAGGAGCAGACAGGAGCTTTTGCCTTCTGCTTGCTTTCTTCATTTTCTTTCTTTCATAACTGCCTGTTCCTCCAGCTTCTCACAGTTTTACAAAATACATAGAGGGAGCATTCTGGGTGTCTTTCCCCGCAGGCATAAACAGACACATTCTCTCTCTCTCTCTCATCTAAGGTATATTCCCAAAGTGTAAGTCAGCTTTATGTGAGCCTTGTAAAATGGATCTTAACAGGATTCCCAAAGTGATGATATACCTGGCTTATTAATGGTACATTCCACCCCTCAAATGTCCCCCATCCACTCCCACCCTCTCAGCCTCCCAATCGCACACCAGCACATATCCATCCTCTCTCTCCAGGTGCCAGTAACCCTCCTGGCTCCAACAATCAACACACTAAGGCTCTGCAGCCCCTTTCAGGCAACTGGCCTGGGATTCTGTCAGAAGATGAGATATCCCATCCCCCAGTATTCCAGGTCAACTCCCTTTCCCCATCTTCTTATCTATTATGCTTTGGGACTACAGGCCCCAGCCCCAAACTCTTCAAAGTTTTCATTGCAGGGATGCTGAGCTCCTACTCTGTCTGCTTTGCAGCAACCAGAGGTACCCTAAGCTTCCTCAAAACGATAGAGGCTCAATGGTTGTTGCTGGTGAATCAAATACTTGACCCATTTGTTGTAGACATTGTTACATCAATGTGTAATATCAATTTTTAAAATATCTGCACAAATATTAGTAGAAATACAAAAATCCCTTTAAAGAAATCAAATGAGTAAACATGACTATGATAATGCAATCATCCTTGAGATTTATGCGATTATCGTTTTGTACATGTACCATTTGTTCCCTTTATAAAAAGTGCATAGCTTTACTGCTGCTAACATTATGATTTCTTTTCTGCTGGGGACACTGCTTTTCAAGGTCTTTTGTCAAGTTTATAATATGTCCTATGTTTTTGTACAGTTTTAAATAAAGAGCTTGTTTTTCAGGTTTCAGATAAAAGCAACACTGATGTTTCATTGAAACAAGAAAAAAAGGAAATTCCTCTTTTAAACCAAGGTAAAAAAAAATCAGCTCATGTATATATATATATTAGCTATAATGTTTGAGACATTTTCAATATGGCTTGACAGCCTGATATATAGATCAGAAGTTTGTCAGCAACTTGGATTTTAAAAAATTAAGTTTGTTGTTCTAGAAGTGAGAGGAGTAGAGAGAGGGTGAGCTGCCAACCTTGTGTGTTTTGACGGGGCAGAGAGACACTTTCTGGCTGAGGACAGTGTCCCCAGCACTGCCACACTGCCTGAAATTTCCATAGACTTATGCCACTCTCTGTCTTGAATTCTCCTTCTAATTTTGATTAGGATTGATATCAGGTCAATAATTTTCAAAATCTGTTTTGAAAATTATGATGATGACAGTCCCCGTTTTTTCATCTTTTAGTAACTTTCTGCTTTTCGTGATTCTTCTGAGGTCCCTAAAAGTAGTTCAACAAACACATTTATTAGTTTTTTCATGCCCAGGGGATGTAATGTGTCTCAGGTAAAAGACTGGAACTTATTTAAGGCATGAAGTTTCCATCTGATAGTATTCAATCCAGTAATAATTCTGTGGATAGAGAAGCTGAAAACAAACTGGATTCAAAATATTTTATTTTCTTAGTGCTCATTATTATTACTGTAATTTTTATTATGCATTCTAATGTTATTATGCCATTATCTTTTAATTTTGATATTATACCATTGGACCCAAGAAACACATCCATTATTTTCATTGTCTTCATCTTCTTTTGAAATAAGTTTTAAAGATCTTAGTCTTCTTAGTCTCAGCTCATTTGGTTTCATCATTCCCAATCCTTTTCTTTATCAATCCATGCCATGGTTTTATGTTCTCTTTTGGTGGCACGTTTTTCCTTCCTTCATACTTTGTTGCTTAGGTAACCTAATCAGCTATTCATTCACAACTTTATGTTTGAACCCATTAGTGAGGTCCCTAAGAAATCACACTTTTTCTTTTTCATCTTAATTACAATAATTTGCAATTCCACCATCAGGATTTCTTTTGTAAGGGTGTCTTAATTTTAAAGCCAATCTTTTATAGACAGTTCAAACTACTACTGTGACTTCAAGTATGGTTCTGTTGGATTTCCAAATTGTACTAGAAAAATTGCTAATACAATTTTATCCTAAAATTAATATTTAATTTTAAATACTCATCCTAGGTTTGGCAGGAACAAATTGTGAAATGTTTTCAAATGACTATTATTTTGAATTAGTTAGCTGTTGGGTTAAAAATTTTCACTTTGCATTGCAAGTCAGTGAGTAAAACCAATGGTGCCTACAGCATGGTTGGAAAACATCTGTCCATTCATTCTTTTTCCTTAAAAGGGTCAGGCAGATCCTCAGCCATTTACCCACCATCTAGAACTTTGCTTGTTGATGTCCTCTTCTACTTAGCCTTCAATAACCCTAAACTTCTTGGTAAAGGTTTACTTGGTGGAACAAGATATCTGGACAGTTGTAATAAAGACTTCTACATGGAAGAAGGACACATTGACTCATTGCTTATACTGTCCCCAAGACACTCTTAAAACAATCCAAGTGGATCATAGAATTTCTGCTTTGCTGTGAGCTGGAAATAAATCACCAAGTTCTGTGAACCTATAATTCTGAGGTCCTCTGAGTGAGAAGACTAACTAAATGACTCTAGGTCTCTTCCTGCTTTAAAGTTCACTTTCCTACTGGAGACACATTTTTCATCGGGATCTGTCAGAATGTCTTTGAACCTGAACCCCAAATAGGAGAGAGTGGGTTATTGGGGGAAGATGGTTGTCTTGGTAGAGGCTGGTGAAAGCAGGGAATCAACAGTTCTGATCATACTCCAGGCTCTGGTAAAAAATGTCCATTTAAAAATTACCAAAAAAAAGCTACACTCTCTTGGATAACTATATATACTACATAAACTTTATTTTAAAACATTATAAACTACCTTAAGAACATATTATAGATCTCGTTACAACTGGTACAGTTTTATAAATGGATGTTTCAATACAAATCCATATTATACAGAGGTAGTTAATGAACTGCTAACATTTCTTTTGGTTCAGTTTATTGTGTGATCATCCAAATGCGATTGTTTGTCTATGTTCTTTTGAAGAAAAACAGGAGCTGTGCAATGATGTTCTAGCAATGAAAAGAAGCTCTTCATTACCTAGCTGGAAAAGGTGAGTGTACTACAGTTATACAAATTCCAAGTGAGTGCAATTATCCTGCTGAAAAGTAATTATCAATGTTTAAATACAAGAAGAAAGGAAATAATAGCAACAAAAGCAATCAAGAATGGAACCAAATTTTACAACAGAGATGTGAAAGAATTAGCAATACACCTTACCCCCAAACCTTTTCATTTCTTTCGTGAAGAACTGGAAATAATGAAATGGAGCTGGCTTAACTTCCTACCCACAGCAAGTAACCAATTCAAATTACTTTAATGTAGTCAAAGAACTGAAAATGTCACACATATATAAGGTATGATTATGAAATCATTAACTGATTTTTTTTTCTCTGTGGTTCATTATCTTATTGTCATACATACATGTAATTATAATCATTGTGTGCTAGAATTTTTTTGACATGAGAATTTTATCACTTTTAAAATGAAATCAGCTGAATGTTTTGGATATCCAATAGAATTAAAAGAATGTTTTAAAGGAAGCAAACTCTTATCCTCTGTACAAACCCATCTAAGCTGCTTTCCAGGCATTCAGACCCAGTTTCTCTGAATCCAAATCCTGTGCTCTTTGCATAGGAGCACACTGAATTAAGAGCAAGAAAAAACAGAGAGGGGCTATTTTCCTGCACTTGCTGACAGGGTAGTGAGTCAATCCAGCACTCAAACCTCATCACTTCACTCTTCCACTCCAAAGCCTTTTCAGCCCCTACTACTTTTAAGGTAAGTCACAAACTCCTTAGCATGGCACAGATCCTCTTCTCTCATGCCTCTACTTTTAGCCCCCACTTTGCTTCCCAAAGGGTTCTAAATTACTAGTAGTTCTCTTTTATTACATCTTCTCATCCCCCCTTTGTCTGTACCACTTCCTTTACTTGAATGCCCTCAGCAACTCATATGCCAGTGTCAGTTACCCTTTCATTTAAGTCTCAGTTCAAGTGTTCCCTTCTTTAGGGTCTCCTTGACTCTCCTCACCAAACTCAGGTATTCACAGAGTCACTGTTGCAATGATGAGATTATATTGTAATTTGTTCCGTAGTTATTTGTTAAATTCTGTGATCTGACATGCAGTGGTGAGCAGTGATCACAGTCAAGTGAAGTTATCTGTTTGAATCTCTGTCTTCCCATTGCATACAGGTTCCTAAAGGATAGAGGCCTTCTTGTCTTCTTCATAATTCTAAGCTTTTGAAAGGTCTTCTCTGACAACTCCATCTAAAGTAGCCCATCTCATTTCTGACAAGTCACACTTTTATCATCCTGTTTTATTTTTTTCAAAGCGTGTATTACTATTTTAAAGTATCTCCTTTACCACCTATTTCTTTTTACCATTTTTTAATTTTAGCTTGCTTATTTTCTCTATTTTTCACTAGATGCCAATGCACTCCATGAGAGTAGGGACTGTCTTGCTTATCCCTGTGTCTCTGATATCCAGAATGACACTGACTCATACTTGGCACTCAGTAATATTTGTTGATTAAATAAGTGATGTAACTTTTTTTCCCCAGTGCTGTTGCCAGGTCTTCTCATGGCCAATACTTTGACTTAGAATTATTTATGAAAATTTGCTTTACAATTTAAGAATCATCCAAAAACTAAAACACATTTGTGTGTATGCAGGTGTGTGTATGCATGTATATATTATTTCATGTAATACTTTTTGGTCTTTATGAGATTGTTTTTTTTTTGGAATCACTGTTGACTTGTAAATACAATATGAATGTTAGAAACAGTCCACGAAAAACAATCTTTTTTTTTTTGCATTTAAAAAAAAACCAAAACTAGTATATTCCTTTATGTGAATTTCACGAAGAAGCAAAAATAATCCATGGAGATAGAAATCAGAATGGTGATTGCCAAAGTGGGAATGGGTGAGGATTGACTGGAAAGGGGCCTTAACGACTTTTTGGGCTGGTGAAAATGTCCCATAACTTGATCTGGGTGATCGTTTCTTTCTTTCTTCTTCTTCTTCTTTTTTTTTTTTTTTATACTTTAAGTTCTAGGGTACATGTGCACAACGTGTGGGTTTGTTACATAGGTATACATGTGCCATGTTGGTTTGCTGCACCCATTAACTCGTCATTTATGTTAGGTATTTCTCCTAATGCTATCCCTCCCCCTGCCCCCCCCATCCCACGACAGGTCCCCGTGTGTGATGTTCCCCACCCTGTGTCCAAGTGTTCTTATTGTTCGATTCCCACCTATGAGTGAGAACATGCAGTGTTTTTTTGCTATTGTGAATAGTGCCACAATAAACATACGTGTGCATTGTGTCTTTATAGTAGCATGATTTATAATCCTTTGGGTATATACCCAGTAGTGGGATTGCTGGGTCAAATGGTATTTCTAGTTCTAGATCCTTGAGGAATTGTCACACTGTCTTCCACAATAGTTGAACTAGTTTACACTCCCACCAACAGTGTAAAAGCGTTCCTGTTTCTCCACATCCTCTCCAGCATGTTGTTTCCTGACTTTTTAATGATCGCCATTCTAACTGGTGTGAGATGGTATCTCATTGTGGTTTTGATTTGCATTTCTCTGGTGACCAGTGATGATGAGCGTCTTTTCATGTGTCTGTTGGCTGCATAAATGTCTTCTTTTGAGAAGTGTCTGTTCATATCCTTCACCCACTTTTTGATGGGGTTGTTTATTTCTTGTACATTTGTTTGAGTTCTTTGTAGATTCTGGATATTAGCCCTTTGTCAGATGTATAGATTGCAAAAATTTTCTCCCATTCTGTAGGTTGCCTGTTCACTCTGATGGTAGTTTCTTTTGCTGTGCAGAAGCTCTTTAGTTTAATTAGATCCCACTTGTCTATTTTGGATTTTGTTGCCATTGCTTTTGGTGTTTTAGTCATGAAGTCCTTGTCCATGCCTATGTCCTGAATGGTATTGCCTAGGTTTTCTTCTAGGGAAAAACAATCTTAATGGAAGAAACTTATCAAATGCATTACTAATGATGGTGATGATAAAGATGATCATAACAACAAAAATAGGTATTATTTACTGACCACTTACACTAAACATTGAGCTACATTCTTTGTATATCCTCAGTACAACTCTATAAGGTAGGCCCTATTATTATTCAACAGAACAAGAAACAGAGGTTTAGAGAGGAATCTCCTGTGCTCTAGTATAGTACTTTTTACCCTTCAACCTCAATGCCAACATGAATGAATCTTTAACATCCCTAAAATGGTTAAAGAAAAAGACTTCTTTAATGAAGTGTCAGCATAAAGAAGGTTATAACTAATGAGCATTCAGACATTGTGTAAATATTCTTTAACAGGCAATTAAGCATTAGTTTATATAATGTTCTTAATCTTAAAAAAATCAGCAAAGTTAGACAGTATAATTAATGCCAAAGAGCTGTTGACAGTAGAAGCACATTCCGTTTGATATAAACTGTTATCCAATTTTAAAAGATCCTCATCTTATAAACATGTAAAATTCTCTAGAGCTGTGATCTTAATTTATGGACATCAGCATGAAAGGATTACAAAAAAAAATCTTTTTATTACTTGACAAACAAAACCCTTCATGATCTGACCTCTACCTGCCCTCCCCAGCTCCATTTCCCATGTCGTACTGCCCCCAGACTCTTGTACTTTTTTCCCCCTATGGTACTGAAAGCTTTAGTCTCATCAACAAACTATACATCCTTACCGTGAGTTATTTTTCATGCTGCAGCCATGTATCTTTTTAAAACCTGCATCAGATCACCTTGTTCCCATGCCTGAAAACTTCCAATGGTAGTGCCCACTCTGCTTCAAAGAAACTCTAGTTCCCTCCCCATGCCCACGATGCCCTGCAATCCCAACACTGACCGTTCTCATCTCATCTCTTTCCATCTGCTTCCTGCTCACTCCAGCCCAGTAGCTCTGAACATTCTTCTTCCTCTTCCAGATCATGACTAAGTATTTCTCTCAACTTACTTTGTTCTTTTTCTGTTTTATTCTATGCTTTTCTCTCAGGCTAAAATAAACTTTAGTTTAAAAGTCTCTTGCATTCTTAGTTAAGTGATTTTTTCTGGTAATATTGTAACCACATCGCAGGTTCACTTGCCCACTGCTTGCAGAGTCTAATTAACAAGAGCTAGGTCTGGTGTAAAGAAAGTGACTTTTTATTCCAAAGCTAGCTTAGGGGAAGAAGTATGGGCTTCCTGCCTTAAGGGTACCACTTCACCTTTGCAGCAGAAAGTGGACACTTTTAAAGGGGGCCTATCATGAATGGCACCTCAGGGGAGGAGGTGAGCAGGTGTGTGGGTCCCCATGCTAGCTTGGTGCCTTATCTACTGGGCAGTTGAGTTAGCATTTCATGGGCAGAAATAGGTTGTAAAGGTGGCTGAAAACTCTCTAGGTGGGAGAGAGTTTCGTAGTGGGACTTTGGATTGTAAATCAACTGTTACCTCTGGAGGCAGTCTCCTGGTGGCTGAAAGTTCCACTCTGGAGCTTCTAAGCATAAAGTTACATGAACTTGCCCTCTAGGGAGTTTCTGGTGAAGGGGAGGTAAAAGGTTATAATTGTATTTCTAAAGGACTATGTAGGTAAGTGGGGAATGGGGAAATGGAGAAAAGAGAAAATAAAAAATAATAGTAACTCATTTTCTTTTTCCTAGAAAAATGGGGCTACTTGGTTACAGTATGTTTTAATTTGTTGCTTTTTAAGTATATCCATTGTAGATTTTTGCCATATGGTTACCATGAGGCTTACAAAAAATATTGTATAGTTGTTTAACAGGTTTAAAAAGTCTCTTTCATCAAGTGAAAGACAAGTAGTATATGACTACTGTTAAAAATAAATTATCACCAATTCCATTTAATTGTCACTACCTAAAAACTTTGAAAAAAATATGTGACTGGAATAAATATAAATTCTTCTAATTAAGAATTTGTTTCATGTAACTACAGTGGTGGCAGTTTTCGGCATTACACGCATGTTCTTGTTCTCATTTGTTGTATATGAACATTTCACTCATTTTTGTATATTAGTGTTTCTGAAATTATTAATACCTAACATGATTTCTACTTTGAAATGACAAACCTCAGCTTGCTCAATGTGCCGATGGAAGATGTGAATCTAAGTTCTGGACACATAGCCAGAGTTTCTGTGAGTGGCAGTTGTAAAGTTGCTTCTTCGCCAGCGTCTTCTCAAAGCACACCTGTCAAGGAAACAGTGAGAAAACTGAAGTCTAAGTTAAGGTAAAGATATTTACTCACATATTTCCACATGCTTTGTTTAACTTTCTAAGCAGTGACAACTCCTGTTGTTTTCCCTACTGAGTTTTAATGATACTGAATAAATTCAGTAGAGTGACATTATGACTTGTCTCCTAACTATGCTGATTTAGATATACTATGGGTTAAATATCCCTTGTAATAGAACTGGTAACTGCCTGTTGTTACATAGTCTGGCAGTATGGTGGACATTAGTCTTCTCTTGAATGTAATAAATAATTTTTACTGAATTTTCTTTCTTTTTTCCCCAACAAAGGCTCTTATGACATTGTATGGCCTTTTAAAAACTCTGGGTTTTTTTTGGTTTGTTTTAGTCTTGGATACTGAACTTATTGAGGGAAATTGAGTTTTACTTGTTTTGTTCTGTGTAGAATGTTAACATTTGTGGACATGGTATTTGAGGAATTTAAATGTCTGGGTCTCATTTCTCAAAGGATGGAGACAAGGAGAGGAAAAAGTTCATGATTCAGGGTTTTTCCAAATAGAGACTGATAATAGATGGGGGCCTTAAAATCAAGTCAAAGAAGTCTATATACAGACTTGTGCTCTAAAATAGGTGCCATATGGGAGGGTGGGAGGTGGGGCTGGTAGCACCACTAAATTAATGTACCTCATTGGTTTTGTTGGGATCCACAGACTTTTGTTGGGTTTTAAGGGTCTTGTGTGGGGTGAGATGCTCGGGCCAGGGAAAACAAACAACATGCCCTACCTGGAATGGTATTTTTCCTTAGGATAGCTACTTGATTTTTTCGTCAGTGATTGACATGATCTTCCTGAAGATGAGAGTTCTCAAACAGTAGAAGCAGGTAGGAAGAAAGAGAAAGGTGGAGGAGAACACGTACATAGGGACTGTAGCCTCTACTAAGGCCCAGGCTGTGGTCCTGTTTATGAGAGGAGACTGCTAACCCCAGTAGACTTGAACTCAATTCCACAGATGCCATGGGTGTGGTGAAAGTCTTTGTAGCAGCATCCAGAGTGCAGGGCTGTGATTACTACATGGGCATGAAGACCCCACCTGCTGTCTCATGCCTAACACCAGTCCTGCCCCAGGAGGGAGGAAGCACTCCTGGTTACATGTGGAAGGACCTTGTAGAGGGATCTATTTTCACTACTGACACTAGGGATCCAGAGACAAGTTGTTGATGGAGCAATGAATACAGACTGCTACATTCCAGAACACCAAGTTCTGACCACCAAATATCCCTTTCGGTCTGGTTGGCAGTCTTCCACTAGCCTGGAAATGGGACAAAAGCAGGCCAGACCTCAGCATGGTTCAGGCATTATAAGGTTGAAAAAGGCCTTGGCCGGGCGCAGTGGCTCATGCCTGTAATCCCAGCACTTTGGGAGGCCGAGGTGGGCGGATCATGAGGTCAGGAGATCGAGACCATCCTGGCTAACACGGTGAAACCCCATCTCTACTAAAAATACAAAAAATTAGCCAGTCAGGGTGGCAGGCGCCTGTAGTCCCAGCTGCTAGGGAGGCTGAGGCAGGAGAATGGCGTGAACCCGGGAGGCGGAGCTTGCAGTGAGCTGAGATCGCGCCACTGCACTCCAGCCTGGGTGACAGAGCAAGACTCCATCTCAAAAAAAAGCCACTTATCCAATGATCTAGATAGATGTCAGTATTATACTGCTGTAGCTTACAGTATAATCCCTAAAGAATGGGATTCTCTAACTAGTTTCCCACCCTCTGCCTGTATTTTTCTAGAAGTGGTATTTAAGGTCCTCAGCTTTGAAGTTGGATTGCTGTAAATTTGAACCCTGATATGTTACTGGTCCTAAAATTCAGGCCTATTGGTTGGTCACTAAAGCATAGTAGTATACAGTAAATTTTATATGCATGTGCCTGTATATATTTGAATAAATGTGAGTATCATTAAAAATGTATAGATATGACCACATGTTCAATTATTCGGACATTACTACAAGTGAATCAGGCCTTCTTAATAATAGTAGCTATCACACCAGGCACCGTGGCTCATGCCTATTATCCCAGTACTTTGGGAGGCCAAGGTGGGAGGATTGCTTGAACAAGCAGTTCGAGATCAGCCTGGGCAACATAGCAAGACCCTGTCTCCATAAAAATAATAGTAACAATAATAGCTATAACAATAATAGCTATCAGGTTTGAACCTTTATTATATTTCAGGCATCCACCCACTTACTTTTTATAAATTAGTTTCTATTCTCACAAATTCATGAGAATGGTGTTATTTTTAAATATTGTGTATGGATGAGGAGACTGAAACTTGGAGGAACTAACACATTACAAGTCTCATGGACAATTACACAAATATGAAGGATGGGGCTGGGGTTTAAGGCAAGGCTTTCTGATTTGGAATCCCATGCTCTTAATCATATATAGCATATACCCTCTCTTCACACTAGGAGACCTAGAGAGACCTGTCTGAGTGTGTTGCAGCAGAGTTTGGATGCATAGCTACTTAAATTTCTTTTTCAGATAGATCAACTTTCTTTTTCAAATTCATTATTTTCCTGATTTTTTTTCTTGGCTAATTTTTATTTGTCTAAGTGTAACATTTCTATTAATTTTAGTGAGTTACATGTGATCAAAAAGGGGATAATCTGATTGAGTGTACTAAGACTTTAAATTGCATCCACTTCTATCATTAGGCATCACTAGAAAATTAAAATTTCCCAGAAACTCTAATGAACAGGCAGACTCTTTATTGCTTAGAATCATCATACTGTTACCAACTGAGCACTCTGAAAGCTGAATGCGTTAATATATCAGCTCTATTCTGTACCAGCTTAAATTTTGTATGGTGATTATTTTATTAAAAATATTCTATGATAAAAAAATTTGGACAGAACACAGGATTTAACTGAAACAAAATGAGCTCCTTGTCATACCAGTTTTCTCTTTTGCTTTCAGCAACATGTAGTATGTTTTCTCAAATTTCACCAGTGAAAACAGATTTCTTGTTTTCTTTGTAAGGTATTTTGTTGTTTTTCTTGTTGTTGTTTTTGTAGTATTATTTGCTATTTTATATCTGGTCCACATGTAATTTCTTGAATTTACTAGACTTTTAGTTTTTCAAGGCATGAAGATTGTGGTCAGCTGTGTACAATGTAAAGGGTATAAAGTATAAAGAAATACTCAGAATTGTTTACCATATTTACCTTTCTTGTCACATGATAAAAAAGAGTAGTAGTTAGAGACCTTTGAAGTATAAAGGGTGTTCCCTCCATTTGGGTCACTTTGGACGTGACGTCATCCTTATCAATTTCCACAATGCCAAGGTAGTGTCTGGCCATCTCTGTGTAATTAATGCTAACAATTAATTAAAAATGTAGTTTTTACTGTACATACTCATTACCTAATTATGCTCAGTCAGGCATTTTCCTGTCTTATATTACTTCTTGCTTTTTGTGTATTAGTTTGTTGACTTCCCAAATAAAGTAACATCTTTGAAAACAGATTGAATTGTCAACAGTATGTCTAACATATATCAGCATATATTTAAATAATACTTTTAATTTAATTGAAAGGGATTCATGTAAAAAGCAGTAAATAGTATTACTGGATGTTAAAATACTTTTAAATATTGGAGTGCAACTGAGTGGTGTTAAGTTAGTGGTACATAAGCTGAACTGGTTCCAGACTATTAAATTTTATCAGATGATCCTAAACATTGGAGTAGTATTACATTTCAAATCTCTTTCAATAATAATAATAATAGCAATAATATTAGTAATAATACATATTTGTTATGCACTTACTATATGCTAGGCACAGTCCTAAGGGCTTTGCATATGATAGCTCAGTCATCTTACAACAATCCTATAAATAGATATTTTTATTATCACCATTTTGCAGATGAGAAAACTGAGACATGTAGAGGATAAGTAATTTGCCTAGCATTATATAACACTTAAGTGACAGAGCTTGGATTTGAACCCTGGCAATCTGACCTCACAGTCCTTGCTCTTAACTGTTGAAATGTAATGCCTTGTTTTGGTTTATTGTTGTGTATGTAAACTTGATAAGGCAGACTCCATTTATTTCATCTCTATAAAATATAAACATGCTTTTTGTTATCTTAGATTTTTAAAATACCAAAAAAAAGTTTTAAAAAGAAAGTAACTTTTTAACATTTCTGCCAGTTGTTAAAGGAAAAGGCCATGAAAATACATATACTAGCAGTTGAGGTCTGCCAAAAAACATTATTACAACTGTGCCATTTCCATTTCATACTAGTCTTTTACTGAGTTAAGGAAGACAGTTTTGGTCAACCTCCAGTAGGAGGCTTGCTCTTCTCCTCAGCTAGGACTAAGCTAATTAACTAGGTTATTGTTTAAAAGAACAGCTGGATGACCAGGTAACTCTATGGACTCCTGCCCATGTCTACCATGTTTAGAAAGAGTAGAGTTGTATCAACATGGGTCAAAGATTTTTCTTAGTAAAAATTATTTTGTTGAGAAAGGAATATGACTATGGAGTGAAATGGAAATGGCCCTTAGCTGGAACTTTTCAAAGCTTGGCCATAATTTGTAGAGATGGTGTTGATTTAGTGGTTCAGCTCACTTAACTAAACTCTCTAAAAACTTTGAATTCAAACTTGCAGATATAGATGTGGATTCCACAGAAATTCATCTGAGATGGGCTTCATAGCCAAGATTCTGAATGAAAGTAACAACTTTGGAAGATATCTTTAAGATATTTATTTCTTGAATTCTTGAGAAGAAAGACAATGTTAAACAAAGACAAATTTCTGATTTTATTATCAACTCTGGGCGTAAAATTCTGAGTAAATGCTTCAAGAGAAGGACTATTCCTGTTCCTAAGTGGGACAAAAGTCCCATTGAAATGGCAGCACTTGGTTCAGGAGTTGCCCCAAGTGCATCTACTTAATGCAGTGGATACTAGTGAATGAATCCAGGTTTATTCCTATAATTTTGTGCTTCGTGTCTCCTGGCCCACCTTTAAATGTACTTTATGGATTCCTGGCTCACTGTGTCTGTTCTAGGGGAAATCTCAAGTTTGAGGATAGAGAGAGGTTTGATAAGATGTACCCTCAAGAGCAAAGAAAGTATTGCTGAAGAATATCATTCAAGAAAGGGACTCAAGACAATAAAACTGAAGTAATTTTTAAAGAGTTCTTAAGCATCTACAATCAGACCCTACGTATGTGATTTTTGGTATCCTATAGGTTTTTACAGAATCTAATTGCTTTCCTGAATTAATTTTACAGGAAAATGGAAAGGCCTGTGTGTTTGTGTTTAGAGACTGCAAGTTGCTGGGTAATTTGTCTTCCTCTCTAGTCAGTCTTACAGACCAGAATCTCCAAGGGAGAAGCTATTTAGGAGCAATCTGATGTGGAAGAGAGTGAAAGGCTCAATACCAGGGAGTCCAGGAGGGAGACAGACACTGAAGGAGGGTCCAGGGAACTTGCTTGGGCCTGGTGGGGGGGTGGGGGTGTCTGTAATAGCCAGGAAATCAGAGAAAATAGGAATAATTCCTCAATCAAAGAGTTTCCATAAAGATTACATGAAACTATGTGTAGAAAATGATAGCAGTGCTTAGCACAATTCTAGTACTTTATAAAGAATAGTTGGATTGGCCGGGTGCGGTGGCTCACGACTGTAATCCCAGAACTTTGGGAGGCCAAGGTGGGTGGATCACTTAAGCCCAGGAGTTTGAGACCTGGGCAACATGGCAAAACCCCATCTCTAAAACAAAAATAACAAAAATGAGCTGGGTGTGGTGGCGTGCGCCTGTAATCCCAGCTACTCAGGTGGGTGAGTTGGGAGGATTACTTGAGCCCAGGAGGCCGAGGATGCAGTGAGCTGAGATCACGCACCACTGCATTCCAGCCTCAGCAACAGAGTGAGACTCAGTCTGAAAAAAAAAAAAAAAAACCAAAACAAAGCAAACAAAAAACGAACAAAAAAACACCAAGAAAAAATACTTGAATCTGACCAACTTTTTGGTCAGATTTTTTCCCAAAGAAAAATACAAAATTCTCTGGTGTATGGTGCAGGTGGCCTGGAATACTTCCTTCACATGCCCCCATCTGCTACACCTGGCTAACTCCCACTCTTCCTTTATCACTACTGAAATATGAGTTAGAACCCCTTCTTCTGGTCTCCATGGTGCACCTTTCTCATTGTCCTCCAAGCATTTATCACATGGTATTGGAATAGCTTGCTTTCTTGTCTCTATTGCCCCACTAGGCCAAATCAGTTCAGTAAGATTGTATTGGGTTCCTGGCATGGGGGCATGATGCCAGGCTCTGTGGGGCACTGAAGGTCAAAGGTGTTTTAGTAGAGGTTTAAAGAATGTCTGTGGAATTAATGAGTTGAGAAAATGCAAAATGGCAAAAGGTACTGTGATTTCAGTAAACATGAAATCGTGTTTAAAGATATCTATTATGTGTCTAATTTTAGAAATAATAGTACATGTGTAAGACAGTATTCAGACTATAGATGATGTTTGCTGTAGATTTTGAAATAGAGATGCCACAGATTGAAAGTAATCGAGAACTAATCCAGAACTTTTTCTCACCCCAATTTTCTCCTTTGGTTTTTCCCCTTCCCTAGTAAATGCTGCCATCTAATATTTATTTGTCTAAGAGCGTTTTCTTAGGGGATTTCTGATTTGCTCTAAATTTAAAGGCAAAAGAATTTATACTCACAATGGAAAGAACCAATGCTCTGAAAAGGTTTCAAGCCTGTGGTGGGGAAAGGGAGCCTGAATTTGAGGAGAAGCAAGGTTTAGTTTGTGTAAAAGGTCTCTCACCCCTCCTGCTCCAACAAAACGGCCGTAGTGTTGACCCAGGTGTTCTTTCCCAGGAACTCCTGTTGCAACTTTTCTTTTCATATGATTTCTTCTCATCTCATATACCTGGAAGCTGCTCCACCTTTTTTAAATCCTGTTCCTACCCCATTTATCTTCTTGCTAGCCAGACAAATAACTCTAAGGAGTGTTGTATGTCATATTTAATGTTTGGGCAATGCCAAGAATTTTCAGCTTTTCGGTTTGAATCTCCTTGAAATTATAAATATGTATTAATACAAATAATATACTTAAAGTATGGGGAATATAAATTGTGGAAGAAAGAGCTGTTTTCTCTTTGGTATACCATATTATTTTACAACTGGAAAAATTTTGCAAATCCCTTAGATAATATACATGAGGCTCTTGGAATACGTCAGCATTAGAATACTATACACTTTAAGATGTGGTGGCTGTAAATTTCTAGATCTCATATTCTCCCAGGAATGAAATATGTGTCATATAGGTGATTAATCCTAGAAAAGCTGTCACAGTAGAAGGATGGGTGCTATTGTCCTTTGACAAAATGAAGCACCTGTCAGAACAATGGCCACCACTGTTTAGAAAGAGCAGGGTCCATGTATGATTTCTAAGAGTAGTCTTGGAGTCCCTTATGCAAAAATTACTCTGGAGACTTAAACTCTTTGGTTTTTCTCAGGAAAAAAGTCAGTAAGTCTGTAGTCAGCCTACTTTCTTCCAGGAAATTTGCAATGCTGAGTTCTCTGCAGAAGAGAACACTCAACTAGGTACAGGCCTTTCCTGGACTGGTTGTTCATGGATTGCGAGGCATTGTGAGGTTGGCTGGTTTCTTTTCTTTTTTTTTCTCCTCCCTGCCTCCCTCCCTCCCTCCCTTCCTTCCTTCCTTCCTTCCTTCCTCTTTCAGTAACCTTTTTATTTTGAGATAAATGTATGTTCACATTAAGTTGTAAGAAATAATGCTGAGAGATCCCCTGTACCCTTCACCTAGCTTCTTGCAAAACTCTGGAACAGAATCACAATCAGGATATTGACATTGATGCAGTCAAGATACAGACCAGTTCCTTTGCCAGAATGGTCCCTCCTATTGCCTTTTTATAGCCACACCCACCTTCCTCTCCCCAGTCTATGCTTTCTGAAGAACACTTTGATGTCAGTGATAAAAACAAAATGTTTGGGGGGAACTAATGTTCATCTTTGCCAGGATATTTAATACCCAGGAGACAAACCCAGTTCTGACAGTTGAGTGCTACCTCTGTTATCCTAGTATATTCCCATATCTGCTGTGCTTGTATTCCTAGGGAGATTCTTCTGTATTTTTTTCCTGAGCATCAGCTACCATCAGAATTGGAAGAACCTGCATTAAGTTGTGAGGTAAGCTGGTTTTTTTTGGAACTGTGAGGGAATGATAGAATAGCCTGAATCTCAGTGAAGAAAAATGTAAAGTGTTTCCAATAAGAGGACCTAGAGTGGCTTAAGTGAATAAAGATGAGCATCTTTATACCAAATGGTGATTCATAATTAAAGCTATATTTGAAATTATTGTGGCTGTGAGTTAAACAAGGTGGAAAATATCTTACAGACAGATAGTTGCAGAGATGAAAAGAAACAGGACATAGTCCCTGACTTCTCTCTCCCCCACCAAAAACAGAGTTTCTGTTCCTTAGATACATCTCCTCAGCTGCTTCTTATGAGCAGCTGAGCTGAGGATTGGGTAGGTCAGGCACATTAGGTATCCAAAGCACTAATCTTACCGAAATCACCAAGACATCACTGAGATAGATGAAGAAAATTGTGTTTACCAAATCTCCTCTCAGGAACAGTACCAGATGTGATTGGAAAGAAAACTTTGAACAGCTGCTTGGGGTGCAAAGAGTAAGCCTCACATCTATTGGCTATGCTTAAGTAACAGTGAGTAGTCTACAAAGGGCTCCCGCAGGGCTGTGGTGAAGTTGAGTGAGGTGCACATGCCTGACAAGCTGCTCAGCAGAAGTGGAGGGAAGAGCTGCCTAGTGCAGGAGGGTGGGAGGCCTTTTCTCCACCTCCATGCTCGGTGTTGCCTGTGGAGATGATGGATACACTTGGTATTGGTGAAAATAGCACAAATTATGAATGCAACAGAGGGACTATATGAGTCTGATCTTGGGCACAATCCCTAATTTTCTAGTCTGTAATCATTGTTTCTGCCTCTTTACCCTCTACTCTCACCTCATCCTCTCCCGTGGGGCTTCTGATTCCACAGCTGAACTATGACTGTTCTTGTCAGGGCCACCAGTGACCTCTTGATAAGTGCAGTGTCACTCTTACCTGACCTGTCAGAGGCCTTCAACCTAGGTGACCACTTTCACCTTCTTGAAGCACCTTCTTTGTGTAGCTCCTGTGACTGCACACTGCCCATTTTATTTTTTATTTATTTTTATTTTTATTTTTTTTGCTTTCCTCCCTCCCATCTTCTTTGTGGCAGCTCCTGTTGTACACGGTTTCTCAATGTTGGCATGTCTGAAGGCTCATTCCTGGGCCACTTTCTTTTCTCTATTAAATGCTGTTTCTAGGTAACCTCGTCTAATTTCTAACTTTAAAATATTAATACTACCCCCCACATGCCAGTGACTTCCCCATCTGTTTCTCTGACACTCCCTTCCAAGAAACCCAGACTCCAGCTGCGCTCTCGACATCTCCCTTTGAATATTTATTATTTTATCGCTTAATTTTCCTTCACCTTGAGTTTTGTATCTGCACAATTTTTTAACTGTGCTGTATTCATTTATGTAAGCTGACTTAATCCTTTTTTGGAAGGAAGCAAAGTATAATTTAGTTAATTAATTTAATTAGACCCAGACTTAAAAGGCCCATAGTACCAATGTTGGCCAGTTCTAGGCTTTGATGCTTTTTATACTCAATGCTTGTGTGATATAACTCTGCTGTAGACAGCACATTCTCTAAAAGCTAATATCCTGTTCTATTATCATTTATGAAAACAGCTGGAGCAGTGCCCAGAGCAGATGAACAAAAAGCTGAAAATGTGTTTCAACCAGGTAAGCTTCCTTTCAGTATCACCATTTATATTCTAAATGATCCTGTGTTCGAAAGGATAAATAATGTACATTTCCAAATGTTAGGTTTGAAAGGAAATCAAATTTGCATTCACTTATCGAGACTTAGATTAATGTATAGCTTATCAGGTGTCATAAAGCAACATATTTTTGAATTTTAAAATACTAACATTTCTATAACATAAAGCTATGAAACACTTGGAGTAGGACTGTATCTTGAATAGGAAACAGGACATTCTGAGCTTTTAAAGAAATATTTTCACCGAATCCTCAAAATGCTAGACTGAAGCAGAAATTTTAAAGTTTTAAATTATTTCCAACAATTTGATATCGCTCTGAGTTTTTTAAGTACCTTATCAATAGTTTTTAAGTTAGTGATTTTTCCATTCTAAAAGTAGACATAAAAGTAATTAATGCTAATATAAGAAGTAAAAGCAATTTTTAAAAATTCATCCATAGCCTCAAGCCATTCCAAGATCACTGATATTAATATTTTTATGTATTTCCTTACAACCTTTCTCTTCCTCTGGGTAGATTTTTTTTTAACAGTTATCAAATAATGCTGTGTATCTAGTCCTTAAGGATTTCCTGGGGGAGAAAGAGTCCAGAGTGCCCTTCAGTTCTACTACAGAAGTATCTCAAAAAATCATATGTCCTCAAATCCCTTATTTTACACTTAATAATAAAAAAAAAAACCCTGGTACTCCAAGATGTGAACTTGGCCAAGCTGATGTAGGGGATGAATGTTGGAGCCAGGATGGCCATGAAGATTCCCAGATTCATCGCACAGGCCAGAGTAGTCAAGAACTTTGACACCAGGATCAATACTGAAATGTTGGGTCTTTGTTGACACTTTACCTGTGCTTTCTCACCTAATCACTAGCTCCATATTAGTGCATCCATTAGCATCTTCTTCTGTATGCTTATGTTTACAGCCATCTTTAGAAAGCTCTCATATAATGAAAATCTGTAAAGATTGAGAGGTGACTGGCCCTTCCTGGAGTTGTGCAAAGAATGACTCTAAGCAGAGACACTGCCTCATAGTTTTTATAGGTAATGGAGTACCTTTGCATTTGATCTTAGCCAAAAGTCCAAGAAGCAATTACAATGGAAGACATCTGAATATTCTTGTTTTATAAGTGAAAAAGAATGGTGAAGTAAATTCCCAAAAGACATACAACTAGGCAAACTTGACAAGTAGAACCTAAACCATATTCCTTCTTACAAAGACTGTATCACACAGTATTTAAAGTTCAGACTGGGCCTAAATTTAACAACCCTTGTTCATACGTTTGCCTTTGATGTTTCTATCAACTGGACGGTGATAAACAACTGGAAATAAAAGGGGAGGTGTAATTATTGGTCTCCCATTACTGTTCAACTGAAAAGTGAATTTATTTTTTGAATAACATTTTGCTGTAAAAGCAGTAACTGAACATTTTCAGTTTGAAGAGTTACTTGTCAACATTTCCTAACAAGAATAAAAGACAAAGTTTACTTTCAATATATTTTGATGCTGTTCTACCACTAATATTATTTTCATCAATAATGTAAAACTGGGATTGATTGATTGGGAGCCACTAGAGCTGCCAGGCACTGAACTAGGTCTTTTCTATATTAACACATTTATCCTCACAACTTTGGTAGGTAGGTACCACTATCTCTTTTAGCAATGAGGAAATAGAGATTCAGAAAGATAATATCCCAGTGTCATGATCAGATTCAGAACTGGAGCCTGATTTTTCCCGCTCCAAAGTTGTTTTCATTCTACTTTTTTTCAACTTTTTTTTGCCCACCCCCTCTATTTTCGTGTCGCTTGTTTTTGTCTTGAAATAGGATCTTGCTACATTGCCCAGGCTGATCTTGAACTCATGGGTTCCAGCAGTCCTCCTGGCTTAGCCTTGAAGTGGCTAGGATTACAGGCTTGTACCACCACACCTGGCTATTTCATCTTAGTCTCATCCAGACTTGAATACTTCATCTTTGTGATAGAGGTCACATGTATTACTTGCAATAAGTATATTACAACTTCTCAGCCTGTTGGTGTAGAAAAATTATTTTTAAGTTACTAGAGACCTGACATTACATCATGAGACATATATTGAGGAGATGCTGACAGTAATATATTTCTGTGGGGTATGTGTGGTAGATGGGTTGGCGTATTGGCCCACCAGGAATTCATTGTCCCAACCGAAAGTCTGTGGCAGTCAGCTTGAGGAGCTTATCTGTAAGGCTCCTGGATCTTCCTGTAGCTCTCCACTTACTGGTTAGGGGACTCTGATTTGAATGCACTGTAAAACTTTGAAATTTGCTAAGAATTATACTGTCATACAGCTGTTTATCCAAGCTTATATATACCGTTTTATATCTGTTTCTAAATATTTTTTCCAATGTCTACACCATTAGTAATGGAGCCAGAGTGAATAAGACATGTGTTTATTCAGGGTGAACAGAGTTAGCATAGATGATGAGCAGTATCCCCTTAACATGCAGGACAAGTCGGATTAAAAAATCAAAGCGAGATAAACAGTCAGGAGACCAGCAGTTCCTACTGAAATGAGATCTTGTAAGCAAAACACAGAACAACTTGATTTAAGGTGTGTGCATTTAATAAAGAGAGCCACATCAAAGCACGGGAGAAACTTACATAAGTCACTGGCTTCTTTGGTCACAACAGTGGTTTTCATAACTACTATTGTAGTAGTAGATGATTCATAATAGCATTGGTGGTCCTGCATCACCTGACTCAAACCATTATCTTTTATTCTTTCCTCACAGGCCTCTGTTCCATCTAAAATGAGTGCCCCAGAGTTATTCCAACTTACTTACACTGGTCTACCTCTGAGCCTTTCCCCTCCTGATATTCCCCAAAATACTCCTATCGACTCTCCCAATACACAGTGGGCCTCTTGAAATCCTTCCCCATTGAGCTTGGTCAATATTATGTTTTATATGAAGACTCTCAGTTTTTCCATGTGAAATTAATCTTGACCTCTCTGTGTTCTGGGAGAACCTTAAAACTTTGTTTTAGCATTAGTTAACATTTCTATCTTATAATAGTTTATTATATTTCACTTTCTCCTCAGTTAGATGATAGAATCCTTGAAGTTAATAATCCTGTCATCAAACTCTGTATTCTAGCAGCATTCAACCAGTGCCTTTGAATGCATCTGGATCTTAATAGTTACGTGTTGAATCAAAGTTGATTGTTTCTGCTTTAGTGACTGCCAACATAAACACTTAAATGAATATTCCTGTTTGTATGGTACAAAATCTATAGATGTTGTAGGCCTTCCTTACTTTGCACAAACTCATTAGGATTTTGGAGCTGCAAAACTGCTAGAGCTCCTACTCTTTGAATTCAAGGTAGAAAATTAAAATCTCAGTTAAATATCCTTTCTTTCAAATCCTAATTCCATTCTGAATTAATGTAGTTCGGAAAGACTTTGGTTTTTGATCTGCAGATACTTCTACAAGAGTGGGTTTAACCAGCAGAACTAAGCCTCTCATCTTGTTACAATTATTTTCTCACCTTAATTAAAATGTTAACACACAAAAAAGCTAGTACAACTAGATGTCCTTTTACACTGAGCTTGAAAAGTTGTCAAAAGTGTTACCTTTCATAGAAACTTCCTGGAGAGGTTAGCAGAACCTCCTGGAGAGAAAGGCAAGAGAATAAACCAAAAGGCTGGCCTGTAGAATTTGATAAAAACGTAGTTTACTGGTTACTAAAAGGTAAACTTTCAGAGACTGAATATGACTTTGTAGTGTACTATATAAACATTCTTGGTCTCATCTCGTATTAATAGTGTCGAGGCTTTTTGTTTTTGCTTCTTTCTTTCAATTTCAAAATAATTATAGATTCATAGGAAGTTGCAAAAATAGTACAGAGAGGTCCTGTGTACTCATCACCCGGTTTCCCCAGTGCATAATTATGCATAATTATGGTACAATATCAAAACCAGGAAATTGAATTTGGTAAAATGTGTGTGTATAGTTGTATGTCATTTTATCATACATGGAAGTTTGTATAACCATTACCGAAATCAGGATGCAGAATTCTCATTACTGAAATCAGGATGCAGAATTCTCATTACCATAATTATCTCCCTTATGCTACCTTTTTATAGTCATATCCACTCAGGCCTTCCACAATTACCTCTAACTCCTGGCATCCACTAATATGTTCTCCATCTCTATTGCTTTGTCTTTTCAGGAATGCTGTAGAAATGGAATCATATGTGTGTGTCATTTGACAATTGCTTTATTTATTCAGCGTCACTTCGGGTCCATTTAAGTGTGTCAATAGCAGGTTCCTTTTGATGGCTGATTAGCAATACTATTGTTTTTTCAAATAATGTTTCCATAATGTTTGCCATTTTTGATATTTATCTTTGATTTGTTTTGGTTTATTTTATTGTGGCTTTTATTTTTATGAAAAAAGTGTTTTCTGACTGTTATTCAGCATGGCAAAAGCTATAAAATTCTGGAGTTCTGAAAACTGTAATTAAGTGGCTAGTGACAGGTGAACTGTATGTAACACTGTCCTCCTTATTCCAGCTGAGTTAAGTTATTCCTTCTACTCCACCTTCAGGCAGTAGATATCTCTCCCTGGGTTTGCCTGCAGCCTCTATAGGAAGCATCTATGAAGCTTCCTGGTGGAGGTGGTGGTTACCTTAGTTGTAAGTCATCAACTTGTTAGGTTGAATTAAAGATGTTCAAAAGTGGATTCCCTTCCAGGATCTTGAAATGTGGCGTGGATTTCAAGGCAGGATTTACCCATGTGTTTGAAATTCCCTTGCTGTGAGTGCTGCATTATCTGCTGTCCTGAATCCCTGCTATTTAGTGCCTTTCTTGGGGGCACAAGGTCCTTATGTTCCATAAGATTTATGTGCACATTTGTATTATCTCATGCTGTGAACTAGAGAGTTCTTGAGGGCAAAGACTGTACCCTATATATCTCCACGTCATCTATAATTAAATGCAGTGCTTTCGAGTTAGGAACTAGTTAGTGAATATTTATTAAACAGAATTTCCTATATGTAGGGATTTTTGTTTGCTTGTTTAAAGGATTTTGTAGAAAAAGGGGAAACTCGTGAGGTCAGCGAATGCTAAAGGAGATGATGTGGATGTCAGAGAAGGGTCTGCACATAGTCAACGTAGTGGAGGGTCTGAAAAGGGAAGGGTAGGCCCAAAAGACAAATGAGGCTACCTTACAACTTTCTTGGCAACCCAGTCATGTTAGAATGCAGAAATCTCCTTATTACATAAACATCAAAATGCTTATCAAAATGGGATTTGCCGTGTATCTCTTTTCTCAGAATATCTCTTGGCCTTCTAGAAATGTTTATACAAGCAATTAATGTCATTCTGAAACTGAAGCATTTGGCCTCTCCATTACCTCTTTCTGCTTCATGAGTGCCTCAGGCACAGCATGAAATTTTGGAGAACAACCAAGATTCTTCTATTAATGAGGGTCATATACATAACTATCTGTACTTTTTGTATCACGATAAGGAACCCGAAGAGAGTGAGAACAGGAATTCCTCTTTCTGTAGTTTCTGTGCTTTCTAGATGCTACAGCCTTGCCTTACAAGTAACACTACATCATCTGCCAGACAGCCCCAAGTGGTGGGCCATTCTGTCATTGCCTGTGAATTACTGGTGCTGTGGAGAGAGTCACAGGCACCTGCTCACTTTGTGCCTTAAATAATCTGGTGATCGCCATTGGGAGAACAGATTCAACCTTTACGAGGTTTCTTCTTCATTCCAGACCAAAGGTCTCCAAGCTCACTGTCATGTGTCTCTTTCCTCCTTATAATTACAATTATTGAAATATTATACATTTTTCTCTTCTCTCTTAGTCTTCTATCAGAGTGTATGTAAGTTCCTTAAGGGTATCAATATTTCCTAAATTTAGACCACCTACGAAGTTGACACTTGGTACATGTAGGCAGAGTTGGAATATGAAATTGTCTAGTGATATTAGAGGGAAAGTAATATTTTAAAAACATGCTAAAACTGTTTTTAAAACATTCCCAGATACAGAATACTTACATGGTCCAATATGAAAAAAAAATAAAGAGGAAATTGCAGTCCATTATCTATGATTCAAATACAAGAGGAATACATAATGAAATCTCTCTGGGGCAATGTGAAAATAAAAGAAAAATCTCTGAGGATAAGCTGAAGAATCTTCGTATAAAACTGGCACTATTGTTGCAGAAACTCCAACTGGTGAGTGAAAAAGTTGTATTTGAGCAGTAGGAGTAGACTCTATGGAACGAGAACTCAGCTAACTTCTCCTAACATTGTCATTCACTTACTGACCTGGACAAGTCACTTAAGTCAGCCCTTACTCTCTGCATAAGGATTTTGAAATCATAAATAAATGAACTGTGAAGGCATATATTAGAACATTTAGAAACTCTGTGTTCTTTCGTATCTTTTTTTTTTTTTTTTTGAGATGGAGTCTTGCTGTGTTGCCAGGCTGGAGTGCAGTGGCGCGACCTTGGCTCACTGCAACCTCCGCCTCCTGGGTTCAGGTGATTCCTCCTGCCTCAGCCTTCCGAGTAGCTGGAACTACAGGCACACATTCTTTTGTATCTTAGTTCAGAATCTTTGCTTGTGCTGTTGGTATAGCATGATCATCCTTGGTGTCCCCTTAATAACATGTGACCAGTAGGTAATTTTTTCAGTTTTTTCAGACAGCGAAATATTTTACTTTACTTTTATTTTAATGCATAAATAAAAATCCTCTTAATCTTAGAGGACAGTTTTGGAGAAGTCAGGAAACATCATGTAAGTATGGATTACTGTCAGTTTTGTTTGTACGTTTCAATGCATAAAGAATTGAGTTATGTGATAGGTTGAACTGATGAGGAAGAGCCCATCTTCTATAGCACATGGAAATGTTGCATAAAATACAACAAAACTGAAAATATATGTAGTCAGGATTGAAAGTCTTCCTGTGGATTCTAGAAATAAATTGAGAAATCCAAGCCAGAACAGTGAGCCTAGGGAGCCTGTGGCATTTTGTCCTCAAATATAGGCCCTGAGTGCTGGAACAGGAGACAGAGCCTTCCTGGGCCATGCAAGGTGAGGGGACAAGAACTGAGACCCTTATGGAGGATTGGCTAGAGGATTGCCTTGCCCTTGAAAAGGCTAGGGAGAGACAAGAAACTCGCCATACATATATCTGTATAATGTGTGAAGAACATGGACCTTGAAGCCAGGCTGCCTGGGTTTCATTCCTGGTTGTGAACATTTAAACGTGGGAGTCCCTTCCCACTTCAAAAAAATTTTTAATTTATCTGAAATTTATCTTGTATTAAGTACAAAACAAAATGCAGAAAAGCTTTTTTTTTTTTTATTTGCTTAATTTAAGTATATTGCCAAAAGAGATGTCCCTCTCCCCTTTGATGGTCTAGGCAACAGTTAAAATGTTATGTTATTAAAATTTAGAAAGATGTTTAATGCTAATTTTTATATAAAGGTAATTGTATTTGCGCTTCTATCAACCATACCACTTCAGCCAATTTGTCTAGTTTATTTATTGCTATGAGAGTAGGATTTCAGTAGAGCTCCTTTTGGTTCTTGTGGCTGTGAAGAATGCCAAATGTTTTCATGTGTTAAAAGTCTGGTATGGAGCCTAGCACATGGTAGTGTTTCAGTGACGATTATTGTTTCACTAACAAGTAAACTAGAAAGACCAAAGAAATTATGTATCCTAGAAATTGAATACCACTTCCTGACTATTAAACAAGTTTATAAAATAATTGGCTTTCATAATAGCAAATCCACGTTAGGCTAAGAAAAACTGAAAGAATAATCGTTTACTACTCCTTCTCTGCCAAACCTCTAGGTTCTTAAGCAGCAGCCAGAGTAACCATACTAATTTAATTTGCTGTATTCACAAAGTTTGGTAGGCAAGTTAAGGGCTTCAGCCAGCAGAGTATGAAACTCTTTTGCCTAATCTCAGTGGAGAGGTACTCAAAGGGCTCCTGCCCAAATGTATTACTCTCATCGCCCCACATGAAATTTCTATTTCACAGTTTCTGGTTGCCAGAGCCACTGCCGTAGAGTACAGCAGAGAATCGAGATGAGGGACCCAGAGCAGATAGAGATGGGGCAGGCACATGAAGAAGCCGAGTGTGGAAATAATGTAGCATCCTGGAAGAAGTTTATTCCACCAGGCAGAGGATAATAGCCAAAAGATGAGATTATATCTAACAGGACGAGAAGTGCTTTGTGTCAGGGTCACAGGGCATTCTTCAGGGTCAGCGAATATTTGGAAGTCAAGGTAAATATCAACATCATTGTAATCCATCTGTAGGAACAGTGTCCCAGTCACCAAGCTGGAACTCAGTAAAATTCAGCCTTGTTAGAGCAAATCTGTGGTAGAGGGAGTAAAGTTGAAGCATATTTTATGGAACCAGAGAAAAGATGCAGAGGCGAGGTTAATGGTGCTAGACACTTAGTGCTAGGATTGTTTCTGAAAGGCCCTTCCTAAAAATCCTCTTATCTGTTCGTTCAGTTGGAGAGTTAGTTGATCCCATAGTTGGGCCCAAGGGAATGAGATTTAGATCAGTCAGCCAAGAGGGAACATTCAAGGAGACCTCAGTTTATGGAAAAACGGGATTAAAAGTTAAAAGTCAAAATGTAAACTTTATTTCTCAACATAATCTCCATCAAGGTCAAGACACTTATGTAAGCAATGGCAGCAGCCTTTTAGTCCATCTCTAAAGATCTAAGAGTCCTTGGAATTTAACCATGTCAATGCAGTCTTTTTTACATTATTAAAGAAAAATGGATGCCCTTTACAGATTTTTTTTTAAAGATTTTTAAAAAGAAGTCAGAAGGAGTCAGATCAGGACTATAAGGTGTATGCCTAATGATTTCCTGTCAAAACTGTCACAAAATTGCCCTTGTCTGATGAGAGGAATAAGCAGGAACATTGTCTTGGTGGAAGAGGACTGTCTGATGAAGCTTTCCCAGGCATTTTTCTGTGAAAGCTTTGGCTAACTTTCTCAAAACACCATTATAATAAGCTGATGTTATTGTTCTTTGGCCCTCAAAAAAGTCAACAAGCAAAATGCCCTGAGTATCCCAAAAAATTGTTGTCATGACCTTTGCTCTTGACCGACCACTGTTGCTTTGACTGGACCACTTCCACCTCTAGGTAGCCATTGCTTTGTCTTCAAGATCATACTTGCAAAGCCATGTTTCATCTCCTGTTACAGTTTTTTGAAGAAATCCTTCAGGATCGTGATCCCATTTGTCTAAAATCTCCATTGAAAGCTTTGCTCTTGTCTGCAGCTGATCTAGGCACAATGGTTTTGGCACCCATTGAGTGGAAAGTTTGCTCAAGTTTAATTTTTCAGTCAGAATTGTGTTAACTGAACCACTTGAGATGTCTGTGGTGTTGGCGATTGTTTCTGCTATTAAGCATCATCCATCCTCTCCAGTTAGAGCATGAACAAGATTAACTTTTTCCTTGCAAAGGGATGTGGACAGTCTGACATTGCTAGCTTCCTCTTCAACATCATCTCATCTGTTCTTAAGTTATCTGTTATTTGTTAACTGCTGATTTCTCTCTTTTTAAAAAATTACTTGCCATAGTCCTATAGCCCCCTCAGTCTAATCTCATCCTTCTCTGTTATAGGCTCTCCATTGGGGACATTGTCCCCATAAACTTTTCATGAAGCATGAATGATTTTACCATTCTTCCACCCAAGCCTCACCATAAATTTGATGTATGTTCTTGCTTCAATTGCAGCAGAATTCATGTTGCTCTGATAGGGGCTGCTTTCAAACTGATATCTTATCCTTTTAGTGCTTCAGACTAGATCCTGGTCAAATATGTCATAACAACTTAGTGTGAGTTGATTTTTGTTCAAAATTTTTGAAATCCATGCCTACGTAGTTTTTTCATAATATGCATTTTCCATGAACTTTTTGAAGACCCAACTCATACGTCTAACTGTTCCATGGATCAAGAAGTCCAGGAAAGGAGAGCATGAAATCGCCTCAGTAGGGAGCTGAGTAAAAGAGAGAAGGGGAGGATAAACAGGAGACAGACCAGGGTAGTAAGCCAAGAGCTGAGGGAAAAGACGCTGCAATGGAAATAGAGGAAACAAAGAAGACAAAATTTGGCTACTTGTCTGTTTTTGCCTACAAGGCTAAAGATTCATTAATTTTAAAAATAGGAGATTACAGTCTATAACAAAGAAGGATGAGATTAGACTGAGGAGGCTTTAGGAATATAGCAAGTAATTTTTTAAAAAGAGAAAAAAAGTTGTACTAACTTCCACTACAGAATAAAAAAAATGAACCAAGTTTCTAACCGCTTGTTAGCATAAAATGACATTAAATGAGAAAACCTTTTGAAAGGTTAAAAGCATGATTCAAATGTAAGGTGGCTTTTGTTGCAGCATGAGTCATAGGGAAGACTGTTAGGAGGCTGCCCAAATTACAGGAATAAGCTCTGCAGCTTCTTTCCCTGGTGTGACTGTTGCTTCTCTTTTCCAGGGTGGTCCAGAAGGTGACCTGGAGCAGACTGACACTTATTTAGAAGCTTTGCTTAAAGAAGATAATCTTCTCTTCCAGAACAATTTAAATAAAGTAACTATAGATGCAAGACATAGACTCCCTTTAGAAAAAAATGAAAAGACTTCGGAAAATTAAGTCAGAGATGGTATTACCTTTTAAAAAATGCTAATAAGAAAATTGGAAGATTCTTTTAAAAATTTTTCTTTTTTGTTGTTGTTACTGTAAAGTCTATTCTGTTTAACAATAAGAAATAAGAAATAATTTTTTTCAAATAAGAAAATTGTGTACTCTAGAAATGGAGACCGATTTACAATTTATGTATTCCCTAATCCAATTATCTAAATCTTCCTTTTCTTTCAGAAATATTAATAATATCTAGAGTTCTCTAATTTTCATGTGAGCTACTGAAAAAAATGAAAATGTCACTCAAGCTTAACTTTTGTTATTCCTTAAAAGATTGTTATTGTAATTTTGTTATTCCTTAAAAACATTTAAAAGCAGATTTTTTCAAAATCGATATGTGAAGGACTACAGAATCACCTCCTCTTGAAGATATTGAAAAAGAAAGACATTATGCCCTTTCTCCACTATAGCCAACACTCAGTCAAGCAGAAAATACAAATCCCCCCAAAACTTTGAGACATAGCTTATATAATTTTATTATTTAGTCATAGTAAAAGAATAAATCTCCTAAGCATAATATGTATACATATTACACATATGTAAAAATTGTTGTTTTACATTTACATATACGTAAAGAAGTATGTTTTTACACTTTTCTTGATAAGTGTTTTTTTTTTGTTTAGAAATGTCTGAAACTTTAGACAAAAACAGTAAAACATTTAATATTCATTTGTGAAACTGTATAATTTTAATTTATGTATATGCACATAGCAAAAGCCTGGAACATGGGAAATGGAATATGGTAAACTATTTCATTTTTGTCTTTAGCCACTTAGGTACTCTTCTCAAGAGGCATGTTTTTACCAGTTCCTCGTAAATCTGTCCCCAATCAATATCTGTAAAACCATATATATCATGATATAGCTATAGATATGGATGTAATAGCATCCAAAAGATGCTGCTGTTGCTTTTTTCCACTCAATATACCTTCAAGATCATTCCATATTGAGACCAGTACATGTAATAATACATATGTATAGAGAGCTAATGAGATAACCTCTCGTTATCTTCAACTGCTCCTTATTATTTTATTCAATGGAAATACTAAATCTGTTTAACCATTTCCTTATCAATGCATGTTTAGGTTTTTATTGTTCTTTTGGATTTACATATGCACAACATTTGAATATCCTTATAAATTTGTTCATTTCACACATGTACAATTATGTCTGTCAAATGTCTCAGCAAACAAATTGCTGGATCAAAGGGTATATACATTTATTATGAATAGATATTGCCTAATAGCACTTTGAAAAAATTTTTTTAGTCTACACTCCTACAGCAGTGTATGAGTTTTTTTCCTCACACCTTCACCTACCTGGTGGATTACCAGACTTTCTTATCTTGCTGATCAAACAGGTGAAAAGTGGTATATCCTTGTAGTTTGAACATACATTTCTTATACTTTGAGTGTGATTGAGCATCTTTTCATATGTTTAGAAGTCATTCAGATTTTTAAATTGGACTTTGTCAATTTTTCTACTTGGTGGTGGGTATTTTTCTTATTGATTTGTAAGAACTATCTTCGCATTAGGGATATTATCTTTTTTATATGATATATATTACAGATATTTTCTAACAAACTTTTTATTTTTGTTTTTATGGTGTTTTGAGTCATCTGGGATTTTTTTAAAGATTACGATTTAATTTCCTTTTGTTTATGGCTTCTATGGTCATATTTAGAGAGGACTCTCCTATTCTAAAATTATAAAACAATTTTGCTTTGTTTTCTTATAGTGATTTATATTGTTAAACCTATGATTCATCTAAAATTTATTTTGGTGTAAGAAGTAAGTTAGAAATCCTTTGTGTTTATGTATGTGTGTATGTGCATTTCCACATAGCCATAGCTTTGTCCCAGAATTATTAATTGATAATCAGTTCTTTCCTACTCTCTTACCATACCACCTTTATTGCATATTAAATTCTTATTTGTAATTGAGTCTAGTTAAAAAAGAATCTATTTATTTTTCATTGAGTGCTTCATCTTTTCTCATGCCAGATTCATGGTGTTTTTGGTAGGGCTATTTAATAATTTTATTTTTCAAAATTTTTTGTGTATTTTTTGTGCTTGATTCTCAGAATTACATTTTGTAGCCACCAATATCCCTCAAATTCTATTTTTTTTTTAGATGGGGGTTTGTGGTGATAATACAGATTAATATAGAGAGAACTGATATGGTTTTTAATAGTAAGTCTTTCTACCCAAGACCAAGATACGCCTTTGCATATCCTCAAGTCTTCATTGGAACCCTACAGTACCATTTTAAAATTTTCTTCAAATACATCTTGCACATTCCTAGTTATATTTATTGCAGTTAGATTTATTTTTTAGCCTATCATGAATGAAGGCTTTTTCCCATGATCTTATGACTGGCTAATGTTCTATACAGCAAGACTCCTGATTTTTTAATACAATATTGTATTCAATATAAGAATTCTCATTTTACAAATAATTTTAAAGTTTTTTTCTGCATCAGCAAATGATCATTATGCAGGTTTTCTTTTTGTTTCTTTTCTCTTTTTTTTTTTTTTTTTTTTGAGACGGAGTTTCACTCCTGTTGCCCAGGCTGGAGTACAATGGCACGATCTCCGCTCACAGCAACCTCCGTCTCCCGGGTTCAAGCGATTCTCCTGTCTCAGCCTCCCGAGTAGCTGGGATTACAGGTGCCGTGCCACCATGCCTGGCTAATTGTGCATTTTTAGTAGAGACTGGGTTTCACCATGTTGGTCAGGCTGCTCTCAAACTCCTGACCTCAGGTGATCCGCCCACCTCGGCCTCCCAAAGTGCTGGGATTACAGGTGTGAGCCACTGCGCTTGGCCAATTTTCTTTAAAGTAGAATTTATATGAAGAAACAGTTTCTGGATCTCAGGTCCTTATATTCTTGATCCATCCAAAGTTTTCCTTCCTCAAAGGATTTTCCTGCCTCCTTGAAAACTTTTACTACCTTCCTCTGCCATCATCTGTATCCATTTTTTCTTTAATTTAAAAATTAGTGATTAATAAATGTTAATGGTGATAAAAAGTCAGCACCTCTGAGCATCCTCTGGCAGACATTTAGAAACAGTCTTAAAGGGGACTTCCCCAAAGAATGCTTTTTGAAAATTCTAGCAGGATATTTCTCTAATTCCTAGCTGAATAATCCCGAGGCTGAGTCCTCACTGTCTCCCCTTTGTCCTTTTTACTGTCCAAAAAAGAGTATCATTCACTTTAATGGTTTCAAGTAATTCTTTCAAATGGGTTCAAATGGGTGAGTTTTACATTCTATGACCTTATTTTCACCTTTTTTTTTTTTTTTTTTTTTTTTTTTTTTTTTTTTTTTTTAGACAGAGTCTCACTGTCGCCCAGGCTGGAGTGCAGTGGCACAATCTCAGTTCACTTGCAACCTCTGCCTCCAGGATTCAACTGATTCTCTTGCCTCAGCCTCCCGAGTAGCTGGGATTACAGGCGTGCACCACTATGCCCGGCTAATTTTTGTATTTTTAGTAGAAATGGGATTTCACCAGTTGCCCAAGCTGGTCTCGAACTCCTGACCTCAAGGGATCCACCCACCTTGGCCTCCCAAAGTGCTGAGATTTCAGGCATGAGCCACTGTGCCCAGCCCTTTTATTTAACTCTAATTATGACATCGAAATGTCCCATTGAGAGTCTACATTGATATGTTTGAAACAAAATTAACCATATTCACTGTAACCACCACCACTTCTGGTCAAGGCAGTTCATTTAGGCCATGATGGCTACTTCTTAGGAATCAAGGGTTTCATAATAAACAGGTAATCAGTCAGGACTAAGGAATAGGGACAAAGACAGAGACCAGATATATGAGCTGGGCCAAAATGAAAATAAAAGAAAGAATTGAGTGAGGTTAGAAAAGAGAACTGTAGGCCAGGTGTGGTGACTTGTGCCTGTAATCCCAGCACTTTGGGAGGCTGAGGCGGATCATGAGGTCAGGAGATCGAGACCATCCTGGCTAACACGGTGAAACCCCATGTCTACTAAAAATACAAAAAATTAGCTGGGCGTGGTGGCGGGCGCCTGTAGTCCCAGCTACTCTGGAGGCTGAGGCAGGAGAATGGCGTGAACCCAGGAGGTGGAGCTTGCAGTGAGCTGAGATCATGCCACTGCACTCCAGCCTGAGGGACAGAGCGAGACTCCATCTCAAAAAAAAAAAAAAAAAAAGGAGAACTATAATTTAGGGGTAACAGAATTATATTCTACCTGGGGTTTTCTGGTTCTAAGTATGGTTGGTACCAAAATGGGTTGAGGACCACACAAAGCATTCATTTCCACTACTGGACCTTGGATACAGTTCTTAGGTCCATTGACCCTGTTCTTAAGTTCATTGGCAAATGGGGCTTGGTTAGGACAAGATTAGCCAGATTAGAAAACTGGAGTGAGATAAAGCTGGCAGGCCAGTGGCATGTGTAGATACTTGAGAGACCAGAAAAAGGTAAGAACAGAGGGTGGGGGAGAGAAAGGAAGAACACTGCCAGAAGACACAGCCCAATATGTTCCTTTATCTGACTACTACATCTGAAGTTCTTCTTACTACTATTTAATTCTCTTTACCTATTTTTCTCTCTTATACATAGACTTCTTTTTAATAATACTCAATGTATGATTTTTTCATGTAAAATGTTATCTAAATATATCTTCACAATACTCAGGTATGAAAAGGCAGAAACTTTTATTACTGTTTTACAGATGAGGAAACACGAGAATGTAAGTAATGTTTCAATATAGTTAATAAGTGGTAGAACAAAGCATAGAATCTAGGCTTCCTGATTGCAACTCAAAGTTCCTGCCATTAGACCCACTGTACCACTCAATAATGTAGGCAAAATTTATGGCTAACAATATAACAAGGATCACCCTCTCTAAAATATTGCGTGTTCCCTTCACAAAAAACTATGTCTCTGCATGACTGTAAGCATGTTAGTTACCAAGTGCCAAGTGACCTTGGTTTTAAAACTGGGCAGATAAGTTAATCTCACTGGCTTTCTATTCTTATTTAGCTTGTTGCTGTAAGAGGTTTAGAGTAGCTTTCTGAGGGCATATGTTAGCCTTCAGTTTTAGTGAGGAGTAAGGGACTAAATCCAGCAAAAACTTAAGTGAAAACAACCTGAGGAAAAGCTGTAGACTGTGAGTCAAGATGGGGAATGGCAAATCTATAGCTGGTGATCAGAAAGCAGTTCCTACACAAGAGACCCATGTGTGGTACAGAACATTTATGATGGAATATCCATCCGGCCTGCAAACACTACATGAATTTAAGACACTTTTGGGTCTGCAAGGTCTGAATCAGAAGGCCAATAAACATATTGATCAAGTTTATAATACCTTTGACACGAACAAGGTAAGATCTTTCATTTTTCATTTCATTTGAAAATGCTGTGGTTCTGCACTCTTCCCTTTTTTTTTTTTTTCCTGTAAAATAGCCTTAAGTAAAATGTGTACATCCCACTGAATGGAGAGGTCTTCAGGCAACTCACAGCTTGTAGGTAAGTGAGTCATTAAATACTTTTAGTACTGACGGCATGAAAATAATTGGGAACTAGCCTCTCCCACCCTAGGAAGTGTTCTGCATGTAGGGAGTTATTTTAAAACCAGATTAAATCTCGGCATGGAATTCTAATGCTATCATTTAAATAAATCTAATAAGTACAGATTGATTTACAAAGACTGTTTTCGAAGTATTTAATGCATTGGTGACATTTTATAGAAAAGCAAATTACAGGACTCTGCTTTTAAAAGTGTGATTGCATCTAGATTGGCAGATATAATCAATACAAATTAGCCAACATGTTGTCTGTACTCAAATCAAAAGTTAAACTGCTTCATATTACTTTTTTCCCCATAGTTTACCAATTTAGTTTGGGAAAAATGGAAGCTTAACAGTTTTAAATTCAGACAAATTTTTGTTTCTAAAGATTGTTACTCAACTTTTATCTTGAATTTACTCATTCCTGAGGAGCTGTAGTGCATTTAATTTCATTTCTTGAAAAAATACAAAGAAGAGAAAAGAATATATGGAATTGAAAAAAAAAAGAGAGACAAAAAAGCAACAACCTGAAATATCAGGCTCAGGTTCTGCCTGCTTTTACTTGTTTATTTTGGTTATTTTACTGTAGATTTGTATATTTCAAAATGTGTAGATATTGACTAGAATAAAAAGGAACAGAGAAAATGCTAATAGAAAATAATGACTTTAGAAGGCCATCCAACTGATAATAGAAGAGAAAGAAGGGGAGGTAAATTGAGTAAAATTAAAAAAAAAACTGGTTGTTTGATAGGATGTGTAGAATTTAGCAAAATACTTTAAACCAAGAAGCAGGTGACTTAAAAGGAGGTAACAGGCAGGAACTTGGGAAGATTAAACCTGTGCAAAATTAACAGCTGTTTTAATCCTTGTAGCAATGTCAGGAACAGATTTCTTTAGGACATTATGGTATGGTCTTTTGTGCTTTGTTACCAAATATGAGTTAAGCACTGCCTGTTCAGCATGACAGTGCTTTCCTCCTCATCAATTTTACTTAGTGTCAATGCAAGCAAAAGGCGATCTTCAAGGAGCTGACAAATCAGTGGGAAAATGTGACAGATTCCGCTTTTGTTATTAATCCTGGAAGTGTGTTCCAGATACTATAAGCATGATGCCACGTTGTCTTTATTTGCCTCTCCCTGTGTATGTCTCTCTCAGCTCTCAATCTCAGTTTTCTCTTTCTTTCTCTCTGTCATTCTCTGTGCTTCACTCTTTGTATGGCTGCTATAAGCAGCCCAATATCAGGATGAAAGTCTGTTGCTCTAGACAGCAGCTTCTTAGGCTCTAAGTACTCCTGAGAGGTTAGAAAATGAGCTATCGAGTTTTACAGTTATTATCCAAAGGCGTTGATGTCATATCCCATGCCAGCCGTTAGGTTGCTAGCCCAGTATTTGTGAACGCATTGTACATGTCAGTGGTTCACATGCAAGAGTGGGAACATGTGGAAAGGAGTCCTGGGTGGAAGCAAGGATCTGCTGTCAGATGAAGCCCACTGTCAAGGAAGCAGGGACAATGTCCAAACAGGTGTGTGTGTGTCCTTGGTGTGAGAGCCCTCTCAGTGTCCACCACAGGAATGGCCCGACCCATCCCAGGAGCTTAATTTAGATGGCTTGGAAGTTCTGCTGCTATTCATCAAAGAGATTTTATGTTTGCTTAGGAAGGAAGTGAGCCTAAGCAGTAATGACAAATGCCACAAAAGGTGTGGGGATCTCAATATAAAATCAGGTGGTAAAATGACAAGGGTAAGGATTGTTCATTATCAAGTGATACTAAGAAATGATGTGCAATTATGCACAGGAAAAGTCATATATTTAATTAGATGAATTGATAAAACTAGCAACTGTCCAGAATCCCCAAAGATTTACTATTTCTATGCAGCTTCTCTGCAGTTTTCTTTTTTTCTTTGTGTTTTTATAAGTTCGACTTTATTTTTTAAATTTTATTTTTAAAATGAATTTTATTGTGTATGTCTAAGGTATGCAACATGATGTTATGAGATACATATGGATAGGAAAAAGGGTTACTGTAATGAAGCAAATTAACATCCATCATCTCACATAATTACCCATTTTTTGGTCTTTGTGGCAAGAGCAGTAAAATCTACTCATTTAGCATGAGTTGCGTATAAGTATAATTTTATTACTGTAGTCCTCATGGTGTGTGATGAATCTCCAGACTTGTTCCTCCTACATATCTGCTACTTTTATCCTCTGACCTACATCTCCCCATTTCCTCTTCTCCCACCCCACTCCTCGTAACCACTCTATTTGATTTTTTTTTTAGATTCCACATGTAAATGAGATCATGCAATATTTTTCTTTTTCTTTTATGTGCTATAGATGGAAATTATTTTAAAATGCATTTCATACTTTTCTACCTCCTCAAAGTGCTGGTAAAGCACTTCCTTAATATATCAGGGTCATTATTATGAACAGCAGTTGTTACATTCTGTGTAATATCATGAGACACCCATTCCCATTGAAGTTTCTGGAGCTGTTTCCTAATGTTAAAAACCCTGAAAATTTGTGCTTTTATCATTCTGTTTGCTTTTTCTTGTTGTTCTGTCTTTTCTCCTGCTGTCAACCTCACATTTCACAGCTTTCTTATTGTTATAATATTAATGAGCTTTTGATCTCTTTTTAATGTGCCATTTCTAACCTGGCTTTGGATTGTATTCAAGCTAAGCAAGCCTATTAGGATAGTGCTTAAAATAAAAGTAAATACATTCTGAGATTTAAAGCATAAAATTTATAATAATATTTTTTGCTAATCACACAGCATGGTGGATTTCTCCTTGGCATTCAATAACAATAACACTTTCTGAGTGTCAAGGATGTGGGGAAAAGAGAGACCTTACACACTGTTGGTGGGAATATAAACTAGTACAGCTACTATGGAAAACAGTATGCAGGTTCCTCACAAAATTAAAAATAGAACTACCATATGAACCAGAAATCTCACTTCTGGGTATATATCCAAAGGAAATGGAAACAGTATGTTGAAAGGTTATCTGCACTCCATGTTTATTGCAGCACTATTCACAACAGGCAAGATATGGAATCAACCCAAGTATTACCCATCAGCAAATGAATGGATTAAGAAACTGTGCCATGTATATGCAATGGAATACTATTCAGCCTTAAAAAAACAGGGAAATCCTGTCATTTCCAGCAACATAGATGAACCTGGGGGACATGCTTGGTGAAATAAGCCAGACACAGAAAGACAAGTAATGCATAATCAACCTCACTGATATGTGGAGCCTAAGAAAGTCAAGCTCATAGAAGCAGAGAGTAGAATGGCTCTTGCCAAGGACTGGGGGTGATGGGGAAGAGGAGTAATAGGGAGATGTTTGTCAAAGGGTACAAAGTTTTAGTTATGCAGGATGAATAAGTTCTGGGCATCTTGTATAGCATGGTGACTATGGTTAATAAAATATTTCATACTTGAAAATTTCTAAGAAAGAAAATCTTGGATGTTCTCACCACAAAAAAAGGTAAGTATGTGATAAGGTGATGGATATAGAAATTAGCTTCTTTTAATCATCTCACATTGAATACACATAAAAATAACATATTGTATACCATAAATATATATAATTTTTATTTGTCAACTATTCCTTAATAAAGCTGGAAAACAAAACCCACTTTTTGAGTGGTTATGATGTGCCTGACACTGCTCTAGGTGCACTGAATAGATGAATACATTCAACCGTCACAATGGTAATGGAACCTATTTTATAGGAATGGCTATGGCCTTAGCACCTCAGACCTTTGGGGAATGTAATTGACCAATGCCCTAGATGCTTCACTTTAGAATTCAAATTGTGCTTGCCCTGAGTCCATGCTGCCTGGGCTTAGACTACCACCAGTGATTGAGTGCAGCAAAAATACTAAGGCCGGGTTATTCCTAACAGACAGGAGAGTCCTCTGTCTACAGGCTTTGGCTCAGGGATTCCCTGGCAGCTTTGCTGGACCTTCGGTTGCAGGAGTGCCTAGGACACTTCTCCCAACCTTCCCTTCCTCTCTTCTTCACCTGGATCAGATTGACACCATGGTCTGACAGCTGGCTCAACTGTTACAGACTCCCTCCCTGTTTCCTTCCACACATGGATTTCTCCAAGTAAACTCCTTAAATTGAGCTGAATAGGTCTACTATCCTATTAATAAGACTCACAGAAAAAGGGGCCAGAGAAAATAGGAGATTATAACAAAAAAATCAGAAAAATTGGCCACTGCAGTGGCTCATGCCTGTAATCCCAGCACTTTGGGAGGCCGAGGCAGGCAAATCACTTGAGGTCAGGAGTTCGAGACCGGCCTGGCCAGCATGATGAAATCCCATCTCTATTGAAAATACAAAAATTAGCCGGGCGTGGTGGTGGGCACCTGTAATCCCAGCTGCTCGGGAGGCTGAGACAAGAGAATTGCTTGAACCTGGGAGGCGGAAGTTGCAGAGAGTTGAGATCGTGCCCTTGTACTCCAGCCTGGGTGACAGAGTGAGACTCCATCTCAGGAAAAAAAAAAAAAAATTCCCAGATCTGTTAGACACAAGTTTCACAAGGCCCAGCACAATATGCAGAAAGACATCAACCTACAGCATATTCTGAGAAATTTTATAAGAAGGGTAAAGAGAAAATCCTAAAGTCTTTCAAGAAAGGAAAGAAAACAGAAATAGAAACCAAAATAGCATTGAGCTTCTTAACACCAACACCAGAAGCTAAAAGTGGAAAAAAACCTTCCAAAATTCTGAGAGGAAATTATCGAGCCAAATCAAACATGAAGAGAGAATAAAGACATGCAAAGACTAGAAAATTTATTTCACACTTACTTTTTTTTAGGAAGCTCTGGAGTAGGTGCTCCATCAAAAATGAGGGTTTATTAGTCTGTTCTCACACTGCCATAAAGAACTACGTGAGACTGGGTAATTTATAAAGAAAAGAGGTTTAATTGGCTTACAGTTCTGCAGGCTGCACAGGAGACATGGCTGGGGAGGCCTCAGGAAACTTACAATCATGATAGAAGGGTGAAGCACGTCTTTACATGGTGGCGGGAGAGAGAGGGCGAAGGGGAAAGTGCTACACACTTTTAAACAACCAGATCTCGTGAGAACTCACTATCATGAGAACAGCAAGGGGAGAACCGCCCCCATGATCCAATCACCTCCCACCAGGTCCCTCTCCCAACATTGAAGATTACAATTCAACATGAGATTTGGGTGGGGACACAGAGCCAAACCATATCAGAGGACATGTATCAACAAACAGGGAAAGAGGAATCCAACATAGGAAATCAGGTGAGGGCAGTCTGAGGATCATAGAACAGGAAAGTCCAGATCAACAGCTATATGCAGAAAGCCCAGTGAGCTGCTAATCCCGTTTGAGAAGGAAGAAGGGGGACCCTGGGAGGAAGACCTTAAAAAATGACATTGATGAATCAGCTACTATGTTTGAGGATTTCAAAAGCAATATTAATTTTTTAATATTTAACAAATCTGATGCTATATTTGACTGAAAGTAACAAGGCAAAGTACAAGGAAAACTACCAAAATTTAAAATGAAATACCTTAAACATTTTTATTATGAAAATTTTCCACATACAAAAGTAGAATAGCTCTCATAGACCCATCACCCAGCTTCAGCAATTATAAAAATTTTGCCATTTTTGTTTCATCTGTCCTCCTACATGTTTTCTGGATTTTTTAAAAGAAAAAATACTCCAACATTATGTAATTTTATCCTAAAAATATTTATTATTCATCTATACCAATAAGGACATTTTTAAACCATAAGTACTATGCCATTAGCATACCTAAAAATAACAGTAATTCCATCTTAAACTTTAAATAGACAAACTTTAAATAGACAAACTTTAAATAATGGTATATATTTATGGGGTATAATGCTATGGTATGATACACAGTTGACCCTTGAACAACACAGGTTTGAACTGTGAGGGTCCACTTACAGATTTTCTTCCTTCTCTGCCACCCCTGAGACAGCAAAACCAACCCCTCCTCTTCCTCCTCCTCCTCAGCCTACTCAAACGTGAGGATATCCTGATGAGGATGAAGACCTTTATGATGATCCACTTCTACTTAAAGAATAGTAAATATATTTTCTCTTCCGTATTATTTTCTTCATAACATTTTATTTTCTCTAGCTTACTTTATTGTTAGAATGCATTATACAGTATACATAACATAGAAACAGTGTGTTAATCAACTGTTTCTGTTATTGGTAAGGCTTCCAAGCAATAGCAGGCTGTTAGTAGTTAATACATTGTGAAATGATTAACTCAAGCTAATTAAAATATACATCATCTCACATACTTATCATTTCTTTGTGGTGAGAACATTTAAAATCTACTCTTTTAGTGATTTTGAAATACACATTATTATTAACTAATAATTGCTAATATCATCTAATACCCAGTCTGTGGACCAATTTTCGATTGTTTCAAGCATACTTTTTTTTTTTTTTTTTTTTCAGATTCTTGATTTGAGCTAGGATCCAAACAAGGTGCTCATGTTGCAGTTGTGGTTATGACTCTCAAGTCTTCATTTTTTTTTCTGTAATAGTTCTCTAATCGTCTTCTTCCTTTTTCATGCCAATGATTCATTAGGGAAAGTGAGTCATTGGTTCTGTAGAATATCCCGCATTGTAAATGTATCTGATTGTCCTCTTGTGTCATCTAACTTGCTTTTGATTCTTCATATTACCTATAAACCGGTATTTAGCTATAGAAACGTAAATAGATTCAGATTTGTTTGGCAAGAATACTTTACAGGCACATAATTATTGGTTGTCTTACTTTAGTGAATTGTCTGCTAGGTTCAGGTGGTGTCAGGCTGATTACAATGAGGCAATTACTAACTCCATGTATAACAAGGAAGTCAATAATTTTGGTATGCCACGGCTATGCAGAGAACAAAATGTACCATAGGCTGTGCATGGTGGCTCACGCCTGTAATCCCAACACTCTTGAAAGGCCAAGAAAGCGAGCAGATGGCTTGAGTGCAGGAGTTCGAGACCAGCATGGGCAACATAGCAAAACCTTGTCTCTAAAAAAAACGCACAAAAAAAGTAGCTGGGCACAGTGGCTCACATCTATAGTCTCAGATACTTAGGAGGCTGAGGTGGGAGGATCGCTTGAGTCTGGAGCGGTTGAGACTGCAGTGAGCAGTGATTGCACCATTGCACTCTAGCCTGAGTGACAGAGACCCTGTTTCAAAAAACAAATTACCACAATCATTAAAATGAAACTCTTTTAGATTAACTACAGTTAAGGGAATCTGGTGGGAGAACAATAGTGTGCTGGCGAATCCTTCATTAGCTCAGAGGGTTCAAGGGCAGGTAACTCTGGTGACATTTGCTGATTTCCATAGAGTAAATACTCGCGCGGTGGCCAATTTTGAAACTAATGACTGTTTAATACTTGGCTTATACAATTTAACAATCAGCTCACACTGGCAGATGAAATACGCTCCAGCATATCATTGGGTTATATGAGGGTCATAAAATTAAATACTTCTCTTTTAGTATAACAGGAAGCCAATGTCTAAAATTAATAAATCAAGATATAAGAATAAGCATCTTAATTACAAACGTTAAGACTAGGAAAAACCCCACAAGTTCAGTGTTTTTAATTATAGGCCTTTTAATTGTATTTATTTTTAAATATGTACATGTTCTACGTACATGCTTAAAAACAGGATGCTTTAAAAATTTAAAGATAGCACAGAAGACAGCAAATCTTACTAGGTGAGGTCAGTGATGGAAACTGCTCCTCTCAAAATTAAGATCTGTCTCTGGGAAAGACTTGGCAACACAAGTTCCTTAGTTTCTACAACTGGGAATCGTCCATTCCATTATTAAAATTCTACCGACTTCAAAGCCAATGTCCTAGACTGGCGCAAACGTGTCAAAATATAAAGTCTCCATGATGAGTACAAAATGAAAGTATGTGGCTCTTGTGGTCAGTGTTACACCTAAACCAGGTGAGATGATGGGACTTGAAGTTAGGTGGGCTCCAAAGACCAGCCACAGCAACTACCACTGCCAACGCAAAACCTGGTGACAGCCTAGTGAGCCTTTGAGGGCCAGGTGCGGGCCAGCACAGATATAACAGAAACTGTAGATTTTTGTTGCTGGCCATTGGTTCCTCAAAGGCAGTGAAAGTGGGCAGGGACTGCACTATTCTCACCTAAGCATCCGTAGGCTTCACTTGGAGATTGATACAAAACACCCAATTCTCGGGAAAGTACTTGCTGTTCTGGGAATGCACCTGCACTCTGGCTCTGCTCCTAGGGAGTGCACAGAGTGGAACTTCCTTCTGCTGTACTGACATCCATGCAGAGGCTGAGGATGAAGGAGCACCTGGCCCTGCACTCATCCTGTGCTCTGCACTTCAGGCATGCTGCCTTCTTTCTCACCCTCCGTTTACTCCTCTCCAAGTCTCCTTTCTCTTTTTAAGTGCAAGTGGTGCATCAATTCATCCTCATGAAACAACAGTACAGAAATATGAAGAATAAGAGGATTATTGACCCCCTCAAATCCCACATTTCCCTAGAACGGGCACCTATTATAGCATGATGGCATACAGGAGATAGCAAACATATTTACTGAGTGATTAAATAAAATAATAGATGTTGTGCTGAACCCCTATTAACCTTCATAAGGAAGGCACCAGGTTCAAGAGGCCAAACAAGCTGCCCAGAGCCAGCAAATGAGACACGGGGTTGCATTAGGGGCTTATATATGAGAGAGAGCCCAGTGGCAGGGGCTGCACAACATAACTGCATGGCCCAGTGGTGGCGGGCTGGGCAGGAAAACTGCAGTCACTTACAAACAGCATGCAGTTGCTATAGTGTTTTCAGTTAAGACCCTCCCCTTACTGACCTCCACCTGGCAACCTTCATTTAACCTAAAATTCAGGGCCTCAATCACCTGTGACCCATGTTCCACAGGACGGGACAGGGGCTTAGATGTTCCTCATAGACAAGAAACAAATCTCTGGGTTGGCCACTCCCAGATTCTCTAGCTCAGAACACATTCAGGTGCATCTGCCAGACAGGGTCATCCTCAGGTTTCCCTTGAAATTATTCCTATCAGGTGTGTTTACCCTGCAGGAAACAACTTAAGTAGGCTCACTTTTACATATGCACTTCTTTCCTTTCCATTCCTCTCTTTCCCTCCTTTTTTTCCCCATATATATTCTAAAGGAGGCCACCATATCTTCCACATTGTAACTTAGTGCTTAATTGGAGTAATTATCTCAAGAAGAAGTTTAAAATATATTTCTTTTCTTTATATGTTTATTTTTTATTTGGATTTCTTGTTTTGTCCACAGACTTTATATGCTTATTTTAAATTTGGTTTATCATTATATTTATTTATTTAATTAAAAATTTTTTCTATAAGTTATTGGGGTACAGGTGGAGTGACCTGGATGAGATTGGAGACTATTATTCTAAGTGAAGTAACTCAGGAATGGAAAACTAAACACCGTATGTTCTCAGTAATATGTGGGAGCTAAGCTATGAGGACGCAAAGACTTAAGAATCATACAATGGACTTTGGGGACTTGTGGGGAAAAGTGAGGGGGGCGTGAGGGATAACAGACTAAAATGTATTTCTTATTTGTGTATCTGGTAAGAATTTCAGCTTCCATACTCAGGCATTCAAGAAATGTTACTGTAGTTTTCTACTAAATTTATATTTTGAGTCCTCCTTTACGAAGGAGGGCTCTCCCGCCACTCTCCAGGATTGCATGTAAACCCCAAATGTGCATCCAAACCTCAAGGTGTTGGGGGAGAATCTGTCTACACCAGTATTTGTGGAGATAGTCCCCCTCCTTATCTCCTGATTCATGCAGAGGGCTGTTGTTTCTTCACAGCTATGCCTCCTAAGTCAGATTCTCCCTCAGCTACTTTATACTCCAAGGCCTCTTAGTCTGGGTCAGGCTTCTCTGGCCACATACACCTACAGCCTTTTCTCCCAGTCTACGCTAGGTGCAGGGGAACTTGGTGTATCTCTACCCAGGAGGTGAATCACGGGTGCTTCTGCTCTTACAATTGCCAAACGTGGTGTTTCTATTATCTGTCATCCAACCATTCTTGGCTCTCACATATCAGCGCCCCCACTCCCCCTCGATACCTGGCAACTCTCTCTTCCTTCCCTTATTCCACACCTTCCCAGCCTATGGAATCTTCATGTAGTTTAGGAGTAGAGTGGAGAAACTAGAAAAACTCTCTCTAATTATGCATTCTTCTAAATCTTTTGTTTATGGCATAAACTTTATGCTCTGAATCCTAAATGGCTTCAACCTTTGAAACTTGAGAGCTAAGAATGAACTCTTGATTCCTGCTTCATTTTCTGCTACAGTGACCTATCTCTTAGGCAATGAATGTCTTTATGAATGTGGGGAGACCTGGATGACAGGAGAGATTGCCAGGAGCAAACTCACATAGTTAACATCTGTATTATTATCTCACTGCACTTGCAAATATTTACTAAGCACCTGGAGGCATGGAGGAGGGAAGGATGCCACAAAGATGGATAATAATTAGTCTCTGTCCTAAATTGACTTTACAATCTAGTGGGGAAGATAGGCACATCCTCAGAAAATAAAAAGAAGTAAATAAAGAATCAAAGCTTGAGAGAGGTTTCCCTCACATTGTACTAACTCTGTGGTTCCAAGGTTCCAAATGGACCCATGGTGTTAAGGGCTGCTTTTAAACCTGGTAATATGGTGAAGGGTCCCCTAGGGGAATTCTTCAATCCCATCCCAGCAGGGCAGGTAAGAATAGAAAAATTACATTCAAATATTAGGGTTGTGTGGGGCTAGGGGTGTGTGAATAGGTAGAAAACATGATTTTCTGTTCCCTCGAATAATTTATAACCTAGGTGAGGAAAAAAGTTATATCGAGATTATATAACCAATGAATAAAGCAAGACAGTATAAGCAGGACTGACTGTGTGATCCAAGGTTCATTTGCTGGGATCAGAAGATGCAGCAGAGGTTGAGCGATGGACTTAGTTAGGAAAGGCTTTCTGGAGAAGTTGAGGCATTTGGGGATCTTGAAAGAAGTGAAAAACTTTGATTATTACTCATAAAGGCTAACACTCAACACTTCTGTGCCAGTCACCCTTTTATGCATTTTATGTTTATTATTTCATAGAATCCTTACAACAATATTATAGAGTAGATACTATTTTTCTCATCCGCATTTACACATGAGGAACCTGAGGCACAGAGAAGTTAAGTAACTTGCCAGAAACTACACATCAGGATTAGAATGCTGACTGCACCCTTGAATTGGTGTGTTATTCCACCTTTAACAAAGGAGTTGAGAATTGTAATGGAAAAAACAGCTCTAATTAGAGCAGGAGGGAAGAGGGAGATGGCATTTGGGGGTCTAGTTGAGGCAGAGGGTTACAGCTAGAGCATAACTGGCTACAGACTCTAGGTGTCTCAACTAGAACTTTTGCTCCATATGGGTAACCAAACAGTCGTCAGGACTACACTTACATCCTAGCTGAGAAATGAGACACTCAGAGCACTGAGATGCTTGGAGAGTCTCAGAGCAGAAAGTCAGCCTTTGATGATACCTCCAGCTTCTGGTCCAACTTCTTGTTGCTGTAATAGGTGTGAAGGTAAATAAATGGCCCTCAGGGCCACACCTAGGCATCTGGGTTTTATCCAAATAGAGTGTCATTGTTGACCCTTAAACTAGGCCAAAACTCCTCTAAGAATACTCACTTGTCAGATGCAGGAAGGCAGGGATGAGCCCATTTCCAAAGGGCAAAACTGGACTAATAGAAGTCTGATTTTTGGTGGCAGGGGAATGAAATGGAGGAGGGAAACGGGTCTAAAAGACTTGTCAAAAGTCTTTGCCTCTTTTGGGACTCCAAAGATCTTTACAGAGGGAGGTAAAATGGTTTCTCTAAATGTATGGGTTTGGAACTCAAACCACAAATGGAGTGCCAGTTTAAGCCAGAAGAACAGTTGTCAGCATTAGGTTCATGTAAACTCCAGGATAAAACAAAACACCCAGAAAATCCTTAGGTTGTTATTTTCAGTTAGCAGCTTCAGCCAAAGCCTGGACATCAGGACTGAGGGGATGATGAGTGAATTCTTAGAAACAGGGCAGAGGTTTATCCTGGACAGGAAGAGGAATGAGAAGTAGCGGGGCTGTGGGATTTGAATAATGATTATTACAGTGGATGTGATGATGGTTTACCTACAAATCTGTTCATAAACCACATCTTAGCTTTAATGTAGCAGAAGTCCTTGCTGGTTTTGTTTTTTTTTTAAATGAGCCCCTTAGGGAATCTCTTTATGATATGAATCACAGCCCAGCAACAGGAGAGTGCAGGCAGCACCTTGGGAAGAATCAGAATGTCTGGCCTCCTGTCCCCACTCTGACCCTTACTTGGGGTATGTAATCTTGGACAAGACCATTAACCTCTCTGTGTCTCAAATCGTTCATTTCCAAAACTGGGACAAGACCTATGCTGCCTGCATTATCGTTGAGCTCATGTGAAATAATGCAGTTGAAAACACTTTGAAAAAATGTGCAATCCAGTCCACAAATGAATGGAATGTTTGTCTGTAAAATGCAGATAACTCTGACCTCAGCCCTCACAGGTTTGATAACAGTGCAGATTTAACAGTACTTCTTATCAAGCTTGTATTTCCAAACGAAAGGTGTTTCTACAGGTGCAGGAGTTGCTTTCCTGCCATTTCTTGTTTTTAATTTTTCTTAATGCTTTGGACATTTATTCGTGCTGTTTTGGGCAACATTTGCCCCTTGCAATGGCTGCCAATCATGGCATGAAATTCATTAAATGAGAATCATCTTAGTATTTTGACTATCGTCTTACTATAACCCAGGACTCATGCTTGGGAGCCCCAGCTCTACTTGAAATTCAGAAGTGACCTTTGGTTATCTGCTCTCTAGCTTCTTTGTATAGGAGCCCTTAAAAATTGGAGCAGGCAACATGCCTTTTAACTTGTGTCATAATCACTGCTGTTCATTAACCCGTGGCTACCCTGCAACCTATAACGCTGTACTGGGTTTTCTGGCCTACAAGGTGACCACAATTAACGGTTTATATTCATAAGATACATTTACTGGAAGCAAATGATCTTATATTACATTGTAAATCATTAAGTTGCAATCTCTTAAGGGTTCAGAGCTACTAGCATGGAAGCTCTCAGGAAGCATTTGTTGTGATAATAAAGTACATCATATTTGTTTGGCACTTCATAATTTACAAAGAATTTTCATATATACTATCAAGCACAACATTTTGGTTAAGCTTCTCACAGAATTTTACCTGTTAAAGACATCAACTTTACCCACTGACATACATTTAAATGTAAGCTGTTGTAATTCATGTATTTTAACAGAATCTATTGAAATTGTGGTTCTTCATTCTGGCTATATATGAGAAGCACCTAGAGACATTATTAAAAATACCAGTGGCTGTGTTTCTAACTCAGAACAACTAAATCAAAACAATGTTTTGTTTTTTAAGCTGCCTGATGATTCTAATGTGTAGCCACACATGAGGATCACTGCTATCCAAGAGAGACCGCAGTCTAAGTGACAGAAAACTAAGGGGCCGTCTATATGTGTGCCATGGGTACATAAAGAAAGGGGATTCTGAGTCCAAAACTACTAATTCAGAAGCAGTTCTTCTGACTTTTAGTTACAGTCCTGGTTAAAAAAAAAAAAGTCAGCCTTGGCCGGGCGCGGTGGCTCATGCCTGTAATCCCAACACTTTGGGAGGCTGAGGCTGGTGGATCACCTGAGGTCAGGAGTTTGAGATCAACCTGGCCAACATGGTGAAACCCTGTCTCTACTAAAAATACAAAAATGAGCCGGGCATGGTGGCGGGCGCCTGTAATCCCAGCGACTCGGGTGGCTGAGGCAGGAGAATCTCTTGAACCCGGGAGGCGGAGGTTGCAGTGAGAGCATGCCACTGCACTCCCACCTGGGTGACAGAGCAAGATTCCGTCTCAAAAAAAAAAAAAAAAAAAAAAAAAGCCTTGAAGCAAGTAATATATTAACAGTTATATAACCATCCATCCCACCATCAAATTCTGCCATTTTCTACATTCTCAACTCACCTCTTCTATTCATTAAGGAGCAAGGATCCAGGCTCTTAAAAGGGAAATGAAACACTTGTAGGAGAAAGGCTGATTGAATAAGGGTGAAGCTGGGTTTTATTTTATCTGTTGCAATATCAGTTTAGGAAGACAGATGCTTATAAGAGGAAGCCCATAATGTCTACCTGAGGAATTTCCTTGCAAAAGGCTACTGTGACTGTAGTCCTAGGTCTGCAGTAATTAACTATAGTATTCAGAAGTGGTCAAACTTGGACAATTGTCTTGCCTTCCCCAAACCCACATGAGATGACTTCTGATTCACAGTGGACCTGCTAAGCTGGCTGCATTCTGGGGGCAGATGGCTAGGGCTTTCTGATATCCAGAAAACCTATTAATAATCAAGAGCTCATTTGGTAAATATTATGAGAAGTCATTTGTCTCAGAACCCCTTGAATTATTACAGTCATGGTCAAGTCAAGAACAACAGTGTGTGATCTCAGATCTGCATAAAGATCACATTATATAACCAATTTCCAAGCCAGCAGTATATTTCTGATCTCACAGAGGCAAGCCTCTCATCAGGACGTTCCAGCAATTCCATGTTTCATAGAGACTGTGTTTGCTGCTAATATTAGTATCTGTGGGTGAAAATAGGCTAGGTCATAAATCCTGTACGCAACATTTCCCTTACAGATTTTTAAAATTCACAAAAGGTATTAATATATATTTAATCTGAAAGGACCTTATATTGCCTATTTTTAAAGTTCCTAAAATGTAAATTAAATGTCACTGACAATTATTGATCAATTGTGTAATGTGCTTATGCTAGCCGTCTGGGTTTCCTTACTTCTGACCATCTGAGTAATCATTTTCAGAGACATTTCAATCATATGTTGCTACCAACTCACCACAGCTGGTAAAATGTCATTGAAAAGTGTCATATGTTAAAGAAAGCATGCAAATGTCTTCAGGTTATGGGGCTGTGAAAATTCATGAATTTTTCACAGATAGTGATGCTATGAAAAATAACTGAAAGTTAATGCTGTGTGGGGAATCAGTTTTGATCTGAGTCTATAGTTCAGTGAATTTTTGTTGGAGATGGATTGTTTTCCTAAATTAGAGAGTACATAGAATAAATGGGTTTATCCCTAGTTGCTGTAATAACAACAATTTCTATTTCTGTGTTTTTTGTTTTTTTTTTTAGACAGAGTCTTGCTCTATCAGAGTGCAGTGGTGCGATCTCGGCTCACTGCAACCTCCGCCTCCCGGGTTCAAGCAATTCTCTGTCTTAGCCTCCCGAGTAGCTGGAATTGCAGGCGCCTGCCACCACGCCCCGCTAAGTTTTGTATTTTTAGTAGAGACGGGGTTTCACCATCTTTGTCAGGCTGGTCTTGAACTCCTGACCTCATGATCCACCCTCCTCGGCCTCCCAAAGTGCTGGGATTACAGGCTTGAGCCACCGCGTTCCCCTCCTTCTGTAGTCTTAATATTACTAGAACTCTAGATGCTATGGTTCTTAGTTAACACTGTGTAGGGCCTTATTAGAACTCTTTGTTAACACTGTGTAGGCCTCATGTGTGCAAAGCACAGTGCCTGGTCTTATATGGATAGCAAGTATTACATCAACACCAGTAATTATAATTGTCATCATGATAACGTTTATTATGTTATTATTATTAGTTCAGTCTGTTTCCCATCTAAAATCAAAGGACTGTTTCTAGAACTAAAATTCTTAAGATTTGAAGCAATGAAATCAAGCCAAGTTCCCTTAATGACATTACTCAATTTATAAATTCATAGCTCTATTATTGGGACAAAACCCCAAAGCAGATGTCTCTGAAATATACTAAGATAACATTTTAGTATCTGTTTCTGGAGTTACGCAAGCAAACAGAGAGGGAGCAACGGTGGGACCATACTGGGCATATCAGATGGTATCTGCAGTGAAATTTCACCCAGGGATTGCACAGGGTGGGGAGAATGGAAGAATTAGTCTGGCCTATAATGCAGCTACGAGGCCCCCTGGATGGCAGGTGGGTGGAGAGATGCTGAATCAAAGCAAAGACAGACTGCACAGCAAAAGCCAGCTGTGGATTCCTGGCCGAGAGTGTGGGTGAAGATTAACAACAAGGTCAGTTGAGGCTGGACAAGGATGAACACGTCAGGCCTTGGAAGGGCATTTGGGAACATTTCCTGGGTACACTGTAGGCTGAGGGAGACTATTGTCTATGGGGTGCTGAAAGTTAAACTTACGGGCGGGTGGCAGAGGGCTAAGGATTCCAAAATGGACACAAGAAATGTTCATGAAATACACCAGGAAGCAGAGGAGGATAAAAAGAGAATGAGCCAGATGGCACTGAAGGAGAGGTGTGGGAGGGCCCTAGAAGTGGTGGCCCCAAGAGCTGTCTGGGCTCAAAGTCTCCAGGAGGCTGAGCAGATTATTGTACCCAGGCCAGACTTCCCTTGAGCTAGTATGAAAAGAACACAGGCTCCAAGGTGCAGCATCTTCATCTCCAAGCACCTCTGAATTTCCTTACTTTATACAATTCTGTCTACTACCAAGTAGCTCACACACAGGAATCCAGAATAGCGCACTGCACTGAACGTGTCCCATCTACTCAAGTCTGTGACGCCTCTCCTAGAAAGACAATTTAATTGTAATGAATTCTGAGGGTAACAGTGGGTGGTACCAAAAACCAAGGCCTTTAAGAGTGTGGCTGACTGGGTTTAAATCCTGCATTTACCCCGTCCTCATTTTTGTTACTTTAATTCATTTATTTAACTTCTCTGAAAATCAGTTTTATTCTCTGTAAAGTAAGAATAATAAGATGACCTACAAAATTGCTGTTAGAATTAGAAATAATGCATTGAAAGTGACTAACACAGTGTCCAGGACATAGGCTTTTTTCTTTCTTTTTTTTTGAAAAATTAATGGTAGCTTTTATACTTAGCAATAAATAATAAGATAATATTTTCACATGTACATAAGCCTTTTTTTTCGAGACAGGGTCTCACTCTGTCACCCAGGCTGGAGTGCAGTGTTGAGATCACAGCTCATCTCAACCTCCAACTCCCGGGCTCAGGTGATCCTTTCACTTCAACCTGAATAGCTGGGACTACAGGTGCACACCACAACACCTGGTTTATTTTTGTATTTTTTGTAGAGACGGGGCTTCACCATGTTGCCCAGGCTGGTTTCAAGCTCCTAGGCTCAAGCGATTCACCTGTCTTAGTTGCCCAAAGTGGTGGGATTACAAGCATAAGCCGCCACACCCCACCTCATATAAGCCTTATAATTTAACTTTGTACCTGCCTACAAATTGATCATATCCTGAAAACACCTGTGATTTCTGGGAGCTCATGAACATTGCCTGAAGACCATATATTCCACTTCTGGTTTTCTGTTGGACAGAAGCACTACAAGCTCTCGTTTTCCTTATTTTGATTATTTCCTTATTTCGACTTCTAAAGTTTCATCTATTTAATGGTAGAAAGGAAAAAAATTAACCATATATTCGTACATACATATTTTTATGCTTTCTTTTTTTGTTGTTTTTGTTTTTTTTGAGACGGAGTCTTGCCCTGTTGCCCAGGCTGGAGTGCAGTGGCGCAATCTTGGCTCACTGTAACCTCCGCCTCCCAGGTTCAAGCGATTCTCCTGCCTCAGCCTCCCAAGTAGCTGGGACTACAGGTGCATGCCACCATGCTTAGCTAATTTTTTTTTTTTCTATTTTTAGTAGAGACGTGGTTTCACCACGTTAGCCAGGATGGTCTCCATTTCCTAACCTCATGATCTGCCTTCCTCGGCCTCCCAAAGTGCTGGGATTACAGGCATGAGCCACCGCACCCGGCCTTTATGCTTTCTTTATAGATATAAAAATGTGCTTATATTTTTTATTTTTTATTTTTTTTTCAATTTTCATTTTAAATTCAGGAGTACAGGTTTGTTATCTGGGTATTTTGCATGATGCTGAGGTTTTGAATACTACTGATCCCATCATCCGGATAGTGATTATAGTACCCAATAGGTAGTTTTTCAACACCTGCTCCCTTCCTCTCCTTCCCCAACCAGTAGTCCCCAGTTTCTATTGTTGCCATGTTTATGTCCATGAGTACCCAACGTTTAGCTCCTACTTAAGAGCAAGAACAGGCCAGGTGTGGTGACTCATGCCTGTAATCCCAGCACTTTGGGAGGCCGAGGCGGGCGGATCACGAGGTCAGGAGATCGAGACCGTCCTGGCTAACACGGTGAAACCCCGTCTCTACTAAAAATACAAAAAATTAGCCGGGCGTGGTGGCGGGCGCCTGTAGTCCCAGCTACTCGGGAGGCTGAGGCAGGAGAATGGCGTGAACCCGGGAGGCGGAGCTTGCAGTGAGCTGAGATAGCGCCACTGCACTCAGGCCTGGGTGAAAGAGGGAGACTCAGTCTCAAAAAAAAAAAAAAAAAAAAAAAGATCAAGAACATAAGTGAGAATATGTGGTATTTGCTTTTCTGTACCTGTGTTAATTTCCTTAGGATAGTGGCCTCCAGCTTCATCCATGTTGCTGCAAAAGACATGATTTTGTTCTGTTTTTCGGCTGCATAGTATTTCATGGTGTACATGCACCACATTTTCTTTATCCAGTCCACTGTTGATGGGCACCTAGGTTGATTCCTTGTCTTTGCTATTGTGAGTAGTGCTGTTGTGAACTTACAAGTGCATACGTCTTTTTGGTAGAATGATTTGTTTTCTTTTAGGATATATACCCAGTAATGGGATTGCTGGGTGAAATGGCAGCTCTGTTTTAAGTGGTTTGAGAAATCTCCAAACTGCTTTCTGTAGTGGCTGAACTAATTTACATCCCCACCAACAGTATATAAACATTCCTTCTTCTCTGCAGCCTCGGCGGGATCTATTGTTTTTTGACTTTTTAAAAATTATATTTTAAGTCCTGGTATACATGTGCAAAGCATGCAGGTTTGTTACATAGGTATACATGTGGCATGGTGGTTGTCTGCACCCATCAACCTGTCATCTAGGTTTTCAGCCCTGAATGCATTATGTATTTGTCCTAATGCTTTCCCTCCCCTTGCCACCCACCCCCCAGCAGGCCCTGGTGTGTGATGTTCCCCTCCCTGTGTCCATGTGTTCTCATTGTTCAGCTCCCACTTATGAGTGAGAACATGCAGTGTTTGGTTTTCTGTTCCTGTGTTAGTTTGCTGAAGATGATGGTTTCCAGATTCATCCATGTCCCTGCAAAGGACATGAACTCATTTTTTATGGCTGTATAGTATTCCATGGTGTATATGTACAATGTTTTCTTTATCCCATCTATCATTGATGGGCATTTGGGTTGGTTCCAAGTCTTTGCTATTGTGAATAGTGCTGCAATAAACATGAGTGTGCATGTGTCTTTATAGTATAATGATTTATAATCCTTTGGGTATATACCCAGTAATGGGATTGCTGGGTCAAATTGTAGCTCTGTTTTAAGGTCTTTGAGAAATCTCCAAACTGCTTTCTGTAGTGGCTGAACTAATTTACATTCCCACCAACAGTATATAAATGTTCCTTCTTCTCTGCAGCCTCACCAGCCTCTACTGTTTTTTAACTTTTTAATAATAGGCATTCTGACTGGTATGAGATGATATCTCACTGTGGTTTTGATTTGCATTTCTCTGAAGATTAGTGATGTTGACCTTCCATAGGTTTTAGGAACCAGAAGAAACCTTAAATTTGAAGTCTCCATATAGTTTTTATTTCTTTCCTCTCCCCCTTATGAAACGATTCACAATATATAATGGAGCCAAACTCCCTTAAGGGCCTGAGAAGCTGTTATACTTTCATATCCTGACACCTCCTCCCCTAGCCCCCCATTAAACTTTTCCCTGGAATCCACTCCAGAACATGATGTATACATCAATAAACATGTTGGGGTTAAAATTATTTTATATTTTATATGCATGCTTCCAAACTCTCCTTTCCTGAGCCTCACTAGAATGGGTAAAATGGGTTCTGGCTTTGCGAGCTCTTAATTTCTTCTCCTTCCTCAGTTTCAAAGGGGGATTCTGCCATTGCCAAATAGATTCTTTACAATTTTGTGATGTAGAATTACAAGAAAAATTGGTGGAGTAAAAGGATAAAATGTTCTCATGCTAGGGCTGGCAGTGAGAGATTAGGAAATGGAAGAGTATGACATATGTGGAGAAGCAGATGAGAGAGGAAGGGGGTGTTGTGAAGAAATCCTTAAAATTTCTTGCAACTCATATGTATTCCAGAAATGCAAGCAAATGCCTTCCATTATTTTGAAATTAATGTTTGATTGCTGGACTTCTTCTTTTTTTTTTTTTTTTTTTGAGATTTTTTTTTTTTTTCTTGTGGCCCAGGCTGGAGTGCAATGGCGCGATCTCGGCTCACCGCAACCTCTGCCTCCCAGGTTCAAGCCATTTCTCCTGCCTCAGCTTCCCAAGTAGCTGGGATTACAGGCATGCGCCGCCACGCCCGGCTAATTCTGTATGTTTAGTAGAGATGGGCTTTCTCCATGTTGGTCAGGCTTGTCTTGAACTCCCAACTTCAGGTGATCCACCCGCCTCAGCCTCCCAAAGTGCTGGGATTACAGGCGTGAGCCACCGTGCCCGGCCTGCTGGACTTTATTGTTATAGCATATATCATTTTGAGACTGAGCCATATGGGTCATAATTTTTCAAATTAGTTTTAATAAGGTTACATAAATTCACATTGGAATAAATCACAACTACAGTAGCCACTTGGAGAGATGGCTAGATGATAAAATTGCCTACAGAGAAAGGTGTGGATTAGAAAAACAGCTTAGGTCCATGGTTCTCCAATCTTAGGATATATAAGACTTATCTGGGGAGCATTTTAAAATGCAGACTCTTGGACTATATCCCAAGGAGCTTTGATGCTGTTTTTTTTTTTTGTTTTTTTTTTTTTTTTGGTGGGAGGTCTAGGAATCTGCATGTTTCATTATCCCCCATATGATTCTCATGCAAGGAATTTATGAACCCCACTCAGGCTCAGGCCAATAAGAATTCGTCATTTCCAAACAGTTCTGTGTGTCAGGGGACTCCTGAAGTTCAACTACGGAAACGTGAGCTTAAGAGTGTTCCCGGCCGGGTGCGGTGGCTCAAGCCTGCAATCCCAGCACTTTGGGAGGCCGAGGTGGGCGGATCACGAGGTCAGGAGATTGAGACCATCCTGGCTAACACGGTGAAACCCCGTCTCTACTAAAAATACAAAAAATTACCTGGGCGTGGTGGTGGGCGCCTGTAGTCCCAGTTACTCGGGAGGCTGAGCAGGAGAATGGCATGAACTCGGGAGGCCAGATTGCACTACTGCACTCCAGCCTGGGTGACAGAGCGAGACTCCGTCTCAAAAAAAAAAAAAAAAAAAAAGAAGGAAGAAAAAAAACTGTTCCCTTGGATCACCCCAAAGAAAACCTTTGGGCTTTCTCTATTGCATCCTTCTTAGTCACATTTGCAGGGACATCTCCTCACCTTTGCAGTGATAATTATCCCCCTCTCCAGCCCTTGAAATCCATAGATGAACTGAAAACAATAATTTTTTTCCTCCTGATTCATAGAATAAGTATGTACCCTAAACCCCCTCCAACACTAACACAAGCCATTAAATCACATTTGCCAAAGTCATTTCACCAATGCAAATTTCTACAAAATCTTAACAGAAAGATAATGGAACAGAAGAATTGGCTGTAAATTGTAAAGATTAACTTGCCTGGGTGCATGACAGAATACTGAAATGAAAACACAAAATGTTTTGCTTACAAAAGTTTTTGAAAGAGGATGCCCTTGTCTAAGTAGAAAGGTTTGATTAACCAGGTTGTTCATTTAAAAACCATACAGTGAAAATATTTATGTGCATCTCATGGTAAGGGCTTGCCCAGAGCTCTTAAAGCCTGAATTGAAAGATATTAGGACCACCCATGTACTGTACCTAAAAATAAAATATCAAATGTTCTAAGGGCAACATTGCTCTATTTAGCCTTTTGCCATTCATCATGCAGGTGACATTGAAAAATGCAGTCACTGAAGTGGAACTTGTAAAGTGAAACAGACCATCATCAAATAAAAGGCTTTTATGGAAACTCTGGAGGATCAACTTAATAACAAGCCAGGCTTGCAGGGAGGATGCTCCTGTGACTCTTTGGTAAATTCACACAATAACTGTCCAGGAGACTGCTGAATTGATTGGTCAACCCTAAAGACCCTGGAGGAAGGCCTGGGAGTAAATGTACCTCTGGTTGGATACTGTCCATTCAGCTTATTTCATCCACACTTCCAGACCTGTTTCTGAAAAATAATGGTCATGTCCTGCTCAATCTGGAGATATGATACCTCGTTGTCATCTTAAATAAATTTCAACCCTATAATAACATATTTCGCTTGTCTCAGTCATAGCTCTGCTAGGGATTAATAAAGTGAAGTGGCAGTGAGCAGTAGGAAAGGCAAGCAGCGAAAAGGTAAAATCAGTTAGGTTTTGTGTATTTGAACAAATTTCTTTTAGGAGACCCATTCAAATAGAATCCTATCTGTTAGAAGAAATCTTATCTCTTATAAGAAGTATCAGAGTTAGTGATGGGGTAAAGAGGTCTAAGTTGTAAAACACAAAAATCTAATACTAAATGTAGTAAAATGACTTTGAAATGTTTTCTTATCACTTTCTGACTGTAAAAGTAAAACATCCACAGTGTAGAAAATAAAAGTATAATAAGTTTAGAAAACAATGCTACAGTGATTACCGTATTAGCTTCCAACATCTGAAATATTGTGGTAATCTTATTTTTAAAAACTTTTAAAAAGCCAAATAGCCTTTGCTTCCCAATTCAGAACTATTGGTTGTTTCTCAGTTGCTTTTCTTATAGACTTCGTGAAACTATTCACAAAAGCTTGAGACTCAGTCAAACACGTAACACTTTACAGACTGATAAATCTAAAGCTCTTTATTTCCGGGGAGCAGTGGTTTACTTTATGTCACATCCCGGTTTTGTAAACAGGCCCTGGCATCACAAATACTCCAGAAAGACTACAGCCTGCAGCATGTTTTCTTGTGCTGGATATGCCACCGTTAGCATCAGAACTCACATGGGAAAATAGCGAAGAATGAGTCACATGCCTCCCTAGAGCTGGCCACCTTTCCTAAAACAGTTGAACATTTACGTATGCCAGGTTTGAAGCATATGATTCTAAAGAGTGACACAGATTGTTTCTGTTTCAACTGAAAATGTTTTACCAATAAGAAAACAGGATAAGGGACACTACCTAAACTTGCAGTCCTTAAATAATCTTCTCCAAGATTGATGAATACGACAAAATCTTTATAGAAAAGAGCCTCATTAATTTTGATTCATACCTAAAACTGTGCACTTAAATCCTAACCTGGAATTTAGCAGTCCAAAAATATCAACCAGTTCCTATTAAAAGGAATATAAAATTTGTCTGCTTGATATGTTTTCCTTCTATTAAAAATTGGTACTTTGTCTTCAGAAGAGGACAAAATCTGAAGAAATTCAGAAGAAGAAAGGCATTGAAGAAGTTCAGTGGTGAGGATTCAGCCTTCTATCATGGCATTTTATGTTTGTTTCTTTGGCATAAGAAGTAAACATTTTCTCTAAAAAGGTAGTTAATCTCAACTTGATAAAGAATATCTACAAAAACTTGACAGTAAGCCTTATACTTAATGGTAAGAAACTAAGAGCTTTCCCACTGAGATCAGAAACAAGGCAAGGATGTCCCCTCTCATCACTGCTTTTCAACATTTTACTGGAAGTCCTAGCTACTGCATTAAGACAAGAAAAGTATATAAAATTTAAACTGTTTGGGAAGGAGAAAATAAAACTGTCTTTGCAAATAACGTGATATTCAACTTCGGAAAACTCAAAAGAATTAACCAAAAAACCAAAAACAAAAACAAAAGACAAACCTCCTAGAACTAATACGAGATTTTAGCAAGGTTTCAGACACAAAGTTTTCTATACAAAAGTCATCAGTCATCACTTTCCTATATACCAGCAATAAATAAGTGGAGTTAACATATTACCATTTACATTGGCACTCTCAAATGAAATTATTAGGTATAAATCTAACAAAATCTGTACAAAATCTATATGAGGAAAACTACAAAACTCTGATAAAAGAAATCAAAGAACTAAATAAAAGGAGAGAGATTCTATATTCATGGAAAGGGAGACTCAGTATTGTCAAGGTGTCACTTCTTCCCAAGTTGATCTGTAGATTCAATGAAATTCAAATCAAAATCCTAGCAAGTTACTTTGTAAATATTGACAAATTGATTCTAATGTTATATGGAGAGGCAAAAGACCCAGAATCGCCAATATAATATTGAAGGAGAAGAACAAATTTGGGGGACTGAAACTACCTGACTTCAAGACTTACCGTAAAAGTATAGTAATTGAGACAGTGTGGTATTTCTGAAAGAATAGTTACATCAATCAATATGATGGAATAGAGGGCCAGAAATAGACCCACATATATCTAGTCAACTAATCATTGACAAAGAAACAAAGGCAATACAGTGGAGAAAAGACAGTCTTTTCAACAAATGGTGCTGAAACAATGAAACATCCACGTGCAAAGAAAAGCATCTAGACAAAGACCTTACACCTTTCACAAAAATTTACTCAAAATGAATCAGAGACCTAAATATAAAATGCAAAACTATAAAACTCCTAAAAGATAACTTAGGAGAAAATCTAGATGACATTGGGTTTGGTAATGATGTTTTCGATACAATGCTAAAGGCATAACTCATGAAAAATAATAAGCTGGAGTTTATCAAAATTAAAAACTTCTGCTCTGCAAAAGACATTGTCAGAGAATGAAAAGACAAGCCACCAACTGGGAGAAAATATCTGCAAAAAACATAGCTGATGAAGGGCTGTTATCCAGAATACAAAAAGAACTCCTAAAACTCAACAATAAGAAGACAATCTGGATTAGGATGGTGGAGAGGGGCAGGACTAGCTTGCAGCTCCTGCTCAGATGGATGGAGCAGTGTGTGGAGACTGACATCATGGACTTTTGCTCCAAGAACTACCACAGGTACATACCAGGAAAGTCGAGAGAATCCACAGACACTTTGAAAGAACTAGATCACCACTGCAGTCTCCCTGAGATGCTGAAAAACTGTGGTGGTATCCACGACTGCAAAGCCTGAAGACAGATCACAAGACTCTTTGCAGATACTCCCCAGTACCAGCCTGGAGCACAGTAGCTCCGCTAGGTGACTAGACCCAGAAGAGCAAAAATAATTACTACAGTTTGGCTCTCAGGAAGCTCCATTCCTAGGGGAAGGGGGAGAACATCACATCAAGGGAGCATCCCATGGGACAAAAGAATCTGAACAGCAGCCTTGAATCTCAGTTCTTCCCTCTGTTATAGTCTACCCAAATGAGAAGGAACCAGAAAAACAATTCTGATAGTATGACAAAAGAAGACTCCAAGATCATACCAGCTCACCAGCAATGGATTCAAAACAAGACAAAATCTCTGAACTGCAAAATAGAATTCAGAAGGTCGATTATTAAGCTAATCAAGGAAGCACCAGAGGAAGGTGAAGACCAACTTAAAGATACAGGATATGAAAGGAAAAGGAAAATTCTTCAGTGAAATAGATAGTGTAAATAAAAAACAATCACAACTTCTGGAAATCAAGGACCCAGTTAGAGAAATGCAAAATACACTAGAAAGTCTCAGCAATAGAATCAAATAAGCATAAGAAAGAACTTTAGAGCTCAAAGACAAGGCTTTTGAATTAACCCAATCAGTCAGAGACAAAAAAAAAAAAAAAAGAATTAAAAAAAATGAACAGAACCTCCAAGAAGTTTGGGACTATGTTAAATGTCGAAACCTAAGAATAATTGGGTTCCTGAGGAAGAAGAGAAATCTAAAAGTTTAGAAAACATATTTGAGGGAATAGTAAAGTAAAACTTCCTCAGCCTTGCTGGAGATTTAGATATCCAAATACAAGAGGCTCAAAGATCACCTGGGAAATTTTTCACAAAAAGATCATTGCCTAGGCACATAGTCATCAGGTTATCTAAAGTCAAGACAAATGAAAGAATCTTAAGAGCTGCGAGGCAAAAGCATCAGGCAACCTATAAGGGAAAATCTATCAGATTAACAGCAGATTTCTAGCAGAAACCCTACAAGCTAGAAGGGATTGGGGTCCTATTTTTGGCCTCCTTAAACAAAGCAATTATCAGCCAAGAATTTTGTATCCAGTGAAACCGAGCTTCATAAATGAAGGAAAGATACAGTCATTTACAGACAAACAAATACTGAGAGAATTCTCCAGTACCAAGCTAGCACTACAAGAACTGCTAAAAGGAGCTCTAAATCTTGAAACAAATCCTCAAAATAAACCAAAATAGAACCTCCTTAAAGCATAAATCTCACAGGACCTATATAACAATAACACAATGAAAAGAAAAAAAAAAAAACAGGCCGGGCATAGTGGCTCATGCCTGTAATCCCAGCACTTTGGGAGGCAGAGGCAGGGAGATCATGAGGTCAGGAGATCGAGACCATCCTAGCTAACATGGTGAAATCTCATCTCTACTAAAAATACAAAAAATTAGCTGGGCGTGGTGGCGTGCACCTGTAGTCCCAGCTACTCGGGAGGCCGAGGCAGGAGAATGGTGTGAACCCGGGAGGCAGAGCTTTCAGTAAGCTGAGATTACGCCACTGCACTCCAGCCTGGGGGACAGAGCGAGACTCCGTCTCAAAAAAAACCAGACCTTCAGGCAACAAATAGCACAATCAATAGAATAATACCTCACATCTGAATATTAACATTGAATATAGATGGCCTAAATGCTCCACTTAAAAGATGCAGAATGGCAGAATAAATAGGACTTCACCAAACAACTATCTGCTGCCTTCAAGAGACTCACCTAACAAATAAGGACTCACATAAACTTAAGGTAAGGGGGTGGAAAAAGACATTCCAAGCAAATGAACACCAAAAGCGAGCAGGAGTAGCTGTTCTTATATCAGACAAAACAAACTTTAAAGTAACAGCAGTTAAAAAAGACAAAGGGGAATATATAGTAATAAATGGACTAGCCAACAGGAAAATATCACAATTCTAAATATATATTCACCTAACACTGGAGTTCCCCAATTTTTTTTTTTTGAGATGGAGTCTTGCTCTGTCACCCAGGCTGGAGTGCAATGGCATGATCTCAGCTCACTGCAACATCTGCCTCCTGGGTTCAAACGATTCTCCTGCCTCAGCCTCCCGTGTAGCTGGGATTACAGGCATCTGCCACCATGCCTGGCTAATTTTTGTATTTTTAGTAGAGACAGGGTTTCACCATGTTGGTCAGTCTGGTCTCAAACTCTTGATCTCAGGTGATCCACCTGCCTCAGCCTCCCAAAGTGCTGGGATTACAGGCGTGAGCCACTATGCCCAGCCTGGAGCTCCCAAATTTATAAACAATTATTACTAGACCTAAGAAATGAAATAGATGGCAACACAATAATAGCGGAGGACTTTAATACTCCACTGATACCACTACACAGGTCATTAAGACAGAAAGTCAACAAAGAAACAATGAACTTAAACTATACCCTAGAACAAATGGACTTAACACATATTTACAGAGCATTCTACCCAACACCTATAGAATATACATTCTATTCATCAGCACATGGGACATTCTCAAGATAGACCATATGGTAGGCCACAAAACAAGTCTCAGTAAATTTGAGAAAATTGAAATTATGTCAAGTAGTCTCTCAGACTGCAGTGGAATAAAATTGGAAATCAACTCCAAAAGGAACCCTCAAAACCATGCAAATACATGGAAATTAAATAACCTGCTTCAGAATGATTGTTGGGTCAACAATGAGATTAAGATGGAAATTTAAAAATTCCTTGAACTGAATGATAATAGTGACACAAGCTATCAAAACCTCTGTGATACAGCAAAAGTGGTGCTAAGAGGAAACTTTATAGCATTAAATGCCTACATCAAAAAGTCTGAAAGAGCACAAATAAGGTCACACCTCACGGAACTGGATAAACGTGATTAATCTAAACCTAAACCCAGCAGAAGAAAATAAATAATGAAGATCAGAGCAGAACTAAATGAAATTGAAACAAAAAAAAAAATACAAAAGGTATATGAAACAAAAAGCTGGTTCTTTGAAAAGATAAATAAAATTGACAGGCCATTAACTAGATTAACCAAGAAAAGAAGAGAGAAGATCCAAATAAGCTCAATTAGAAATGAAACAGGAGATATTACAACCGATACCACAGAAATACAAAATATCATTCAAGGCTGCTATGAACACCTTTTTGTGCATAAAATAGAAAACCTAGAGGAAATGGATAAAGTCCTGGAAATACACAAACCTCCTAGATTAAATCAGGAAGATATTGAATCTATGAACAGACTAATAACAAGCAGCAAGATTGAAATGGTAACAAAAAAATTGCCAACAAAAAAGTCCAGGATTCACAGCTGAATTATATTAGACAGTCAAAAAAGAATTGGTACCAATCCTATTGACACCACTCCAAAAGCTAGAGAAAGAGGGAATCCTCCCTAAATCCTTCTATTAAGCCAGTATCACCCTAATACCAAAATCAGGAAGGACCTAACAGAAAAAAGAAAACCACAGACCAATAACCCTGATGAACAAAGATGCAAAAACCCTCAATAAAATACTAGCAAACCGAATCCAACAGCATATCAAAAAAATAATCCACCAAGATCAAGTGGGTTTTATATTAGGGATGCAGGGATGGCTTAACATACATAAGTTAATAAATGTAATACACCACATAAACAGAATTTAAAAAAATCACATGATCATGTCAATAGACACAGAAAAAGCATTTGACAAAATCTAGCATCCCTTTATGATTAAAACCCTCAGCAAAATTGGTATAGAAGGGACATACCTTAAGGTAATAAAAGTAATCTGTGACAAACCCACAGCCAACATCATACTGAATGGGTAAAAGTTGAAAGCATTTCCCCTGAGAATAAGACAAGATGCCCACTTTCACCACTTCTGTTCAACTTAGTACTGGAAGTCCTACCAAGAGCAATAAGACAAGAGAAAGAAATAAAGGGAATCCAAATCAGTAAAGAGGAAATCAAATTGTTGCTGCTTGCTGATGATGTGATCATATACCTAAAGAACTCTAAAGACTCCTCCAAAAAGCCCCTAGAACTGATAAATGAATTCAGCAAAAGTTAAGGATACAAAATTAATGTACACAAACCAGTAGCTCTTCTATACACCAACAGCGATCAAGCTGAGAATCAAGTTAAGAACTCAACCCCTTTCACAATAGCTGCAAAAAGTTAAATACTTAGGAATATACCTAACCAAGGAGTCGAAACACCTCTACGAGGAAAACTACAAAACACTGCTGAAAGAAATCATTGATGACACAAACAAATGAAAACACACCCCATGCTCATGGATGAGTAGAATCAATATTGTGAAAATGACCATAGTACCAAAAGCAATCTTCAAATTAAACGCAACTCCCATCAAAATACCACCATTTTTCACAGAGCTAGAAAAAAAATTCTAAAATTCATATGGAACAACAACAAAAAAAAGCCTGCATAGCTAAATCAAGATGAAGCAGAAAGAACAAATATAGAGACGTCATATTTCCAACTTCAAATTATACTATAAGGCCATAGTCAACCAAACAGCATGGCACTGGTATAAAAACTGGCACATAGACAAATAGAACAGAGTAGAGAACCCAGAAATAAAGCCAAATACTTACAGCCAACTGATCTTTGACAAAGCAAACAAAAACATAAAGTGGGGGAAAGAACACCCTATTCATCAAATGGTGCTGGGATAATTGGCAAGCCACATGTAGAAGAATAAATCTAGATCCTTGTCTCAAATCAAGATGGATCAAAGACTTAAATCAAAGATCCGAAACCATAAAGATTCTAGAAGATAACACTAGAAAAACCCTTCTAGACCTTGGCTTAGGCAAAGACTTCATGATCAAGAATCCAAAAGCAAATGCAACAAAAACAAAAATAAATACATAGGAATCAAACTAAAAAGCTTCTGCAGCGAAAGAAATAATCAGCAGAGTTTACAGACAACCCATAGAGTGGGAGAAAATATCACAATCTGTACATTCGACGAAGGACTAATAGCGAGAATCTACAAAGAACTCAAACAAATTAACAAGAAAAAACCAAACAAACCCACCAAAAAGTGGGTTAATAAAAAAGAATGAGTTCATGTCCTTTGCAGGGACATGGATGAAGCTGGAAACCATCATTCTCAGCAAACTAACACAGGAACAGAAAACCAAACACCTCATGTTCTCACTCATAAGTGGGAGTTGAACAATGAGAACACATGGACACAGGGAGGGGCCTGTCGGCGGGTAGGGGGCTAGGGGAGGGATAGCATTAGGAGAAATACCTAATGTAGATGATGGGTTGATGGGTGCAGCAAACCACCATGGCACGTGTATACCTGTGTAACAAACCTGCACGTTCTGCACATGTATCCCAGAATTTAAAGTATAATAATAATAAAAAAGTGGGCTAAGGACATGAATAGACAATTCTCAAAAGAAGATATACACATGGCCAACAAGCATATGGAAAAATGTTTAAAATAACTAATTATCAGGGAAATGTAAATCAAAACCACAATGCAATATCACCTCACTCCTGCAAGAATGGCCATAATCAAAAAATAAAAAAAACAACAAATGTTGGTGTGGATGCAGAGAAAAGGGAACACTTTTACACTGCTGGTGGGAATGTAAACTAGTACAACTACTATGTGAAACAGTGTGGAGATTCCTTAAAAACTAAACATAGACCTACTGTTTGATCCAGCAATCCCACTACTAGGTATCTACCCAGAGAAAAAGAAGTCATTATATGAAAAAGATACTTGCACATGCATGTGTATGGCAGCACAATTTGCAAATGCAAAAATATGGAACCAGCTTAAATGCCTGTCATTCAATGAGTGGATAAAGAAAATTATCCATATATATATGTGTGTGTGTGTGTGTGTGTGTGTGTGTGTGTGTGTGTGTGTTTGTGTATGTGTGTGTGTATACACCATGGAATACTACTCAGCCATAAAAAGTAATGAAACAATGGCATTCACAGCAACCTGGAAAAAAGTAGAGGCTATTATTCTAAGTGAAGTAACTCAGAAATGGAAAAACCAAACAATGTCTGTTCTCACTCATATGTGGGAGTTAAGCTATGAGGATGCAAAGGTATAAGAATGATACATTGGACTTTGGGGAAAGGGTAGAGGGTGGCGAGGGATAAAAGACTACACATTGGGTACAGTGTTCACTGCTCAGGTGATGGGTGCACCAAAATCTCAGAAATCACCACTAAAAAACGTATTCATGTAACCAAATGCCCCCTGATCCCCAAAAACCTATTGAAATAAAAAAATTGAAAAAAGGAAAACAATCTGATTAAGAAATAGGCCAAATATTTCACCAAAGAAGAAATACAGGTGGTAAACAAGCACACAAAAAGATGTTCAACATCATATATTATTAGGGAATTGCAAGTTAAAACAAGGAGATACCACTACACACCTATTAGAATGGCCAAAATCCAGAACACTAAAAACACCAAATGCCAGTGAGGATGTGGTGCAACAGGAGCTCTCATTCAGTGCTGGTAGAAATGTAAAATGGTTCAACTACTTTGAAAGATAGTTTGGCAGTTTCTTAAAAACTAAACATACTCCTACATATCATCCAAATCCCCTGATATTTGTCCAAAGGGGTTAAAAACTTAAGTCCACAAGAAATCTGCACATAGATATTTATAGCAACTTTATTTATAATTGCCAAAATCTGGAAGCAACCAAAATGTCCTGCAGGAAGTGAATGGATAAATAAACTGAGGTACATCCAGACAATGGAGTATTATTTAGTGCTGAAAAGAAATGAGCTATCAAACCCTGGAAAGACATGGAGGAAATTTAAATGCATATTACTAAGTGAAAGACGCCAACCTGAAAAAGCTACATACTATATACTACATACTATATAATTTTAACCATATGACTTTCTAGAAAGGTAAAGCTATGGAGACCGTAAAAAGATTAATGGTTGCCAGGAGTTAGGGAAGATTAAATAGGCACAGCACAGAGGAATTTTAGGATAGCAAAACTACTCTATGCAATACTATAATGGTGTGTACATGGCATTATATATCTAGACTTGCAGAATGTAAAATACAAAGAGTGGACACTAATGTAAACTATGGACTTTGGGTGATGATGATGTGTCAGTGTAGGTTCAGCAACTGTAACAAATGTACCATTCTGGTGGGAGGCTATGCATGTGTGGGGACGGGGAGTATACAGGAAACCTCTGTAGCTTCCATTCAATTTTGCTGTGAGCCTAAAACTACACTAAAAAATAATGCCTATTTACTTAAGGCGCTTAATTGTAAAATTAAAGTCACTTGTGTCTATAAACTTTTTTTTAAATGAAACACTAGGGAAAAGTTTTATGCTGAAATCTTATGGATTGATTTAAGTTATACTAAAGGCCCTGCTCACGAATGCTGAGTTCTCAAATAAAAAACAATTATTCTTCTTAAATATTTATTTCTCTTTTCATCTTACTTTCCATAGGATGGATTTGTTGACTTTTTGGAGTTTATTGCTGCTGTAAATCTAATCATGCAAGAAAAAATGGAGCAAAAATTAAAATGGTATTTTAAGCTGTATGATGCTGATGGAAATGGTTCTATTGACAAAAATGAACTACTGGACATGTTCATGGTAAGTGAAGTAGTAAAGTATCCTTTTCAGGCCGCTATATAGTTAACCCAATTTCCCTTCCTATGGAGTAGGTAACAGCTGTCTATGGGGTTGGCTATTTTGGCGATATACATTTTGAATTGCTGAAGTAATATAAGCTTTACTTAACCTATTGATTACTGAATGGGCAACAGCAAATCAGCTTTTTCTTCTTGGTGCAGTCCACCCTGACATTCACAAATTTAACAGAGCATTGCGATGAAGAAATGAAACAAATATGATATTGTAAAGCAACTTATCTTTTTCTGTGCCTCAGTGCAGAATGCCTTGTGAGGAATAGCTAAACTATGAGATGGTTTATATATATTTAACAAGAGACATGGACTAAGAATGAAGGTATGTGAGGACTAATCTTTCTGGGAGCTATACTGAAGTATTTCTAATAGTTGGTTCAGGGATCTCAGATCTTTTCCATATCTAAAGTTCAATAAGTGCCTTTATAAGCCACTGTACCACCACCCCAATGGAGTAGGAGATAGTTATTATCATGGTATGAAACAACAAAGATCCCAGAGTAAAAAAATGGTTAAGCAGGACACTATACCTAAATGAAGATAAGAGGTGTAATTAATATTATGAATTCAAGACATTGAATTTGTAAGGCAGACTCAAAGAGCATTAGAATTAGATGTCTTAGAAATGATCTGGTCCAAATTATTTGTTTCATAGATGAAGGAGCTGAGTTACAAATAAAATACGTAGTAGAAATATTAGCAAAAATGCCAGAAAAATAAGTGAGTAGAACTACTTTTATAATTAAACTTCTCAACAAACGTTCAAAGCAGATAAAAATGTAAAGCTAAATAAGCGAATGTAGAGTTAACCAACATATGGAAAGAATTCAAGGGTAGGATAATACCGATATTGCTAATGTTTTAATTTCACATAGATCATTCACACAAAAAAAATGTGCTAGGATTCACTTGGCAAGTGAACAATTTAGAAATTCTGCCTATACCTTATATATTGCAACACAAAATTAGAAATCAAATATTCTATAGAGAATACACAACCTCGTGTAAATTTTAAAATATTCTCTTAAATACTCAGCTTTTTCTAAAAACAATGAAAATGTAAATACAGCATACAGATCTTAGGATGCCACCAAAGCATTTCTTAATGCTTAATGCATTAAGCCCTTAAAGTTAAGGGCTAAACTTAGAAAGGGAAAAAAAGAACATAGGAAAATGGAAATAATAAAAGCACAGAACAGAAATTTAATAATTAGATACCATTCGTCTCTAATTAAATTAATCAGTACTAAAAACAATAATAGCAAATTCTGGTAAGAGCATGGTAAGGAATGCACCTTACACACTGTGGAGAGGGTGTAAGTGGAGAAAACATTCCGGGAAATGTGGTAATCTGCGTCAAGAGGCTAAAAGCTGATCTTTGTTTTAGAGTTAGCATTACTTATTTTGAGTCAGGAAAAACAATTATTAAGGATAAAAGTCCTGTGATTTATATCACAGAATCTCTTAAGATAGCAAAAAATTTTAAAAAACTGAAAGAGGAAAATGTTTAAATAAATTAATGCAATGGAATATATACTTATTGAGAAATTGGTAGCCTAGGAACACACTTTCTATATAATGGGCAGGTGAAAAAAATCAGCAAGGTAAATACAAAGTGTATAATCTAAGTTCTCTCTGCATACAATACAGAGGCTAAAATGGAATTCAGCCCAGGCATTAAGAGATTGCAAGGAAGTACCACAGTATAGGCAGGCTCTACAAAGGAGATAGTTACAGCTTAATCTCACTTCAAGGGTATAAAACAGTCAAGAGAAAGGTTTTTAAGGATTTTTGAGGGACATTTGTTTAGTAGGACCCCCCAGGTCAATAACATGGGGATGTTAGGAAACCATTGAGATGTGGTTGTATCCTGCAATTTGAGGGCCACAGCAGTGAGTGTCTGAGTCATGAGTGAGAAGTCTAAAGAAGCAAACAGTGGCAGCAAGGGTGCACATTTTGGAAGTATCTGCCTTCCTAGAATTTGTTGGGACAAAGGATGCTAGGGTGTTTTCCATAGATCAGGCATGGAACACTGTGAGAGGAAGCTGGCATAGAGCTATGTTAGATCTTATCCTGCAGAGCCACTGGAAGAGGTGAAGAAAACTCAAAGCTGCAGGTAGACCTAGAGTACTGTCTATTCAGGGGACATTTCACAATGTCTGGAGACATTTTGGTGAGTTGGAGAGTAGAGAGGGCGTAGGGCTGTTGCCATCTATTGCTCAGAGACCAGGGATGCCGCTAAGTATTCAACGGTGCACAGGACAGCCCTGAACAAGAAAGAATTGCCTAGTCTAAAAATGGCAATTGTGCGGATTTTAAGAGTTTTTTTTATTTTTTTGAGACGGAGTCTCGCTCTGTCACCCAGGCTGGAGTGCAATGGCACGATCTCGGCTCACTGCAACCTCCACCTCCTGGATTCAAGCGATTCTCCTGCCTCAGCCTCCTGAGTAGCTAGGATTACAGGCGCCCGCCACCACGCCTGGCTAATTTTTGTATTTTTAGTAGAAACGGGGTTTCACCATATTGGCCAGGCTGGTCTATGAACTCCTGACCTCGTGATCCGCCCACCTCAGCCTCCCAAAGTGCTGGGACCAAAGGTATGAGTCACCGTGCCCGGCTGCAGATTTTAAGAAATTCTAAGCGGGAAAGGGACCAGCTGGAATCAAGATGCATGATTCATGCCTACAGAATTGCAGGAGAGAGAGTCTACACCTCTCAGGCCAGGGAACACTGAAATTAGCTAATGGGGACAGTACTTGCCAAGTGAGAACTCTCCTGCTTCCCTTTCTCTCCTGCGTCCTCCTGCTCCCACATAGGGAGTACTCAGAGACTGCGATTAGGAAACTAGGGAAGAAAGAGTGCATATAGTAAATGAGGAAGGAAAGAAGAAGAAGAAAAAAAAGCTTCTTGCCTATCCCCTGATCCTGCTGCTTCTATTAAAAAAAAGAAGGAAAACGGAGCAAGCTGAGGACTCCCTCCAAAAATATTATCCCCTCAGTGCTCCTCCACTTTCCAATCAGTATTTCACTTTCACTTATATGACCTGAAGATTGGTGATGAACAAATCAAGATCTCACAATTTTTTATCATGACTTTTTATGTGGGCTAATATCACTTCAGAATGTGGGGATACTGGATACTTGGCCACATTTTCTAGGCTTTTGAAGCCTCTGACCAAACACTGAGAAATCCTTAAAATTTTCTTCAAATGTGATGCTGTATGTATGTAACTATTACTTTAAATACTGTCCTATATTTAACCATGAGATCCATCAGACCTAAACTTGCTAAAGCCAAGACTGGTTAATAATGATAATAAAAAGCTACCATCATTTATTATGATTACTCCTGGAACTCAAGTTTGGTAATGCTTGAGAAGAAGCAAGAGAGAGAGAGTCATATTTATGATTGTGTCCTCTAATTGAAATATGTTGCTAGAAGTTTTTCTAAAGATTCCTTCATGTTCAATCAAGATAGTTATGTTCAAATTCCCAAATGAATAATCCTCTTTCATTTTATTTTGAAGTTCTATGTCAAGTCTGGGTCATTTAATTTAATCACCTTGGAGTTAGGGGAGGCTGGCTACATCTTCCCTCTAGGAAGGCTGGAAATGTCATTTGCCCCCTGGGCCCTGACAGTATGTGGGAGAAATTCAGGGCCCTTCTAAGGTGTATATATCTGTCTCCCCAGTCAATCATTCCACAAAAGGGCACAAAGAACCAGGGGTGCCAGCGGTGGAAGCCGGAGAGGAAGCTTGAGACTCTTACAGCATTGTGGTCATCCTTTTACTTTCATCCATAAGACCCAAATCAATCTGTCTGAAATTGAGAGCAATATCTGTTTTCTGGGTCTGGAATTCTTATGATCATGACCACTACAATATTTTCTCCAATGGGCTCATTGCATCTGTTGTGATCTAATATGTTGAATGGATCCCTGTATGCTGTATAAAATAGGGCTTCAGTCTTTATTCAGTTCATTTAATTTCCAAGTCTCATTACCCAGAACTGACATACAATCTTTTCTTTTTATTTACTTTTAACAACTGGTACAGGTTGGATAGCAACCGACAACACATCCCCAAATTCTGTCACATCGGAGCAGAAATGTTGCAAAATGTATTTGCTTCCAGAAAAGTTGACCTCTTTCATTTAATGTCTTTTTGCAGGCGGTACAAGCCCTCAATGGCCAGCAAACTCTGAGTCCTGAAGAATTCATCAACTTGGTGTTCCATAAGATCGATATAAACAATGATGGTAATGGAGCTACTCTCTACTGGATCACTTTTCCTACAAAGTAGGAGATGGTGGTAGTGGGGAGTGTTATTTAGACAAAAGCAGGAACCATTCAAGAGAACCCTAGTTGTGACTTAGGCTTCATAATGGGACCAATCCAATGTTCTCAGTATGATTCAATTGAGTAAATATTTATTGATCATATTCATTTCCAATGTGTGGTGCTTGACATGTTGGGATATATAAAGAGTAAAGGTGAGATGAGCAAATAAATCAGAATAATATAGGATGAAGTAAGTACCTTCTGCTGTTTGCTCTGAGACACATTCTATTAATCAGTTCCTCTCCACTGGAGAGGAAAACTCTCCAGTAACAGAAAACTTGAGCTTATAAATAAACTCAAGTTTTCCCTACTGCAGAAAACTTTCCTTCATTTATGCTATCTTCTTCTACTATCAGGCTTTTTTCTTCCTTTGGACTAAACATTTCTGGAGAAGAGTCCACACTTGCCTCCATTTCTGCTTTTTCTACCTTTTCTATCTACATTTCTGCTCTGATTATTTCTCCATCTGCTCTTTCTACTCTGTAATCTGGGTTCCTGTTTAGCTCAGAGGAGGTACCTTTCTTCTTCAGAGGTAGGAGTGAAGAGAGAAGACACAGACAGCCCAAGAGAAATGAGTGCTTCTACCATGTAGCTTTGATATCAGCAAACAGGTAGGTGAGCATAAAGACTTGAGATTGAGGCAGAAGATCTAGGAATGGTCCTTGAAAAACAGAAAATTTGACATTGTTAAAAATATAGGATATTAGTAAAAGGTTTAAGAAAACGGATAAGAGGCATTGGCATGCCAATCACAGTTGTCATCATTCCAAAACTCCTTCCAAAGGCATCAACCTGCCCACCATGCATCACTTCTTCTGGTGGACACAAGAGGGCAGTAGAGACACATGTTCCCATGTTGAGTGTGACAGGTTGTACTAGTAAAATGTGGCAGCTCAGCGTGGCAGGATGGGATGGTGAGGCCGGGAGGAAGCTCAAATGCAGCCACTGCTGCAAAAAAGCCAAACGACTGGACAAGAGTATACTGCTCAAGAAAGAAATTTGAAGATGCATCAGTTGCATCAATCTTCTTCTCTTAAGCACCTCGGTGTAGATCTGCCTCTCCTGAATCTCAATTCAGTATGCTCACTTACTAGTATACTGACATCAAATAATGAAACATGTCAGTACATGTGAAAGCTTGTAAGAAACAGAGTCAGACTACCCAGAGTAGATAAGGAGGCTACGTGCAGCCAGGAAAGGACCAGAGAAATGGAGAGTGGAGGGTCTGATGAGGACAATGAAGACTTTATTTGGAATATGCCACTGAAAATCGTGGTCATCGAACTGGAGAAATGCTGTAGATTTTATTCTGTTTCACTTTGTTTTTAATCTTAGAGGTGCTGCAGGATGGCAGGGATTGGAGTAGAGTAAATCATCCATTTCAGCCTGGGGCTGAAAGCACTGATGTAGAAGAATGAGTACTCCGGAAGTAGATGGGACATCACAAAGTTTTAAGACTTGGTTTATACAGTGACTTTCAAAAGGGCAGGTCAAGAATGTTTAATAATATCCATGAACACTGCTTCTAGTGCTAGGAGTGAGGGGAATAGGAAAGTGACCTTCCTCGGAGAAGTACGAAGATTTTGGTATTCTTAGGAAAACACTAAGATTCTATTAGTTTGAGGACACAGATAGTGTATTCGAGAAAACATGAATATGATTCAGGACTTTTTGTTTACTATCCAAGAAGGTTCCCCAAGGGCAAAGTATAAGGAATCGATAAAATGGGGACTGTGATTAGAAAGGAACTTGAAGTAGAAAGGGCTGGGTTAAAAGAGACGTGAATTCAGAAAAGAGAAATTGTGCCTGGGCAATAGCTGAGGTTACCTGAAGTTAGAGAGATGAGCTCTTTCACTTACAACAATAAGTCAGCGACAGAAAAAAGGAGATGAATTATGGTTTCTAGAATAGTTTATAAAACTAAATACACTAATTGTTTCCTCTTATAAAAACTTGTATTACTATTATTATTATTATTTAAAATGGAGTCTTGCTTTGTCACCCAGGCTGGAGTGCAGTGGTGTGATCTCGGCTCACTGCAACCTCCGCCTCCTGGGTTCAAGCAATTCTTCTGCCTCAATCTCCCAAGTAGCTGGGACTACAGGCTCCCCCCACCATGCCCAGCTAATTTTTGTATTTTTAGTAGAGACGGGGTTTCACCATATTGGCCAGGCTGGTCTCGAACTCCTGACCTTGTGATCCACCCTCCTCAGCCTCCCAAAGTGCTGGGATTACAGGTGTGAGCCACCGTGCCCAGCCCCAAAAACTTGTATTTTAAGTAAAAAAAATATACGCACATCCACATCTATATACACTTTGGAGTACCTATGAATCGCTATTTCTTAGCAAATGCATATACAGAACTAAAACTGATAGAACTTGCTTTTGTATAAAAATTATTGACATTTGTTACATCGTTTCATCATGAGACAGCTGGATCATTCCATACATCAAGAAAAAGATGTTAACAAATGTGCTGGTGAACAGAGACAGCCCAGTGTAATCAAAGACAAGGAAGAAAAAGTGATGAAGACATAAAAGGTTGATATTTGCAGAAGTACAAAAGGATTTGGCCAGTATTTGACAGAGAAGAATAATATGAAGTGCTTCATTTACAAATAAAGGGGGAATTAGCACCACAGAGGAGAATGTCTATTCACATTTGTAAAAGCTAAACTCTGTATACCTCAAATATAATTTTTTATTGTTCATTATCATTGTTATCAAAACATCAGCATTGATAGAAATAGAGATGCTCAATTAAGTATACCAAAATGCTGTTGACTGTACACTGACATATATATATATATATATTTATTTCTCAAAATAAAAAGCAAGCACATCATTATGCCGATAATATAATGAATATTGAAACCAAAAGTAAAGATGATCACAGCACACAAAGATACAACTAAAAAGACTTTAGGTATGCATATGAAAATCCCAATTTGATTGTTAATTGTTTGCAAAAGAATGGTCAACATCACATCTGTTGTGACAGAAAAATACACAACAGTTGTGAAATATTCTAAACATAATTCTCATAATAGCAAATCAAAGTTAGAAGGTTAAGCAAAATAAAGGTACAGGATTAATGCTAGATTTATAACAAGATGAAGAGCTATGAGCTCCACAAAGGCCAGAACCATTTCCGTTTTGTTTACTTTGATATTTCCTATGCTGGCACACAGTAGGTGCTCTATAAATAACTGTGAAATGAAAGAGTGTCTGCTAAGAAGATGTCATGTAAGAAATAAAGAAAAGATTAAATCAAGAAACAATATGCAATTCTGTCTATAGGAAGAAAGGTATCTAGAATTTTTTTTTTTTTTTGAAATTAACAAATACATGTATATATGTTAAAAACTTCATAAAATATAAACCTGGATCAGTTAGCAGGAGTTAATTACCTTTGGGAAATCAGACCAGGTGCCAGAAAGAGGTTAAAGGGCAATTTTTTTCTTTTCTTTACATCTTTCTGTATTATTCAATTTTTTTAATCATGAGGACATATTATTGTTATAATTTAACAAATTAGTTTTATTTTTATATTACGAACAAAAGCATCAGGAAAGAGAGCTTGAAGAGACAGAGGCAAAAAATTGAAGCTAAACATTCAATATTATTCAAAAATGAAAACAGAGAAGACAACAAGACAAGTCAGGAAAAATGATTCAGTGTGGAATTCTGCAGGCTTTACCACCAGAAGAATAGCAATCCATATTCTACCATGCTCTATTTAGGCATCATTCTTGACATGATTTAGGGAGATTTATAGGTGTTCACAACATCAAGTGCAGAAAGTGCCTCGGTAAGTCTCACATAGAGCCAACTAAGGCACAGGGGTAAGGGAGACTTAAGTGGCTCTTAATAACAAACGGTGAAGGTGAAAAGAGGCCAAACAGGAAATGAAAAGGGTGATTATTATTATTATTATTATTGAGACGGAGTCTCTCTCTGTCACCAGGCTGGAGTGCAATGGCACTACTCGGCTCACTGCAACCTCCGCCTCCCGGGTTCAAGTGATTCTCCTGCCTCAGCCTCCCGAGTAGCTGGGATTACAGTCACCCACCACTACGCCCGGCTAATTTTTGTATTTTTAGTAGAAACGGGGTTTCACCATATTGGCCAGGCTGGTCTCAATCTCCTGACCTCAGGCGATCCGCCCGCCTCGGCCTCCCAAAGTTCAGGGATTACAGGCATGAGCCACCATGCCCGGCCAAAAAGGGTGATTATTGAGCAGATATTTTGGGTAAAAAGAACAAAGTCAGGACACAAATAAATGTTATTGATTAACTAACAAGAAAGACCAGTGCTTTAGACTGGAATATTGTGAAAAGCCACGAGGGTCACATTGAATCAAACTGGGAAAACGAGAATTACCAGGAGATAAGAGGGAACTGAGTTTCCACGTAGAGGAAAAGAAACTACTGCATGCTAAAGCTCTCCTGTAAAATGTTGCTAAATGCTTCTAGTGCCACCTTGCTAATAAACACAATTCTGTGACATTCAAAATCTTCACCAGCATCCTCCCTTGACAACTTGGTTATTCTTATCTCCTGAATCTTCTCCAACCTATCTTTGCTACTGTTCCAGCCCCAGCTCAATATTTTATGAAGTTATAATGAAAAGAAATTAAAATTTAAAAAATCCTCTACACAGGCTGATTTATTTTAAAACCAGGATGACTTCTTTAGACCAGAAATGCTAATGTAGGCATGCACAGTAAATTCTGCTTTTTTGAGGGGGTGGGGGTGAAGGAGAATGTTTTGTTTTGTTATAAAAGATTATTTAAGATGTAAATGGGAAGAAATGCACGATTTAGGAATATCAACAGGTAACCGGATTGCAAAAACAGGACTAATTAAACATTCCTGGGTAGCTATTCTATTACTAATGAAACTCCTGAAATTGGTAGTGAGTGATGAAAGGGCCACCAGTGATACTGACCTTCAGGGTCCCCAGACATACAGAATGCACCCACCAATACAACAAATAGCCCTAAACAACGTAGATTCCAATTACATATATTTCAACTTATAAAAATAAAATCGTGAAGTTTCTGAATAATGTCCTACAAAAATTGAAATGTGTCGGCCGGGTGCGGTGGCTCACGCCTGTAATCCCAGCACTTTGGGGGGCCGAGGTGGGTGGATCACGAGGTCAGGAGATCGAGACCATCCTGGCTAACATGGTGAAACCCCGTCTCTACCAAAAATTACAAAAAATTAGCCAGGTGTGGTGGTGGGCGCCTGTAGTCCCAGCTACTCGGGAGGCTGAGACAGGAGAATGATGTGAACCCGGGAGGCGGAGCTTGCAGTCAGCCGAGATAGCCCCACTGCACTCCAGCCTGGGAGACAGAGGGAGACTCCGTCTCAAAAAAAAGAAGAAGAAGAAAAAAAAATTGAAATGTGTCTGTATATATAAAACAAAGTAATAAAAACTCAGTAATGACTTCAGATTACTTCTAAGTCCCATGATCTCCCTGCTCTATCATCTCTCACAGGCATTGGCTTTTTGCTGGTAGAATCTTTGCCTTTTTTTTTTTTCAGACAGTCTCGCTGTGTCACCCAGGCTGGAGTGCAGTGGCGCCATCTCGGCTCACTGCAACCTCCGCCTCCCGGGTTCACGCGAATCTCCTGCCTCAGCCTCCCAAGTAGGTGGGACTACAGGCGCCCTCCACCACGCTCGGCTACTTTTTTGTATTTTTAATAGAGATGGGGTTCCACTATGTTGGCCAGACTGGTCTGGAACTCCTGACCTCGTGATCCGCCCACCTTGGCCTCCCAAAGTGCTGGGTTTACAGGCGTGAGCCACCGCTCACGGCCTTGCTGGTAGATTCTTTAGTGGGAAGCTTCTGGACCTCCACAGGTGACTCTTTCTAGGGAAATACGGAAGCCCATTCTTTTAATTTGTTGGGGCGTAAATCCACAGTCAAATCAAAGCAGAATAGGAAGTAATGTTAAAGAACATCAGATAAAGGAAGGCAATTAGTCAGTGTGTGCCTTCTGAGCACCTACCATATTCATAGCACTGTCGTCGGCTATAGTGGCGGTAGCTGTGTGGTAATAGAAATGGTAATTGTGGTTAGGGCTTAATAAACATGATGAATAAATGAATGAATGTTGAGTGCTGGAGGGAAACTGAGGAAAATTTCAAAAGAAGTAGTTTAGATATGGTAAACATGTTACTATAGGTAGAGTTTGATGATTTGGAACAGAGATTTTTTTTTATGGTAAGTGGTTAGGTAACATGAAAAAAGTTAATAAGCAGAATTCACAAGTGTTTTGAAGAAAGTGAAAAAACAGCAGTGAATACTTCCATCTTTTCTGTCTTTTCCATGTCAGTAACCTGTATTGCTTTTCAGCTGAGACCACTACTATATCCCGGTTCTTTCAGATGCTGCCTCTTCTATAGCCAGTAGTTATAGCAGAGAAGTTTGATAACTAAACAGTCAAAACTGTCTCCAGCTCCACTTCCACTTCTCTCTTGGTCATGCTGAGCCCCGATAAATTTGAAAAGTCTTTGGGGTTGGGAATTTGCCAGCTGTGATTTTCTTTTGCAAAGGGCGGTTATTCTGTGATTGTTTGAGGTTCCCTACCCCGTTGCCACTGACCCATGGGACTCTCCCCTGCCACACACATACCACTTTTAAAAATTTGCAATCTTCTCTACTCCCTATGGTTTATTCTACGATTGTACCTTTTCTGTGACACACATGGGGCCCTACTCATGACTGCTGTTAACTAAGGTTTTTCACAGACCTTTCTTTGGCATAAGCAAAACATAAAGAACACAGATTAGATTTTTCTCTTAAAAAATGCATTTTAGCATTTTGCATTGAAACCAAAAGGGAGGTGTCTTACGAATATATGATGATGCATGCTGTTTGACATTTGAATCAATATTGTGGTATTTTAGATATTTGTCTTCTCCATTAAAAAGTATAGGTACAGCCTAACACCTGACTTCAGTCCCTGTTGACTTCCTTCCTTGAATGTACTTTCTCCAGTTCTTGAATGCACTCCGTCCGTCTTTGGCTGATCTATCCATCCACAAACCTCCCCTGGGTACAGTCTCTTTGAGATCAATAACTGCATCTGTACCCTTCAACTTGAACACACTCATAATCCCAACCCAAATGATTTATATCAACAGAGAATTCCCCCTCCCCAAAAATGTTTGAAAGTCATCTTGTGGGGTGAAGGTAGTAGAAAAACATGGCAGCCAGGACACATGGATATAAGGCGATAAATTTACAGCAGTGGGCTGGCCAGCACAGACCTAAGGTGTAAGTCAAGGTGATAAGATCAGGACTCAAAAACCAGAAAAGGAGTAGAGAACTAATGAGCAAAAATAACCTGTGGAATGAACACATGTTGAAGCTTTCTCACAGCTTTAGACAGTCCCAAGAATTATTTCTTCAGAGAGAAGAATATTGAAAATAGCCTTGTGAGTAGTCATTTTGTCTTGATCTTAAAAATCTCCAATCTGTCATGCTCCTAAGACTTGGTCATATCTTCAAGATTAAAAGTCCAAAAACCAATACTGTGCAGAGATATAATTGCATATGTGCTCTTATTTCATCTGGGGCATTACCTGATGTTTTCAACTAAACGTAAAAATAGTTTCATTATCTTTATTTTCATTGGCAACACCACCAGTGAATGCTTTTTTTTTTTTTTTTTGTTTAAATGAAGATCTTCAAAGATCTTAGAGTCTGGTTGAGGGGAAAGGATATCAAAAGAATATCAATAAACATACCAGTGAGTATATCATTTGTGCCAGTGAGTGGTATAGACAAAGCCTCTTATTAACTGTTTATTATTTTCCAGGGGAATTGACTTTAGAAGAATTTATCAATGGCATGGCAAAAGATCAGGATCTCCTGGAGATTGTTTACAAGAGCTTCGACTTCTCCAATGTGCTGAGAGTAATCTGTAATGGGAAGCAGCCAGACATGGAGACAGACTCCTCCAAATCTCCTGACAAGGCTGGTCTAGGGAAGGTGAAAATGAAGTAGCTGTGAGAATACCTGTCCCAGCTATCAATGAGCACAACATTTCAGTAGAGAAGAAATAGAATCTTCCCCATGTACATGCTGTTGATTTCAGGTCTTTGTTATAATTCATATAGGCTTGTGAATATAGCACTTATTTTAATCCAGTAGAGACTTGCATAAAGATCCTAAACAGATGCATTGTTGCTTTTCTGTGCTGTCTCTGCAGATTAAAACATAATGATTACACTAAAGGATTGTCTCCATACCTATCTGTTCAAATTAGAGCTCTCATATGTGTTTCCTTGTGCACTTAATCTACACCTTGAAATAGATCTGGATTATCCATTGGAAAGTGTCTCCACAGTTTAGCATTCTTAGATTAAACATCCATGTGGTAAATGTGCTTGCTGCCTCTTTGCTCCTGTTGCATCTGTATATTATAAATGACTGAGTTCTGGCTTATCTGAGAAACTTTTTTTTCTGCACTTATTTCTTATTCATGAATGCTGTCTTGCATTAGTAATGATGCTCTGCTTCAAAAGAAAAATCTTAAGCTATGTAGTAAGAGGGAAAAACTTCAGGCTGGGCAGTGAGAATGTTTTCATATGATTCATTATAAATTTGCATCCAGTTGTGCATGAAAATGCGATGTATCATCTGTAATTATTATGCCAGTTGGAGGTTTGATCAGAACAGCAGACAGCCAGGCTATGCAACAACAAGCACTTGACATTTTAAACAGTCCTGACATTATAGCTCTGACATTTCATTTTTTATATCCTTTCCAGAAAATGAAATGATGAATGGGATTTCTTGATGGGTTAGAACTTTTTAAGGCTTGAGTTCTATATCACAGGCCCATTAGTATGTCTGTCAACGACTGGCTTTCTTGTAGAAACACAGTGGAGGTTTCTAAGACCAGATGTGAACCATCTTTATGTCAAAAGCTTCATAATTAGGCTTTCATATTCAAATTTGGGTTAAAAACACACAACTGGAAGACTACAAAGACAGAGTTGGACTATCCATTTCTCCCTCACAGCTGTCCGAGCAGATCAGTGCAGAAACGGAGGCAAGGAGGAAATAAATGACAGTAGAAATGAAGTATAAATGGAGGTCGAGAAAAAGTTATAGAAGAACATTTAGATGAACATATAGATGGAGGTAGAAATGTCCTCGGAATTTTTTTCCAAAAGATTTCGAGGAGATTCACAAAGATGTATGCAATGCAAGATAAAATGTTGAAATAAAATTATCACAGATAATATAAGGAAAATTATTGTAGCTGTGGTGACACAAAGTTTACTCATTTGCAAAAGGTGGGTTACTCTTTGGACTCTGAGCCTCCTAGAAGTGAAAAGGGAAACATCATTATAAGAGCCAGAACATCAGCAAGGTAAACAATCCCACAAAGTTGTTGTGTTGCCAGATGACATTGTGCCTTAAACTGTCCAATGTTCCATGTATTGTTAAGATTTGCAAATGCAAGCTATAAGGATAATGCTAAACAGAACTCATTTTCCTTGTAGCTTAATCTTTCTCAAGGTATCTGAACCTATTTAGGGAAAAGGCAGCAGTTTCAAAGCAGAAGCTATTGCTTCCCAAGTTCATCCTGTCTTGGCTTTCGCTTTCAGAATTCCCACCCAATGCTTCCCTCCCTGGCCTGGCTATTTTCACTACTGGCGGCGCCATTCTCACTCCAGGCATTGTATTGTATTCATGGATCCTTTCAACTCAGTGGACTCTGTAGCCTCAACATCCTCCCCTCCACCCATCTTTCATGGGCACTCAGGGCCCTTCTGTTCCTCTGCCCCAGGACTCAACCACCTCCGCACACCCCACTCAGAGGAAAGAGAAGGAGATGATGGGAGAGTGCAAGGAGGAAGTTGGGACACTGGCAGGAACAGCAGACAGCAAGTTGGAATACAAGAGAAGGGCTTGGGAGTCAGGCAAGCCTGGGTCTGAATCAAGTTCTATTAGCATGTTCTAATAGCATGTACTTTGTGACTCTGGGGAAACGACATAACTTCTTTGAGTCTCAGCTACCAGGATTAAATGGGGATAACAGCAACATCACTGGACTATTAGGATTAAATAAGTCCACTCAACAAAATTCCAGAGTAAGTGCTCGGTGCACGTAGAAAAAGAAGCAGGTGGGTTCCCCACCTTCAACAGGATTGACCCTTCAGTCAGGCAAGATCCAGTCAAGGAAACACATGGAGACCACACTTACATTAACAGAGAGAGTTTAATATAAGGAATTGATTTAAAAGGCATTGGAAGACTGGAAATGCAAAGAGAGGACACTGAAATAACACAGAACTAGTAATGGCAGGAAGCAGCTACCATCCTAGGCTAGGGGAGCAAAGGGAAGAGGTTGGGGTTATTAGAACACAGAAGCTTGAAAGAGGAGAGCTGGGACCCAGTTTTCCATGGAAGGAACACAGGGTGCCTCAGAGGACTGTAGGAAAAGCATTGCAATCAATGATCACTGCTACGACAGGGCTGTTGCTGAGGCAAGGCTGACAGGAGCGGGAGGGATCAGGTCGTTCTACCTCCTCTTGCCTAGCAGTTTCTCTCTAGCACCCGCTATGGGCTGAGCCTACCAGGGAAACAGCTGGCAAAGGAGAATTGTCAGTAGGACTCCACCCCAGCATCACAGAGCCTATTATAGAAGGATGGGCTTGGAGCTGAGAGTTCATGACTTAATTACCAGCACAGATGGGATGGGTAGGAAGAGCCAAGGGGACACCGTCCAGACACCATCACCATCATAGGTAGCATATTAAGAGCATCCAAGCTCAGCTTTAGCCTGGGCCCTGCCTCCCACTGTCTGTTTTGAACCCTGTAGTTTCCCTTTGACTTCCCCAGGCTCCCGTCACTCTGCTGCCTCATGCCTTGATCCTCTCTCTCAGCATATAGTCCATTTGGCATCATGACTGGTTTGTGTAGTTTGCCCAGATCTGGTTTCGGTTTTTCCCGAGATGCTGCCTCTTAGATTTCTAAGTTCTGTTCTGTGTGCTGTCTCCAAAGCTCACTCCAGGTCTTCTGCCTCCCAAACTGACCCCCCAGGTTCATAGCAGAGAAGTGAAAGGGGTACTCACTTCCCTTTCCAAAGAATAGCTTTGTCCTATCTGTGTGTCCTCTCTTGGTGTCACATAGCACACCCTGGTAGGTTGCTTAGGAAAACTTGTTGAGGCCAGACACGGTGGCTCACATCTCTATTCCCAGCACTTTGGGAGGCTGAGGCAGGAGAATCGCTTGAGCCCATAAGTTCAAGAACAGCCTGGGCAACATGGCAAAACCCCATCTCTGCAAAAAATACAAAAATTAGCCAGGTGTGGTGGCGTGCACCTTGTGGTCCCAGCTACTTGGGAGGCTGAGGTGGGAGGATCTCTTAAGCCTGGGAGATTGAGGCTGCAGTGAGTCATGATCATGCCACTGCACTCCAGCCTGCATGATAGAGTAAAACCCTGTCTCAAACAAAAACAAAAACAAAAAGCACTGGTTGGTGGATTAGGAGAATGTGAAGATGCTAACTGTTCATTATAAGAAAACAAATCATAAAACAATATCTATGTGATAGTTTTTTCTGAGGGTGGTCCAAAGAAGGAGATAAGTCAGAAATTCAGGAGCAAAATAATTTTAGGGCTAAGTGCAGTGGCTCACGCCTGTAATCCCAGCAATTTGGGAGGCCGAGGTGGGCGGATCACGAGGTCAGGAGTTCGAGACCAGCCTGGCCAACATAGTGAAACCCCATCTCTACTAAAAAACAAAAATTAGCCGGGCGTTGTGGTGCATGCCTGCAATCCCAGCTACTCGGGAGGCTGAGGCAGGAGAATCACTTGTATCTGGGAGGCGGAGGTTGTGGTGAGCCGAGATTGCACCACTGCACTCCAGCCTGGACAACAGAGCAAGACTCCATGTAAAAAAAAAAAAAAAAAAAAATTAGGTTAAGTTCATGGTTAGGTGAGGTGAGGGGAAAAGAAAGAGAGAGAGAGACTGTGGGGGAAAGCCATATTCTTTCCCTCAACTCTCCTTAAAGTCATCTCTACCAAAGTCCTGCTCCTTCTCCATTATTTTCTCTGCAATTTAACAACATGATGCTGAGTCCAAAGGAATAGTCCTAATCTACATATCAAGTCATGGTATTTTAATAAACCGAATATTTTAAAATAAATGTCTTCCTCTTTCAGATGATAAGCCTTAAGTAGAGCCTACTGTCCAGTGACTTTTTAAAAAACTTTAGTTCAGTTTTATTGTATTTAATTGGAATTACATGAGTTTTCCTTCTTATGGCTATACAGTAACTTTTTTTTTTTTCTTTTGAGACGGAGTCTCGCTGTCTCCCAGGCTGGAGTGCAGTGGCGTGATCTTGGCTCACTGCAAGCTCCGCCTCCCGGGTTCACGCCATTCTCCTGCCTCAGTCTCCCAAGTAGCTGGGACTACAGGCGCCCGCCACCACATCTGGCTAATTTTTTGTATTTTTAGTAGAGACGGGGTTTCACCATATTAGCCAGGATGGTCTGGATCTCCTGACCTCGTGATCTGCCCACCTCGGCCTCCCAAAGTGCTGGGATTACAGGTGTGAGCCACCGCACCCGGCCGCGATACAGTAACATTTCAAGTAAGGGATTCCATGATATGTGGGCCAAGTGTCTGAAGAACCTCAAGAACCTTAATTAATTTCTGAGACTCCCATTGACCAAAGAGTAGTGGCCAAACCAGAATGACATCACTGTTTAAGAAGAATCTAGATCTTCCTACTACTTTCCTGTTTTTTTTTTACCACAATTTTTGATGCTTCGAAGTAAAGAGATATTATTTTATTTTACTTTTTTCATTAAAGAAATATTTACTGAGTGCTTTCCAGGTGCATGGCACTGTACTAGGCCAGGGATAAAGCAGTAAATCAGACATATATTGTCCTTGCCGTCATAGTGGGTAAGAGACATCAGTGAGTTACATGATTGAATAATTCATTGTAATTGTAGTTAAATGCTAAAAGCTGACATACAAGGGGTTATGAGGGCATATAACTGGAATCTAACCTGTATTAACAGTCAAGGAGTGTTTCCTGGGGAAAGCAACATTTTTTTTTTTTACTATTTTTTTAAGAGACATTATTTTAAAAAGAGAGAAAGATGAAGAGAAAGACACTAAAGCTTGTAATAATTTTTGCCTTATAAAAATGACAGAAAAAATTTTAAATATTAGGCTAACAGCATGTTACTCAAGTTTTTCTGTACAACTGAAGATGCACCAGGAAGCAGATGTCCCGATTCTTTGGCCCAAAATATGAAGATAAAGAGAGAAGGAAACAGATGAGTTGCAGCTGGTCCAGGAGGAGGACGGCACTGATCTGATTTCCCTCCCTTCCCCACACTGCAGCAGCCAATCAGCAGCTGCTCCTTCAGTGAAGCCTGGGTTCTCCAGGCATGAACAGAGAACATTTTAGCTAGAGAAGTGTTTGTTTAAAGCAGAAGAGTAGATAGGAAATGGCTTAGGTGTAGCAAATGTTTCCCTCATTTTTCTTTCCAAAACGTGTTGGTGTAAAAGTTATTGGGGAAATAACTCAGAAAATGTGGTTTGTTTAACACTGAAAGCATGACTAAGAGGCAAATGAAGAGACCTACAAGCTCTGCTCCCCCTCCCCCATTTATATTAGAATAACCTTTAGAAATGAAAATGAAATACAGAAAAGTCCTGACATTTAAAACCAAGGTAGGGCCGGGCGCGGTGGCTCACGCCTATAATCCCAGCACTTTGGGAGGCTGAGGTGGGCAGATCACGAGATCAGGAGATCGAGACCATCCTGGCTAACACGGTGAAACCCCGTTTCTACTAAAAATACAAAAAATTAGCCGGGCGCGGTGGTGGGCGCCTGTAGTCCCAGCTACTTGGGAGGCTGAGGCAGAAGAATGGCGCGAACCCGGGAGGCGGAGCTTGCAGTGAGCTGAGATCGCGCCACTGCACTCCAGCCTGGGCGACAGAGCAAGAATCTGTCTCAAAACAACAACAACAACAACAACAACAACAACAACAACAAAAAACCCAAGGTAGGGTCCTGTGCTTGCTGAAGAAATTTAAATCATTAAAATTGGGTGGACAGGGAATAGCTTTTTCAGTACTCAGTATTTGTTTCTGGGGACAGCTGCAGGTAGGCAAAATTGAATGTTGAAATTAAACCCCGAGAATACCAAGTTTTTTTCAGCAGAATGGCACACAATGTTGAGAAAAGTATTTAGAGAGGCAGAATGGCTTGGTGGAGACTGCACTGGAGTGAGCGTCAGATCTGGATTCTAGTGACCTTTGACAAGTCACTTTACGTCTGAGTCTTGGTCTTCTCCGCTCTTGAAGAGAAACAATTGCTGAGTTTCCTTCCACCTCTAATATTGTATCATTCCATGAGACTTTCACAATGCAGGAAATGATGCCTTTAGCACCTCAAAAGGATTAATTGTTTAGAAACAAAATCGAGGAAAAAATTTTTACATTTGATTTAAATGGCAAGCCCAGATTTCTTTGGACTCTTCTGGCCACTGAGTCTCAGATTGCTGCCTATGGACTCTACGTCACAGGCGATTTACTTTTTTCCCTACACCTAATTCTGAGTGCTCTTCATCAAGCACAGAATGGCAGGCCAGTGATAGGCTGTCTACATAAAAGTTACCTGGAAATCTTTCAACATGAAAGAAAATGTGTATCTCTGATAGTCATGGTGGTTGTAATGCGTGACCAGGTGTGGAAACCATAACTTCTCACATCTCTTTGAGCGTCCCATCCCCATGGTTGCCATGGAAATGGCCAGAATCCATCCACATTCTATCTCCTAGCATTGACCTTTAAAGTACCTTGGGGACATGGAGTCCTACATATTTCCTTTGTAAAATATAAGAAAAAGGTCACAGGCTTCCATGCATGCAGATCTCGTCTCCACCACTCGCTAACTCTATCACTCTGGGTAAGTCATTGTACCTATTTTACCTTGATAAACCAGAGTTTCCATACCCATGAAATGAGATTTCAGGTATCTGGTTGGGTTACTGTGTGGATGACATGAGCTAACACACATAAATGTCTAGCATGGTGCCCGGCCCTCATCATGTATCAGTGCATTCTGGCACCTCCAACTTTTAGAATCTTTAAGGCCTCAGGTACATGAAGCTAAGGTTGCTTCTTAGGGAATATTTCCCAGTCTGACCTTGAGGAAGGCTATATACTTGTCCAAGATACTTTAATATCTTGGCTCTTGAGTCACATTTAATTGGCCATTCCAATGAGGTCTAAGAATATAACCATCTATAAACAATTATCTCTGGATGGACAAAATCTATCAAATACCAACAGGCCTTTTCGACTGGCCCTCAAACTTTACCGTCATTGGTATAAAGATTATACCAATCTTTAAGATTTTTCCCCATGCTCTTAGAATGACCCTGAGCCCTCATCTGTTTTCATGGAAAAGTCTTACAATTAGATGGCATGGTTGGCCTCTATTCCACACATGAATATTACTCCAGCAGAGATGTTTATTTCTTCCAACCATACACTTCACATTTCTGTAATAACTTACACTTTTAAGGAGCATTTTAAGAAATGTAACGTCAAAATTGATAGCAATTCATTAAGATAATTTTGATATACATGTAGCTATTATGACTATCATTTAATACCTATTATTCAGATCGGTATATATGAGAAAATTAAATTGAAATATATCTAGAATTTGAACCCTTTCTGTACCAAGCTACTACCTCTTACCCTACTGGCCTGTGCTAGGCTGTCACTATGTCTCATCTGGATTATTCTAGCGATTTCCTAACTAATCTCCCCACTTCAACCCTTGTCCCTCCACAGTCTATTCTCAATAGAGCAGCCAGAGTGATCCAATTAAAGCATAAGGCACACTGACTTGATCTTTACAAATTATATGAATATATCAAATTATTACATGTACCCCCAAACTATGTACATCTATTATGCATAAATTAAAAAAAGAAAAAATAATCTTACCTATAGATAAACGTATATTGACACAGGAAAATGTTCATGAGTGGTTGCCGAGTGAAAAAAAATTATGCTATAATAAAAATACATATTATTGTTTTAAAAAAGCATAAGGCAGATCCTGATTTAAAACTCTCATGTAGCTCCTATTTTCATTCAAGATAAAAGCCAAAGTTCTCAGAGTGGCCTTTAGGGCTTTGCATAATCTACCTGCTCTTCTCCCCTTATTTTTCTCGCTTCATTTGCTGCTACTCTTGCCCTCATTCACTCCACTTCAGCCACAGAGGCCACTTCTAAACCACTCCAAGCACAGCCCTCCTCAGGGACTTGGCTCTTGCTCTCCTCTGCCTGGGATATTTACCTCCAGAATATCAACACGACTTTTTCTTTCGCCTCCATCAAGCTTTTGCTCCATTGAAGCTTTTGCTAAATTGTAACCTTCTCAGTGAGGCCTTTCCTGACCACCTTTCTAAATTGCAAAAGTCCATTTCCTTCACCCTCACACCCTCTATGCTCCTACCCTACTTAATTTTAGAAGTAATGTTAGAAGGTAGTGTTTGCTATCTTCTAACCTACTATGCCATTGTTTATTTTGTTTATTCTTTGTTTGTCTTCTCTGGAATATGAATTCTACAAGGCAAAGATTTTTGGCTCTTTAGTTTATTAACAGATACTCAGCACTTAAGACACAGCCTAGTGCATAGTAGGCACTTAACAAATATGTTGAATGAACAGAGGAAATACAAACCTTGTCAATAATTACACACCTTAAAAGTGACAGAGCTAACAAAACTCAATTTCTTTCATACTGTGAAAGAAATTCAGAGTCTTTCATACTATGTGTCCCTTCATTAGATCGCAGAAGTCATAATGGGAAAATAGTTTTTTCTGTTATCCTTCAAATTAATTTCCATGGGATCTCATATCATCCAACTGATGCTGCCATTTAAAAAATATTTTTGAAATTGGCTTTTAAGCAATTGCTTGATCACACAAGAAAATCATAATGTTATCATCATATTATCATCCAGCTGCTGATGGTTTTGGTTTTTGATCTGTAGTTTTCTTACCACAGTAACATTTGTTTATCTGTACTCTGGACACTTGACTTACTAATTGTTTCTGGCTTTTTCCAGAATTCAAAATATATCCTGAAAAAATAAAATGATGTACCACCACTAAATGCAAAATGGTTCTCAAAATATAAATAGATTTTTTAAATACTTAAAAACACAAAACTATGTAATCAAAAAATTAAAAAGAAAAGAATAAGTTAAATTCGTTTGTACAAGTACGACAAACACATCTAACACATTTAAAATACAAAACCTCAGACAAATTTACAAGAACAACGCGAAGATTCCAAAGATGGGGAAACTATCAGGATAGAAAATTTGCAAAGGAGAAAATACACTGACTACTAAACATACAAAAAATATTTCAGGGTCACAGATGATAAGAAAAAAACCCACAAATTAAAACAAAACTTAGAAAACAATTTTATATGTCAAATTTAAAGTTGCTTTGAAAATCAATCTGATGGTAACATTCGGAGAAGGAGGTTGACAGATATGAGGGAATTCTTTGTACTGTTTTTACAACTTTTCTGTAAGTCTGAAATTGGTTTAAAGGTTAAAAAAATGCTCTGTTGAGTTTTATTGATCTATTTGTCTATTCCTGCATCAATACCATATTCTGTAAATTACTATAACATTACAATAAGTCTTGATATCTGATATCTGCTTTCTTTTTTCTTCTTGCAATTTCCTTGGCTATACCTGACCCTTGGTATTTTTAGGTAAAATGTAAAGTCAGCTTGCCAGTTTTCACAAAACCACTGCTGGGATTGTCTATGAGAATAACATTGAATTTATAGGTCAGTTAGGGGAAAGAAAAGTGAAAGACAAAAATGTAAAAGTGAAAGAGAAAAAATGTGAGCTGTAACAATAGCACACTGAGTGTATCTTCCTCTTTTATCTCTGTGAGCTCCTCTCCTAGGTCTTGTAAAAAGAGTAAAGCTGGACCTGACCAGAGCTTGGATCTCTCCAGATTTACTGTCTGGTCTAATTGGTATACAGTTTATTTTTCTATGCGGAGGATTCTTTTCTGATAAAATATTAATCTGGTATGAAAGATAAAGCTCTCGGCCGGGTGCGGTGGCTCACACCTGTAATCCTAGCACTTTGGGAGGCGGAGGTGGGTGGATTGCCTGAGCTCAGGAGTTCAAGACCAGCCTGGGCAACATGGTGAAACCCCGTTTCTACCAAAATAATAATAATTAAAAAATCAGCCAGGCATGGTGGTGGGCACCTGTAGTCCCAGCTACTCGGGAGGGGGAGAATCGCTTGAACCCGGGAGGCGGAGCTTGCAGTGAGCCTAGATCGAGCTGCTGCATTCCAGTCCTATTTTAGCAGGTGTTTATGTCATGATTTCAGGTAAATTGATGACTTTGCTTACATCAGCTTAGGAGTGGAGGATAAGAATTACTTTCAGTAGAACAGTCAACAGCAGAATCCTAGCTTGACATAGCTTCAGCAAAAAGGAAAATATCCTCACACGTGTAACTTAAACATTCAGACAGCTGGATACAAAGGGCTCAAATGACGATGTTATCAGCTCTCTGGATCTCTCATCTTTGTTTCTCTCTCTGTACTCTGGCCTCATACTCTTCTTCAGTGTCCTCTCTAAGGCTGAGATAGATGGCCACAAATGAATCTAACCCAATTCTCCATCCCCAAGGAGAACAGTCCCTTCCTCCCACCCGCTCCACCAACACCCATGTATCAAATCTGAGGGAAGCCTATGCTGCTTGAGACTATTGTCTGTATCAGCCACTGTGCCTAGGAAGGTGGAGGGTATGTCTAGCTTTGCTCACACACACACACCTTCTTTGTCTTGGTGTATATTGTGGGATGGGGGCAGGCTGCATGGGGAGCCATCCTCAACCTCACCTGAATCTCAGAAATGGGTTTCCTACAGCAGAGAGGAGTTCTGTTTCCAGAAGGCAGAGAGCTGGACAGGCAAGAATAGCACATGGTGCTGAAGTTACAAAAGTACGGAGCCTCATTTCACATCACATATGGTACAAAGCTAAGTGAATGACAAAGTAAAGCAAAGCATCTTTTGTTAAATACTGTAGAAACAAACTATTATAGAATTAATGCAAATTTTAAGCATTGTCTGAAAAATTTTTTTAAATTTAAGCATGGTCTAAAATACTGTAGAAGTCCTTTCCTATTAGGACTTTACCCCTAGATTTATTGAGGTAAAATTGATGAATTAAAATTGTACATGTTTAAGAGATACAACATGATGATATTATATGTGTATACATTGTGAAATGATTGCCACAATTAAGTTAATTAGCACAACCATCACCTCACATGTGTCTGTGGTGAGAACACTCCTTTTTTTTTTTTTTTTTTTTTTTGAGACGGAGTCTCGCTCTGTCATGCAAGCTGCAGTGCATGCAATCTCGGAGTGGTGCGATCTTGGCTCACTGCAAACTCTGCCCCCCAGGTTCAAGCCATTCTCCTGCCTCAGCCTCCCCAGTAGGGGGGACTACAGGCGCCGGCCACCAAACCCGGCTAGTTTTTTTTTTTTTTAATATTTTTAGTAGAGAAGGGGTTTCACCGTGTTAGCCAGGATGGTCTCGATCTCCTGACTTTGTAATCTGCCAGCCTCAGCCTCCCAAAGTGCTGGGATTACAGGCGTGAGCCACCGTGCTGGGCCAAGAACACTTTTTTAGCAATTTTCGAGCATACAATATAGTATTATTAATTATAGTTGCCATGCTGTACAATAGATCCCCAGAATCTATTCATTTTATAAGTTTGTGCCGTTTGACAAACATCTCCTAATTCCCCGGACCCCACAGCCCCTGGCAACCACTACTGTACTCTGCTTCTCTGAGTTGGACTCTTTTAGATTCCAAGTACAAATGAGATAATGCAGTTTTTGTCTTTTTGTGTCTGGCTTATTTCACTTTGCATAAAGCCCTCAAGGTTCATTCACATTTTCTCATATAGAAGTATTTCTTCCATTTTCATGGCTGAATAATATTTCTTTAAGTATATATGTACTTAAATAATTAATACTTAAAGAAATATTATTTAAGAAATTTTCTTATCCATTTTCTTTATCCATTCATTCAGCCACGAGCATTTCTCTAAGTACTCAGGACTATTCCTATTGCTAACATGATCCCCATAAGACTTTGGCACGTTCCCACTGCCAGCTGGAGAATTTACCCCCAATCACCTACTAATAACCACTGCTCCAGGCACTGGGTGAACCCTCCCAATTTCCCTTCATCACTTCAGTGACCACAATCCTGGCTGCCCATTAGAATCTCTCGGGAAGCTTTACAAAATCCCGAAGATCGGGTTATACCTGAGGCCATGTGAATCAGAATCTATGGGATTGAGACCCAGACTTCAGCAATTTTTAAAGGTCTTTGGGTGTTTCCAATTTGCAACCAAGGTTGGGTACCTGATCCAGTGGACGGCAGCCTATCTGCTGACTCATCCTAGACAATCCTTGCTTTCCTACCGGAGTGATAAAACATAGAGGACTAAGATTGAATAATGACCCGAGAGAGAATGGACGACAAAGTATTATAGCTCTGTCTGCATTGGTTTTAGGCCATGAATCCCAAAAAAGAAGCTAATGGGCCAGACCCAATCATTTATGGTACCCAGAGCATATTTTAACAATTAAAAAAAATCACATGGATTTTTTAATCTTGTCTTGAAATTTAAAGATTGAGGCAATACTGGGCAGCAACTAGTGAGCTGCTGTTGAGTAACAACAACCTTCTCGAGGCAGAAAATGGATTTTCCGGTTTGTCATAGTTTCGTCACTCTCTTTTAACACAGATATAAAGATGCACTGATGCAGATATAATTGAGATGTAGGTATAGATAGAGCCACCATGGCTATCACAGGGACATAAAGGAGATGCCGACAGATCTCAATGATTCTCTTCTCCACGTAGGCAAACTTAACACCTTGAGGCAGAATTCATTCAATGCAATTATTTAATTCAACAACCACAAATAATAGCATGTACAGTACATTCCAATTTACAGAGAACGTTCACACTCATTTTTCATCTGATCTTCATAGAAGTTACATGCAGAAGGCTTTATTATGCTTCCTACTTCACAGATGAAAAAATTGAGGCTCAGATGATTTCAAGAGATTTTAGGTCATTAAGTCCCCAAATCAGGACTTGAATATATGCTTTTTATCTTAAATCCCATACTCTCAATTATAACATGTTGTACTCCTCCCCAAAGAACAATAACAGCTTGAAAGGCATGTTGAAAAGTTGTCATGGGTAATGGAGCTAGAAAACTCTAGGATCTCTGGGTGCTGATTATATGCATAAGGCATCCTCGGACCATACCTAGCGCAAGCTAAAACCGGTTACAGCTGCCTGCCTGTTATAAAGCAGGGCCTTAAACTCACGATTAATTTGGCTAAGGGCCAAACGAGCACCATCGGTACCGTAAACATTAATTTGTACTTTACTTATCCAGAAATTTTGAAAAATTTAAACCTTTCTAAACTGAAGTTCACTTTGAAACTTATATAACTCCATAATATTTACCAAACATATGGTGAAATATAATTTGCTAGGGATTCAGAAAGGAAATTGACAAAATATTTTGATTCCTTGACTCTTGAATTTCATATACAGGATTTAGAGAGAAACTCTATTTCAGAAATAACTATCTATCTAGATTGACAGTTTCTGATTTGTCATTATTTTCTCCTTATTGAAGGTAAATAACTTGGCATTGTGCCTGGATATGTAGTGTAAATGAACAGTACATTTTAGTTCTTATAATTATTACAATTATCCTTCCAATCTTTTTTACAGCTGACTTTTTATTTGGTGTGTCCTTGCCATGGTTTCTTGCACTTAGTATACATTTTTAGTTACATTGAATAAATGTTACATTGAACTAAGATAAACAACTTTGTAAATTTTGATGTACAAATTCCAAAAAGATCCTTGGTGGAGATTTTGATAAATTCTGCACTCTAGAATATGCAAAATGTTTTTAGAATAATGTGATGATACCTATTAAAAGTTAAACAATTAGTTTATTAATTTTAAATATCTTTTTAATAGTGAAGTACTATAGCAAATATTTACTGATTAATGCAATTTAATAATCACTAATTTATTAGTCTGTAAATTGGGCTTTCCTCTCATTCAGTCTGGTTTCTCTCAGTTGATCCAGTGAAACTTTACTGTAAAAAAGTTACTTTTATAACTGTAATTATCATAGTAACAAATTTTAAGACATTATCAACTAAAATTAAACTTGAGGAAAAAAAATTGATGAAATTCCAGAATTTAATTTTATATTATATGTTTAAAACATCATGATATCAGAGGGAAAGATAAATGTCAAATGCAAGGTTCCTAAAATCAGTAAGAAAAAGACAAGCAACTATGTGGAAAAATGCATAAAGTTTGGAAACAGAATTATCCCACAAACATATGAAAAGACATTTAGCCTCACTGGTAATCAGAAAAATACAAAATAAAGCAATAATTGTTTTATTGTCAGACTAGAAAAAAAAACAAAGGAATAATATCAAAGTTGGTATCTAGGATGGATGAGGGCGAAGAAGAGTCCTCATTCACTGCTGTGGAAATATCATAATCTCTCAGGTCACTGGTTAAAACTAAATATGTGCATACCCTATCAGCCTGGGTTTCCTCCTTTTTAAATCTACTCTAGAGAAACATTCACACATATGCTTAAGGAGACATATACAAGGATACGTATTGCGGCTTTGTAAGAGGGAAAGTCGAAAACAAATTGTCTATCAATTTGGAACAGGTAAGTAAACAGATACACTTGAATTAGTTGGGGATTAGTTCCTGTTGTACACAATAGATAACTCAATTTGGAGTGTTCTGACCAAATGCATTATTATTATTTTTTTTCACACTGCAGAATGTAGAGGTAGTTGGTCCAGGGCTGGTGTAGCAAATTCAAAATATCATCCAAGTGTCAGACTCCTTCTGTCTTTCTGATCTGCTGCCTGTAAGTGTTGCTCCCAACCACATGGTCACAGGGGGCTCCTGACCCCCCTCTCTGACCGTCACAACTGTGTTTCAGAAGGAAGAAGGGACGGGACATTGTGACAGCAGAGTCAGTGGCATTTGAAAAGCTTTTCTAAAAGCCTCACATAGTGACCTCCACTTCCAGATTTGAGCCAGAACTGTGTCATGTATCACCCTAGCTACAAGAGAGCATGTAGCATTTTATGTGGGCATGTCGTGATTCTAAATAAAATCAGGAGGAAGGAGGAAGGTAGAATAGATCCTGGATTGGCAAACAGCTATTCCTTCAACAATACTCATAAATGGAAAATTGTTAGGGATGTGCCAGATCCAAAAGAATCAAACTAGATAGATCTCTGAGACATGATGAATGAAAAAACCTATTGTATAATGCTATTTGTACACTCACATCCATGCATACAGACACAGAGAACAGGAAACTAATACAGAGGGAAAGGTCTGGAAGGATGCACACCAAATCCTAAGAATGATGAATTGTGGGAGTAAAAGTTGTGAATCTCTAGTTTATTGATAATTCAGGTTGAGGTGGACATGGAGATATGTTGTCCAGATCCCCTTTTAAGGAAGGACTTGCTGCCAGTCACAATGTTTTCAGCAGACAACCTCCAACTGCCATCCCCTTCTGCGGTTGCTTTAGGTGCAAAGCTGCCTCACTCAAGGTTATGGCCCTGGATGGCAGGAGTGGGTGGCCCACATTCACCAACTAACTGATCAATGGCAGAGTATAAAGGCCCAGCTATTTTGGATCAATATTGAGCACTCTAACGGCCATTTATCTCCAGAGCCACCCAGTGGAATCAGCTGAGGCTGTTCAGCCTGCACTGTGGCTAATTTTCCCCTTTCCCCTGTTTCCTTCTCTTCGCTTCCACAGATGTTGTTCAAGAGTCCTTCATAGCAAACATTCTGCACACCCAAGTCTGTCTCGGAATCTACTTCCCAAAGAACCCAACCTGTGAGAGTGTTTGTTCTGTTGTGAAGTGATATGTGTGTTCCTGAAACACCAAATATTTTGTATAATTGCACACTAAAAATAGCCAGGCTTATGAAAAAGATAGGATTGGGACAAACTATTCAAAATCTATCTGACTGTATAAGTGGAGAACCAATAAAATCAACTTTAACAGTTAATCTCCAACCACAATCAGTAGATCCTTACAGCCTTAAACCCTGATTCCTGTTTTCTTCATCAGGGCATCCTCAGGGCATTTGCTTCCAGTAGAGACCAGCTTCGTCAAAATTAAAAAGAAGGAGCAGCTTTTTTTCATCAATCACTTTTTTTTAAAACCAGGGGAAAATATTTCCCTCACAACTGCTTCGTCTGCACTCATGGCTTCACCAGATAGCTTAAAGGTATGGAAATCGAGGCAGACCAGTTACTACTTGGACTAAAGGAAGGCACTCCTGCAGGATTTCCTTTTTTTTCTGTCAAGGTCTTCATATGTTACTAAGACTTTCTCTTTAATTACAAGAAAGCCTGTTGTGATCACTTCAAAATACTAGTAAGATACAAAAATTTCATGTAGGAATCAACGCAGCTTCTGTGCTATACTGACATCCATCCTTGATTATCATTACAAACACAAGACTTGAAAGAGACAAGACTGATGTGTTATTTTTATTTTATTTTATTTTATTTTATTTTGAGATGGAGTCTCGCTCTGTCCCCCAGGCTGGAGTGCAGTGGCACAATCTCAGCTCACTGCAACCTCTGCCTCCTCAATTCAAGCGATTCTCCTGCCTCAGCCTCCCAAGTGTCTGTAACTACAGGCACCTGCCACCAAGCCCGGCTAATTTTTTGTATTTTCAGTAGAGACGGGGTTTCACCATGTTAACCCAGATGGTCTCTATCTCCTGACCACGTGATCCACCCACCTCAGCCTCCCAAAGTGCTGGGATTACAGGTGTAAACCACCGCGCCCAGCCTATATATATATATTTTAAAGGAGACTCCATTTGTGTATTATTTCTATTAACATTTAAATAATGTATCTATATGAAAGAGGAATACTGAAGAGAGGCAAACCAAGTATAAGAATGATAATTTGGTATAAGCTTGGAATAACAGAGTCACAGCACATTTTTTTCAAGTTCCTGGGCCTCTCTGGACACTAATCCCTATAAGGTATTATTTTTTGTCCATTTATTGTTATTTGTAGGTTTACTGATCCGCCATCATCTAAGTTCGTCTTACCTACTGCTATGGTATGAATGTGTTCCCTCCAAAATTCAGGTGTTGCCAATGTGATAGTATTAAGAGGTTGGGCCTCTTAAGTATCAAGAGCTGATTAGGCTATGAAGGCTGTTCCCTTATTAGTGGGATTGAGGCCCTTATAAAAGTAGCTTCACATTGTTTTTAGCTGTCAGGAGGCTTTTGCCTTCTGCACATGTGGCTGCAGCGAGGAAGCTGTCACTTGACCAGGTGCCAGTGCCTTGATCTTGGACTTGCCAGTCTGCAGAACTGTGAGTGAATAAATTTCTGTTTTTTCATAGAGTACCCAGTCTGTAGTGTTCTGTTATAGTAGCACAACACTGTTCTTCTACCCTCAGTTCATTTAAAGAATAACTGTGTACCAGGCAGAGCGAGGGTTCCATTCTCACTTGACTTCCCCAAATTGTTTTCTGGTATCCCAGATTGCAAAACATGTTTAAAGGCAATAGTTTGGTGCAGTAGAAATACATTAGGGTCAAACTAAATGTGGACCAAAGAGATGTGTGTACTGCTTCAGTGATGTGTTTTAGTTGAAATAGTTCTGACAGACAGGCTTAGAGGCAGGGGACAGCTTGCCAATGTTCTCTGAGTCAAAGTGACTACCGTCAGGTTTACAAAAAATCATGTGTAGTCTGTGTTACTCTAGCGAGAAGTTTATTAGGTTTGAGATGCCTGTGAGAATTGGGCTATGACTTTGGTGGAAACTGTGTAAGACAAACAACATCCTTGCTGATTCTTGACACGCCGGTGACATTTTCCTGGAGAATCTAGATTGTTTGGGCTCAGGGTTTTTGTTTTCACTTCTACATATCTATATTTTAAATTTATTTTATTCTCAGATAAATAGTTTTTCTTCTCCAAAGGGGAATAGATTTTTGTTTCAGATGGTAAACAAAGTTCTGATTTAGCACTACCTGTCTCATATTGATAGGTGTCTCAAAAAGTAAGTCTACACGAAAACCCACCACTGCATGTTGCTACAAACTCTGAGGAATAGATAAATATAACTCTCAGCCCACACAGTCCGGCTGGAGGGGCCATAACATCATCTTTCTAAAAATGAATATAAATTCTATTTTCAGGTTACCACTCTTCTGGGTAATGAAAATGTAATCTCAATTTAGGAGCTCTTTCCCATCCTCCTCTTTTCATCTGTCTAGGAAACTTATCAAATGGCAATATATAGGAAGGTGGGACCTGGTCTTTATTGCCATATATCCCGCTGACTTCTGTTGTAATCAGTGATCATATCAAAATATATTTTTTAAATGTCTAAAAGTGAAAATGGCGCAGGCAAAGACAATCAAAATGGATGTCTGCAGTAACTAACTAGCACAAGCAAACAAGAACATACTGAAATTCTTTTTCTTCTGGTCTGCAACTATTGGTCCACCCAAGCTACAGTTACATCTCTTTGCCCCTGTAGAAAAACCTTTTCAAGTTTCTGTGCCATGTGCAAGTGCTTCTCAGATGCTTTAAATGCAGTATGCTACTCCTATTCTACTTTTGGCCATGGAAACTGTCTTCTCTACTCCTCTGCTCCTTAGGACATAGGTAAAATTATGATCCTTGCATTTTCCTAGAGGTAGTCAAGAATCTGGTTGTGCAGGGAGCCAGTGAGTTACCCTGGTCTTCAGTTCCTCATGCTTATCAAGGTTTAAATTGGATTTGGACCAGGTTAGAGACGGGAGTCAGGGACCAGAAATGGTCAGAGTACAGATAATTTTCAGAAATACATCTCAGCTTCTAACTTTGTTTCCAACTCTCTCCTCCTTTTCTGATCCAAAGACTTTTTCTTTAATAGAGGGGACTGTAGACTGTGTCTCCAAATATATCTCCCCAAATCTATTGTTTAGGGTGAAATTTTTATGGTCTGGGTCCTTTGAGGCTCTTAGGCCTTGGCTTTTGAAAACCAAGAGGCTTTTTTTTTTTTTTTGCTGTTGTTTCATACCCACTCAGGCAACAAAATGCTGCTGACTAAACAAAAGAATGTTCACTGCATAATAAGGAATACAAGGAATGGCAAATGTATGGCTACTCTGTATTTCAATATTTATTTTCCATATCTGCTTCAGGCACCTGGCCCATCTGTCAAGACTATACACAAACATCTCAAGCACAAAAACAGTCTTCCTCTTTGAAAGCTTGCCCAGTCTTCAGATTGCTCTATTAGAAAGTTATTTGTTAGCCAGGTGCAGTGATGCATGCCTGTGGTCCCAGCTACTTGGGAGGCTGAGGTGGGAGGATCACTTGAGCCCAGGAGGTTGAGGCTGCAGTGAGCTATGATTGCACCACTGCACTCCAGCCTAAGTGACAGAGCGAAACCCTGTTTCAGGAAAAGAAAAAAAAAAAAAAAACAAGAGTTATTTGTTATAATGATCTGAAATCTATCTAACTTCCACAGGGGCAGACCTTTTTCCCGAGAATATTAAAATAAAGAGAAAGGGAAACAGTCAGTCACTCTTACAGTATCACTTCTCTCCAGGTCTCTCTTCAGATAGCCTCTTCTGTTTATCACCTTACCAACCCAAAGGCAGAACCCAAACCAGTATGTAGAATGCAAAGTTAACTTTTTGGAATCACAGTTTTCTGTAGCTCTTTTGTCATCCAAATTCCTGCCTAAGACTTTCAATTAGCAGTGTGGGCAACCAACTCTTAATCAGTATGCCTTATTTCCCAGTGACAAGACCAATGGCATGTGTTTGAGGGAGGTAATATATTAGTCAGTGGAATTCGGAACCCTCCACAGGCCATGTGAGGGTCTACAAGGCTCTACGTAGTCTGGCTTTTTCCTTATCTCCAGCCTCAACTCATACAACACTTCCCCTGTGCTTTCTCCACCCCAGACACTCACCCTTTTTTCCATTTGTCTTTGCTATGCTTCCTCTTAACATAGGGCATTTGCTCTGCTATACCTACCTTCAGAAATAACTTTTTCCCTCTTTGTCTGGTATTTCTCGTCTTCAGACTTTAGCTCAAATAGCATAGCCTTGGAAATTTTCTCAATTTCGCTCCCAAGATCCTTTGTCTTTATTTTTCTAGAGTTACTGGTTTACATTTCTATGATTATTCATTTCCCCTATTCTAACAGTTTGCAGAGAGCTGGCAATTGGTAGGCATTGCACAAAAAATTGTTGAATAAATGAACTGAGAGATCGTACCTATATGTAAAGCTAGATCCAAGCCTACTTGTTGAGCAGGTCCTCTCCACTCTCTCTTACCTGTTTTCATCTCTGCATGCTTCCTTTTCCTCTTTAATTGCAGTGCCTGCTTCCAGCAGGCACTAGAATCAAATAAATGGATAAATGTGCCTAGTTTTCTTTTTTCTTCCGAAAGGCCAATTACACTCTGTGGTGATGATTATCTCACGGAGTCACCAGACCTTGTTTAATGAGCAACATGAATCTGCAGGGACATGCTGTTTCCCAGAATTGGGGTCAAAGGTTGCAAAGATGGGCTGCAAAAAACCGACAAAAGCCGGTGACAGTTTTTTATTTTTTCCCAAATGCCATTTATTCTGCCTAGTGATATTTACAGTGTATCCTGTCATTGTAATAACACACCAATTAATGGGGAAAATGGCAGCTCATTACCCTATGAAATAGTAGAATTTTCAAATTGGCTGGATGCTCTCAAAAGCTTGTAATTTGTAATCACAAACTCTGCTCTTATTCTCTGTTCATATTCTCTGTTTAAAATGTAGCTTACCTTCAGATTAGATGTCATTATAAATCCTTTGACATACAACTTCCCTTCAGATGTAGCTCATTTAGATTGTGTAAAACATTACTAAAATTTCATTTTTCATGAAAATCAGATATGCTAATTTGAATATCTAAGGCAGACTTAAATTCTTAAGGAAATTTTTTTTTTTTTTTTTTGAGACGGAGTTTCACTCTGTCGCCCAGGCTGGAGTGCAGTGGCACAATCTCGGCTCACTGCAAGCTCCGCCTCCCAGGTTCAGGCCATTCTCTTGCCTCAGCCTCCCGAATAGCTGGGACTACAGGCGTCCGCCACCACACCTGGCTAATTTTTTGTATTTTGTTAGTAGGGATGGGGTTTCACTGTGTTAGCCAGGATGGTCTCGATCTCCTGACCTCATGATCTGCCTGCCTCAGCCTCCCAAAGTGCTGGGATTACAGGCGTGAACCACTGCGCCCGGCCAGGAAATTTTTATAAGTGGTGATGCTTTCTCAGTTTTCTCAGGGTTTCTTAGAAACCCTACCAAGTGCTAATATTTAGGAAATATTATTCATTCTGACCATTTGCTTCTTTTGAAAGATATTACTATACATTCTGGTGGTACAATTTTAAATGATAATATATTATTTTAATCACACACACAAAAAAGCAACCCCCACCCCACCAAAACATTTAGGAAGGTAAAACGGTGACAATTTGGATGTGAACAGCTTACTATCTAACCAACCCAGTTTTCATTTCCCACAGCTATAATGGAAGCTGCTAAAGCTAAGGAAGGCCAGGTGTGATGGTGCACACCTATAATCCCAGCACTTTGGGAGGCTGAGGCAGGTGGATCACTTGAGCCCAGGAGCTTGAAATCAGCCAAGCAACATAGTGAAACCTTGTCTCTACCAAAAAAATTTTAAAAATTAGCTGGGATTGGTGGCTGCACCTGTGGTTACAACTGCAAAGAAGGCTGAGGTAGGATCGCTTGAGCCTGAGAGGTCGAGGCTGCAGTTAGCCATGGATGCGCCATTGCAGTCCAGTGTAGGTTACAGTGAGACCCTGTCTGATAAAAAAGCTAAGGAGTAAGACACATTTATAGGGAGATGATTTAAAGTAAGCTAAAAAGTACAATAGTTTATTTGAAATTGAACAAAAATAAATGAGGCAGGTATTTTGCTTATGATGCAGACATTTTGTTTATAATGTAATCTACATTACCAAGAATCCACACACAAGTATGGATATGGAAAACTATTCTGCTAACAATTCAATTACAGAAAAAAGAATTTAAAAGGCAAAAAAAAGTCACCATCTAAAGCATTGATCCCTTTAATCTTTTTTCAACACCGTCCATTTGAGGGGGAAAAGCTTTCTTTGGTCTTAACATTTTTACTTTGCAAAAAAAAGTATGAAATGTACTATATAAAGAAGATATGGGGATTTGTTCAGTGATTCTGTTCAGTGATAATTTAAGAAGGATACTATTGAAAGCAAGCAGTTTGACTTCAAAATTTTATTTCTGCTATTTGGAATTTTCCTGAAATAATCTAAAAAGGTAGATTGTGACTCAACCATAAGTTTTGAGGACCTGAACCCCACATTCCTTTTTTTAAATTAGCCCTTTAATTTTAGTACGTGGTAAGTTATGACAGGTAATCAAGATTAAGACCAGAAGTAGAAGAGTGGGCTTTTGGAGGTAGGGGACGGTGGAAAGGTTCGAGGAGACGCTGATAATCAAGATAGTTGCATATGAAATGTAGTTCCTACATAGGAACTTTACATTGCTATTCTTTTTCCTGTTGATTGCTCAGAAATTCTGTTTTGAAAAAAAAATGTAAAATTTGTGCATTAGCAGTGAATGTCCAACGTAATTAACATATTACAAATAGTTCAATGATCTCTCTTTGTAAAATAATTGGTGACTATACAAATAAAAATATATAGCTTTCTACACTGCCTTCAGTTCTAAGTTAGTAAATGCATATTTTATCTTTAGGGCAAGATCGTCCGTTAAAACATCTACTCTCTGCTTACTTTCTGTTTTGAAAATTGTTTAGTATTTTCAACTTCATCCTTTAGGCAAAAATACATTTCAACAAAGCTAGTGTGGTCACAGCTAGCATACCTGTATAGTGATCGAATAACAACTTAAAATCCTAAGGTCATATTAAATGAGAAAAATAGAATGTGTTACTTGTTTTGGATCCTAGAACATTAAAATGCAGGTACGATGGTAGACGATCAGTTGTATTTTTCTCTGTGACTTATTGGGCTCACTAGAAAAAATTATAAGGAAAATCCAACTAATGGCCGTGTAGCTCAAAGAAAAGGAAGTCCCTAACTAAATCCAGGTTATATGAACTAGAGTGCAAAGTTATTTTCTACAATTGCATTGTTTCCAATTGAGTGGATACCAAGTATTCTTTTTCTTTCATTTTAGAAAAATCACTTCTAATAGAAATAGGAGAAGTAGAAGCAGCAGCAGCTACAACCCTAGGTACAGCTGAATATCCCTTAACCTTATAAACAAAAATGGAGTGGGAAAGATGCTTCGAGATCAATCTAACCATAGGTCCCAATGAGCTAACTGCCTAGTGCATTCCCTAGGCTGAAAGATAAGTCTATGAGGCTCTTTCCTGCTAGGGCAGTGGTAATGATGAAGTGAGCAGAGACAGAAAGAGTCATTTATTAATGCATTCTTCAATTCATCAAGCATCTATTGTATATGGTAGACTTATATGCACCGGACTCTGGGATAGACCATATGGAGACAAAGTTAATAAAGCCAGGCATGGACCATGTCCTTTTGGAGTTTACAAGCCAGAGGAGTTGTTAATCAAGTAAATTACATTATGAGTATAAAATTGCAACTCTGAACAAGCACTAGGAAAGGGCCAGACCAATTCAGCTCAAGGTTTTACAAACAATGTTAGTTCAGTTATTAATTCAGTGAACATGAAGGACATTATCTGGCCACTTTCAGAATATGTTTGAGATCTTGGAAAGGGTACATTTCAGTGCCTTTCCTTGTTTTTGCAAAGGCGTTGTTGTTGAATTGGTGCAAAAGCACAAGGGGGAAGGATTATGTAGGTTTTTCATTACCTGGAAGAAAACAAATATTTTTGAAAGAAAAAATATTTAATTCGATTTTAAATTAATTATAATTACTTGCCAATGTTGGTAATAGCACAACTTCAATCTTGGACTCAGATTGGTTAGCACCACTTTGTTTATTTTTCCATACTGATTTTCATGTATTTGCTTTTTTTAAAAATTAAACTTTTTATTTTGTGATAATTATAGATTAACATGTAATTATAAGAAATATACAGAGATCTTTCACTCATTTCCTCTAATGGTGACAGCTATCAAAACCACAGTAAAATATCACAATAGGTACTATATTACATTGACATTGACACAGTCAAGCTACAGAATATTTCCATCACCACAAGGATCTCATGTTGCCCTTTTATAATCCCACCCACTTCCTTCCTGCCTCCACCTCCTCAACACCTGATGACCACTAAACTGTTCTCCATTTCTTTTCTTTTCTTTTTCTTTTTCTTTTTTTTTATTTTGAGACGGAGTCTCACTCTGTTGCCCAGACTAGAGTGCAGTGGCACAATCTTGGCTCACTACAACCTCCAATTCCCTGGTCAAGCGATTCTCCTGCTCAGCCTCCTGTGTAGCTGGGATTACAGGCACGTGCCACTATGCCCAGCTAATTTTTGTATTTTTAGTAGAGATGAGGTTTCACCATGTTGGCCAGGATGGTCTCGATCTCCTGACATCGTGATCCATCTGCCTTGGCCTCCCAAGGTGCTGGGATTATAGGTGTGAGTCACAGCGCCCGGCCTAACTGTTCTCCATTTCTATAATTTTGTCATTTAAAGAATGATATATAAATAGAATTATACAATATGTAACCTTTTGGAACTTGCTTTTAAAACCCAGCATAATTCTCTGGAGATTAATTCATGTTGCATGTATCATTAGTCAGTTCCTTTCTATTGCTGAGTTAGTATTCCATGATATGAGTATACCATAGTTTGCTTAACTAGTCACCAGTGAAGGACATATGGGTTGTTTCTGGTTTGGGGTGACTATGAACAATGCTGCTATAAAAATTCAGGTATAGGTGTGAGATAAATGCTCAGAAGAAATTGCTGGGTTATATGGTAATTGCATGCTTCCTTTTTCAACAAATTGCCTTACTATTTTCCAAAGAGACTGTACCATTTTACATTCCCACCAGTACAGTGTGAATGATTCAGTTTCTCTACATCTCCACTAGCATTTGGTGTTGTCACTATTTTTTATTTTAGCCATTCTTATAGCTATATAGTGATAACTCTTTGTAGTTTTTTTTTAAATTTTTTTTATTTTTTGGAGATGATGTCTCACTATCTTGCCCAGGCTGGTCTTCAACTCCTGAGCTCAAGGGATCCTCCTGTGTCAGCCTCCTGAGTAGCTGAGACTACAGCCATGCACTATTGCACCTGCCTCTCTTTGTGGTTTTTAATTGTGTTTTCCTAATGTCTAATGACGTTGAACACCGTTCAATGTACTTATTTGCAATCTGTATAACCTGTTTAGTGAAATATCTGTTCATGTCTTTTGCCCATTTTCCAATGGAATTTTTTTAACTGTTGAATTTTGAGGGTTCATTATATATTTTTAGATACTAGTCTTTTGTCAGATACGTGTTTTGCAAATATTTTCTTTCCATCTGTAGTTTATCTTTTCATCCTCTTAACAGGGTCTGGGTCTTTCACAGACTAAAGTTTTAAATTTGATAACAATTTTTCCATTTTTTTCTTTTATAGGTAGTGATTTTGATGTGAAGTCTAAGAAGTCTTTGACTAGTGCTAGAGCCCAATGTTTTTTTTTTCCATTTTATAGTTTTGCATTTTACATTTATGTCTGTAATCTACGTTGAGTTAATTTTTATATAAGATATAGGTCTTAGATTAATGCTTATTTTTTCATCTGTGGATGTCCAATTGCTCCAGCATCTTTAGTTGTAAAGGCTCTTTTCTTTATTGAAATACATTAGCAACTTTGTGATGAATCAGCTGGGCATATTTCTTGTGAGTCTGTTTCTGAGTTCTCTATTCTGTTCCATTGATATGTATGTGTCTGTTCTTCTGACAATACCACACAATCTTGATTATCTTAGCTATATAATAAGTATTGAAATTGGGTAGACTGATTACTTTCACTTTATTTCTCTTTTTCAAAATTGTTTTAGCTATATCTAGTTGCCTTGCCTGTCCACATAAATTTTAGAATAAATTTATTTATATCTTTAAAAAAATCTTTCAGAGATTTTGGTTTCCCTCATGAATACAGATGTGAAACCTCAGCAATATATTAGCAAATCAAATTCAGCAATATATTATGAGAATTATACACCACCAGCAAGTGTAGTTTATTCCAGGGATGGAAGTTAGGTCTAATATTTGAAAATCAATCATATTAAAAGATCAAAGAGGAAAAATCACATGATCATATCAATTGATGCAGAGAAGGCATTTGACAAAATTCAATACCCATTCAAGCTATGAATGTCTTTGGGTTTATCCTGCTTTTGGTTCAGTCAGCTTCCTTTTTTTTTTTTTTTTTGAGACGGAGTCTCGCTCTGTCGCCCAGGCTGGAGTGCAGTGGCGTGATCTCGGCTCACTGCAAGCTCCGTCTCCCGGGTTCACGCCATTCTCCTGCCTCAGCCTCCCGAGTAGCTGGGACTACAGGCACCCGCCACCACGCCCGGCTATTTCTGTATTTTTAGTAGAGACGGGGTTTCACCATGTTAGCCAGGATGGTCTCAATCTCCTGACCTCGTGATCCGCCCACCTCAGCCTCCCAAAGTGCTGGGATTACAGGCATGAACCACCGCCCCCCGCCAGTCAGTTTCTTTTAATGTGCAGGTTTATGTCTCTTGCTGAATCTGGGGAATTTCTAGCTATGATTTCTTTGAATACCATTTCAGTCCCATTCTTTTTCTCCTCTCTTTTGGAAACACCAATGACATACATATTAGATCTGTTATAATCCCACATATTTCCAAGGCTCTGTTTATTCGTTCAGTCTACTTTCCTCTCTTTTGTTCACACTGGGTAACTTTCATTGCTCAGTCTCCCAGTTCACTGATTCTCCTGTCCTCTCCATTCTGCTCTTGAGCCCATCCACTGAGGTGTTCATTTTGGTGGTTGTTCTAAAATTTCCCTTTGGTTCTTCTTCATATCTTTTATTTCCTTGCTGAGGCTTTCTAGTTCATCATTCATCTCAAGCATGTTCATAATTGCTCATCTATGTATTTTTGTTATGGCTGCTTTAAAATCTCTTTCAGATCATTGTTGCATCTTGGTTCTCTTGGTGTTAGCATTCATTGATTGTCTTTTGCCATTCAGTTGAAATCATCCTGGTTCTTAGTATTACTATGATGTGATGGTTTTTTTTTTTTTTTTTTTTTTTTTTGAGACCGAGTCTTGCTCTTTCGCCCAGGCCGGAGTGCAGTGGCGCTATCTGGGCTCACTGCAAGCTCTGCCTCCCGGGTTCACACCATTCTCCTGCCTCAGCCTCCCGAGTAGCTGGGACTACAGGTCCGCCGCCGCGCCCGGCTAATTTTTTGTATTTTTAGTAGAGACGGGGTTTCACCGTGTTAGCCAGGATGGTCTCGATCTCCTGACCTCGTGATCCGCCCGCCTCGACCTCCCGAAGTGCTGGGATTTCAGGCGTGAGCCACGCGCCTGGCTGATAGTATTTTTAAAAATTGAAACCTGGACATTTTTGTCTTATGTTAAGGAGACTCAATCATATTTAGACTATTTTAACTGGTTTTTCTAAGAGCTCTGACAAGTGTAGAGGGGCACTGCCTTGTTACCGCTAGGTGGAAGCAGAAGTCTAGGTTCCCTACCCAGCCTCCTGAGGACAGGTGGGAAGTCCTTGTTACTGCTAGATTGGGGGAGAGTTTCTGCTGCTGATGGGGTCTCCACTGACACTAGCGTGGGGTGGTCTCATTGCTGCTGGTGAAACTGAGTGTCGTGACTCTCCACTAAGTTTCTTCTGACATCTTCTTCCCCATGTGGTGAGAGGAAGAGTGCCTCATTACAGCTGGGTAAGAAGTCCAGGGTCCTCCAGTGATCTCTGCAGATACCACCATGGGATAAACGGTGGGGCCTTGTTATCAGGATGGGTGGTTTTGGGATGAAAATCCTGCCTCGCTACTTGGACTTTGTTAACACTGCCCCGGTGGGAATTTTGGAATGCCTCATTGCAGTTTATTGAGTGAGGAAGTGTAACTTCCCACAGTGAGTTTGTCTGCATGGGTGGGAGGGAGGCCACAGTTTTCTTCATGCTGTTTGAATGGAATAGAGAGGTTATAGCTAAAAGTTTTCTGTCTTGCTAGGCTTCCCTATCCTGGTCCTTTTAGAGAGAGAAGGCCTTTTTGTCCGTGCTCATTGGCATTTTCAGGTCTCTGGCTTCTTCAGTTCCCAGTAAGGAATATATGATACAGAAAGGGAAACCGGGGAACTCACTGCTTTGTTGTTTTCTGAGTCTCTAGGGCCCTAGCTGGTTGGCTGCTTCTCTCCATATAATGTCCAGAGTTTTCTTATGTATAACGTCCGGAGTTTTACTTGTATTTAACAGAGGGAATAGGGATAAGTACTTCTACTCAATCCTTCCAGAAGCAGAAGCCAGTCAATTAATTTTTCTGATTAATGCATTTTTATTCCACATGTAGTCTCTTCTTGAGTTCAGTAAATAAGAATCTACATAATTCGCAAAGGAACATGGACATACCCAAAATATATGCCCAGAATCCAAACACTATTCACCTTCATCACAGTCTCTACTGTGGTCCAAACCACGACCGTCTCTCATCTGAATTATTGGAATGATCTCATGACTGCTTGCCCCTACCCGCTACTTTCTATATTTATTACAGAATCCATAGGGATCCTATTAAAACATGAGTCTGATCACTGCTGAAAATTTTCCCACGTGTTCCCCAACCACCCTCAGGGTAAAAGCAGAAATCTGTACAATGGCTTACAAGGCCCTACAAATTCTGCACCCACCCTTTTGACCTCACTTCCTCCTATTCTGCCCCTCACTCAATCTGATGCAACCATGGTGTTCCTCTCACATGTGGGGCTTATCCCCACCTCAGGATCTTTGCATTAGTTCTTTCCTTTGTCTGCAACACTCTTGCCCCATATGTATCCTCGTGGATAGCTCCTTCACTTCTTGCAGATCTTTGTTCAAATGTATAACCTTCCCAGGCCTTTCCTTACCATCTTGGTTAACGCTGCAACCATCTGTCACTTTCTCTACCCTCCATGTTCCTCTTCTTGCTTTATATTCTCCGTAGCAATTTCCTCTTCTAATATACCATGCACTTTACTATTTTAGTTTGTTTACTTTTCTCCTCTCTCCCATGCATTTTACTATTTTAGTTTCTTTACTTTTCGCCTCTCTCCATTAAAATATAAACCCATGCAGGGTATGATGTATTGTCTATTTTATTGCTGTGTTGTCCACATTAAAAACAGTGCCTGACATATAGGAAGTGCTCAATAAATATCTGCTGAATGAATAAATGACCTTCCAAGCTTCGTTGAGGTAGAAATTTTTCATGATGCAGCAATAGCTCTGGTGGTCTGAGTGACAGCAGCTGTGATGATGACAAAAGATGAACTCTATTACATGTTCCTTTGGAAGCATTTATACATGGATCCCTGTCTTAATATTCTACTGTATTTCTTAGGTATTCTTTATCCCTCTGCTTCCCTCTGCCTTTCTCAGTCCAAACCTACTACCAACTATGTGGTTTTCTCAATAATCTCTAGATTTAAAAAAAAAAGAATCTGACTCATCCAGTGAATTGACAAAGCTCCTATAACATCACATTGTAGGTCAGTGGCCATGGAATCCCTTGGCTCAGTCTTGGGTCGTGTGGTATAGTAAATGGGTACCTCTGCTTGATAAATTGCCTAGGGCAGTTCTCTCAGCAACAGCAAGAGGACAAAGCAGAGGCCCAAGAATGAATCAATTCTTTTCTAATGTTCTTAGACAACTCAGACAACTCTGTAGATTTGTAAAATTTTAGATTTAAAAATAAAATCCTCAAATCCTTCTATTAACGGTTACATCTGTATCCAAGCTACTCAGCCAGCATCTTAGAAAACAAAAACATAATCATAGCTAAACATTTACCAAAAATGACCCCTGACTTTTTAGACATTCTGGCTAGGAAAAGATTTAGCTCCTTGAAAAACTTAAGAATCTATTCAACAAGTAGCAAATAGTTTAACTCAACTTTTATTTTTGAAATGAAATTGAATTTTAGTATAGAACAAGTAGAAGGGCTTTCCTCTTGCGTTTAATGTTTTGTCAGAAAAGTGACAAAGCCCTTTTCTTTGAAGCCTATCCTAGTGGGACCCCACAAGACCCTTGAGAGTTCTTGGGGTATAGGGAGAATTCTGTGTCTCAGATATTATGGCTCCACTACAGTGCTTTTCTGAGATCTCTTGGAAATATACAAAAACAAAAATGTCAGAATCAACTGCTGCTGCCCAGCATGACAGGTAAGAGACAGCAGTGCAGAACTGGTGTAAACTTTGAATTTTTGGTAGGAATTCTTTTCCTAGCCATACTCAGGGAAAAACTGCTTTTAACATGCAGAATGAATGTAATTAGACTCATTGCATAATCTCCCATTTTTTATGTAAAATGACAAATACATTATAAACAAACTGTTCCATGACAAGCAACTTACAAAACATGAAAAAATAATATTAAGCATATTTTTCCCTAGGAAATGTCTATCATATCCAACAGCTGTTTGTCATTATGTTGTTTGGTGGGCTTTTTTCTCTTGTATCTACAGATGAAAGGAAAAGGCTATTATGAATGAAGTGTGATAAAATTACTAAATCTGAAAGAACCAGTGGAATGATTTCATATGAGTATATTTAATTTTGGAGAAATGAGACCAATTTGAAATTTCAGTAGAGCCTTTTGTTTTCACTTTTCTTTAGAATCGTTTCTTTTTTCCTATTGAACATGAGGTATTGATTAAGCAAGCTTTTATTTACTTTTCATTGAAGCCCTCCAAAAGTAGAGCTGAAGAGTTTGCCTTTCACTGGTGACATAAGTAATGCTATTAAGCAAAATGCACATAGAAATAACTAAGATCTTCCTGTTTTTCCACCTTATGGAACATCCCTTTATAATTGAATAAGCTTTTAATTCTCCTGATTAGAGTGCAACATTACCCAAATTGAAAGGTGGTAGATTAAATAGTAATGTGTCTAAATTAGATGAATTATCTGCTGATTAGAATAGAATGACAAGTGATTACCATGCTTTTTTCATCTTCATTTGCCCAATTATCTTTACTTCTTTAATTATCATGGGTAGAAAATGAGGACAATAAAATTTTCAAGACAGAAATTTGTATCATTTTAGTGCAGCTAACATTGACAAACAGCAGCCAAGTAAAATAATCAGGACACAATGTCAACACTTAAAAAGTCAATTTTGTGATATTGCTTTCTTAATATTTAGTGTACTTAGTGTCAGCCATTTGAGCCATAGTGAATCTGGTGCAATCATTAAACAAAAGTCTTAAGAGGGAAAGTTGCCCTTTCCCCCTTCCCTCTGGCCCTAATAACACTTTAGGGCTATAAATTTCTGAAAAATAAAACACCAACTCGCCTAGCAGCCAGCATCCGAGAACAATGTAGCTCTGCCAACCACTGCTAATGAAGGACCTGAGACTTTTCTGACTTAATTCAGCAATGCAGAGTAGATGGAATTGCACTGATTTGAATCTTCTTGAGGGCAGAGACTCATGCATTCCTCTTTATAACCCCAGTGTCTAAAACTATGCTGCCACATTGTAGGCAAACAATTAAATATGGCAAAAGCAAATACATGTGGTGTGAGAAAGGTAATTCTTTCCTATGTTATAATACTCAGTCTTTTCCCATAATATCTTCCCTACATCAAGAAAGGTTTACTTGATGTAAATGCTCCAGTGTAAAATTGGAGGCTAAAAAGCAGGGCAGTGGCAACAAAGCACAAGCATGGCTTATTTCTGCAAAGAGATGCCTGTGCATTTGGGTGGGTATTTCTAAGTAGACTGTATGGTCTAAATATGGGTCTTTGTAGGCAGTAACAGGTAACAATGACAGGATCCTAAATAAAGTACTAACCCCTCTGTCTCTTAAGTTTCTTATTTGCATACTCCAAAGGAGGACTGGCCTTCAAATACGATAATGTGAAATCAAGCAATTATTGAAAACATTAATTCACCACTGTAGTATAGTAGATATGAATTATTCAACACTCTACTACAAGAAATTTTACATTGCTTTATTTGTGTAAATCAAATTAATTCTCATGTCATGGCCCCACTTCTCAAGGTTGCATGAAATTCAATTATGAAAGTGTTTTAGGAGGTCCTCTACCTCCTTAGAAGTAGTCTTTCATGTTGCCCAGAAAATGAGGTTCCTGTCCCCATCTTTGTTCCTTCTGCATTTTGCTGTTGATCTGGTTCTCACGGGAGTCCTCTCCAAGGTTCTTCCACAGAGGCTTTTGGCTGTCCTCTCAAAGTGTCTGTGCTTGGAAGTCTCCCTCCACAGATGTTTCATAGCACAGCTAACCTCCAATGTAGCATAGCAAGTGTAAGTGGGGCATATATCTCTGTCCCTCAAAGATACGCCCTAAACACTCATTATCTTCTCATGCTTGAAAAAGTTATATATTCTCTCTCTCTCTTTCTCTCCTGCCTACTTGCCTCTTTCCCTTTCTCTTTCTCCATGTCAAGATTTGCTCTTTTGACTCCCAGCATCAACTTCTCCCTTTTTGCCCACCTATAATTAAACTCCCAAAGAAACAATTGAAGACAGAGAAATGTCCTGGGGTTGAAGAGCAGGGACTTGAAGTTTTCATTTTTAACTCAGAGGGTAAATGCTATAAGCAAACCCCCTTGAGACAGAGGAACTTGGAAGTACATGCCTGCCTTCAAGGTACAAGGAAGTAAATATACCTCCAATTCTACTAAAACAACAACACCTGACATGAACATTTTAATAAGTTATGTATGCACATAGGTACGGTTACTGCTTGTGCTTTCGATGAAAAGCACTTCTTGGTTGGATTTCACCAGTGGAATGCAATTGTCCAGCCATATAAAAGGTGCTCAAAGTAGTATGACCTTCCTTGTAAATTCACTGTGACTCAGAGCCTATCCCTTGTCTGTGCAGATTCAGGGCTTGGATGCTGAATCGTGCTATGGAAGTCAACAAGATTGTAATTAAAAGGTCAAAATGCCCACCAATTAACTGAAAATTAGAAATAAAGTGGCAACTAGACCAGATACTTATTTGAACATGATCAGTAAATTCTCTCCCTGTAGACAATATCTGTACAGGAGACCAAATGATGCCATCACTTGACGAGATTGAAGTCAGATCAGAGTGAGTGCACTGTATGTCTTAGCCTGATACATCAGTTTCAGCAACAGAGAAATGGAAACACCAGAACTTGGGCCTGGGTCGGGAAATTGTCTCTAAATTGGTTTTGGGGGTCATGCTCCATAATTTTTCCTTCTTTTTTCTAGGCTTTGTGCTAATCTATATCTGCCTCCTTTTTCACTGACATTTTGTATATATGCTAGGACTTCTAATGTAGTTGGTAAATTTCCCCTAGGTTGGGAGTCATCTATTACACATATTGTGAAAACTTTCATGTATTTAAGAAGACATCAAGCTTAGTACAATGGCCAACTATGTACCCACCACTTAGTTTGAGAAATAAAACTAAGATAGTCACAGCCCCTTGTCTTGTGTGCACACTGTCTGATGCATTCCCCTCCTTCCTTCCTTCCCTCTCTCTCAGAGGTAAACATCATCCAGAATCTGGTGTTATCATTTTCTTTCATTTCTGTGTATTTTTACTACTTAGGTATGTGTTTCTAAACAATATATAGTGCAGTGTCATTTTTTTAAAATTTTACATAAATATTCTATGTGCACTTTTGGCAGCTTTCCTTTTTCTCAATATCATTATATTTGTAATATATATCCATATTAATACATGTGGCTTTAGTTTATTGATTTTCATTGCTGTGCAGTATTCCAGTATAGGAATAAAATGAGATATTTTTATTTCCAAAGAAAAAGAGAGCCAGACACTTATTAAAGGTAGCAAGACAGATATTTTATTCATACTGCTGCTGTAGGGGAGAGAGACTCCAGTATAAATCCTAGCTCAACTCCAACTAAGAGGAAGATGACTGAGGTTTTTAAGGGGAAAACAGATAAAGAATAAAAAAGGATTATTGGGAAGTGCAAAAGGGGAACAAAAAAAGGACTAAGAGGGGTATGTGAAAATGGAAAATTATAGAAGGGGAATTAGGTGAAGAATTGCTGAAAATGGTTTGGCAAGATGGGTTGAACAATATACATTTTGCAGTTTGGCATTATTGCGTTTTCTTTTTATGGGATGGAGTCTTGCTCTGTCACCCAGGCTGGAGTGCAGTGGTGCGATCTCGGCTCACTGTAACCTCCACCTCCCGGGTTCAAGCTATTCTCCTGCCTCAGCCTCCCAAGTAGCTGGGATTACAGGTGTGTGCCACCACACCTGGCTATTTTTTTGTATTTTTAGTAGAGATGGGGTTTCACCATGTTAGCCAGGATGGTCTCGGTCTCCTGACCTCATGATCCACCCACCTTGGCCTCCCAAAGTGCTGGGATTACAGGAGGGAGCCAAGCCACTGCGCCAGACCGTTGCATTTTCTTTAGCAAAGACTTAGCTTGGGAGCTGGGGCTGCCTTTAGAAGGTGGCCTGGTGTGGTGAGAGCAGGCTAGAGTTTACTCTCTTAGCACAGTGTTTAGGCAAGGGCTCTGTGCCTTGTAAGAGTTTACAGCTGACCATATTCACTGCCTGTTGTAGGACATTTAGGATGTTACCCATTTATTCATCTTTATAAACACTGCTGCTGCAAACATTCTCACACAAATCTTGTTTACACGTCTGGGATTTTCTCTAGGATATGAACCTAGCAGTGTTATTGCTCTATAAAAGAACATGCATCCCTTCAACAGACATTTTCAAGTGGACATTGTCAAATAATTTTTCAAAGTATAAGTAATAAAGTACAAACTCACCAGTGGCAATATGCATGCCAACTCTTCCACATTCCAGACAAAATGGATTTTGTCAGATGTTAACATTTTTGCTGTTGCCAAATGTGTATGTAATGTACCTTATTACTTTTTAGTGTCTGAAATGTACCTTATTACTTTTCCCTGATTATTAATGAGGTTCGCCATCTTTCCATATGGCCATTAGGTTTTGTATGTATGATAACCTGTTTATAGTTTTTGTGCATTTTTTTGGCACGTGGTTTATCTGTTCCTTACTGATGTTTAAGAATGTTTCAGATATCCAGCCAGGCGTGGTGGCTCCGCCTGTAATCCCAGCACTTTGGGAGGCCGAGGTGGGTGGATCACGAGGTCAGGAGATCGAGACCATCCTGACTAACATGGTGAAACCCCGTCTCTACTAAAAATACAAAAAAATTAGCCAGGTGTGGTGGCAGGTGCCTGTAGTCCCAGCTACTCGGGAGGCTGAGGCAGGAGAATGGCGTGAACCCGGGAGTCGGAGCTTGCAGTGAGCTGAGATCATGCCACTGCACTCCAGTCTGGGCAACAGAGCAAGACTCTGTCTTAAAGAAAAAAAAAAAGAATGTTTCAGATATCCTCCATTCTAATCCCCTGTTGGTTATATGAGTTGCAAATATCTTTTCTCAGTCTGAAGCTTGTCTTTTAATTTTTAAATGATATGTCTTGATAAATGGAAGATTTATTGTTCGTTGGCCATAATGTCTTTTTTGCCATTTTCCTATTGAGTTATTTGCCTCTTCCTTATTAGTTCAAACACGTTATTTAAATATTCTGGATTCTATTCCAGTATGTAACTTGTCTTTTCATTCTCTTTACCCTTTCTTTGAAGAAAGATTTTTAATTTTACTGAGTTTATCTAGCTTTTCCTTTATTGTTTGTGATTTTTATACCTTGTTTTAAAAATCTTCCCCAAATCTCAATGACACAGAGATATTCTTTTACATTTTCCTCTAAAAATTGTAAATTTTTGTCTTTCACAGTTACAACCTTAATCATAATTGTTGTGTTTCATGTGAAAAAGGAATGGTTTTTGTTTTGTTTTGTTTATCCAGATGGCTATGCAGTTGTGCCAATATAGCTTATTTAATAGGCCATAATGTCACCACCCATCTACAGTGCCACCTCAGTGACCCAATGTTACTCTGGATTTCTTCTGGGCTCTCTATTCTGTGCTACTGGTCTATCTATCACTGTGCGAACACAATAGTGTCCCAACAAATCCAATGTTGACAACTTTACACTTCTCCTTCAAGAGTTATTTTAGCTATTCTTGGCCCTCTACACTTTCAAATAAATTTTAGAATCAGTCTTTCAGCCTTCATTAAAAAGCGTGTTGGGATTTAGATTGGAATTACATTGAGACTATAAATAAATTTGGGAAAAAAATGATATCTTCACAACATTGCATTTTTTTGTTATTCACAAACATGGTACTTTTCTCCATTTATTTAGATCAACTTTAATGTTTTTCAGCAGAGTTTTGCACATCTTTGCTAGATTTACATCAAGGCACCATTTATTTATTTCTAAATGTTAACTATTTTAAGTTGCACCCTTTACTATCGTGTAAAAATGAAATCACTTTTGCATACTGATTTTTATGTATGGCATCCCTATAAACTCTCTAATTCTAATATTTCTGTAATTTCTTTGGGATTTTTGAAATACATTATATTATATAGGTAGTTATAATTCTTTTTCAATTTATTTTCCTGATAAGGAAGCCACAGAGACATGCCAAATAAAAGCAATAATAACAGGCATCCCTCTCTTGCTATTGATTTGAAGGCTTATGCATTTAGTATTTATATATGATGTTTGTGGTAGGGTTTTGGATAGTTTTTTGCTCTCGTTAAGTAAGATGTTTTTTAGACTCAGTTTCCTGGGAGGTTTTTTGTTTGGTTGGTTGTTTTTTAATAAATAAATGTTGACTTTTCTCTATTGCATTTCTTCATCTATTGAGATCTTTAATGTACTCAAATTATTTATGCCTCTGGAATGCAAACTTGTCAAGATGTTTTAAATATATTTTAGTAATGGTTTTACTAATGTTTTGTTTGGAGTTTTTTATACCTATATTCTTGAGTGGCTTTGAGTATTTTCCAATCTTAAACCATTGTTGTCATCTGTTTTTGTTATCAAGATTATCATAACCTCATAAAACGAATTGAGAATTTTCTTTTTCTATTCTTTGACTGAAAATTCATGTTCCAGCCCTCTCAAGATTCACCCATTCTCTTGATTTTGTGTGTGTGTGTGCGCGTGCACGTGTGCACTGATTTTCTTTATACAAATATAAGTAAGTACAAATATACGCATATTTTTCTTCCTCCACCCCTGCCATCCGTATGCAAAAGGCAGCATACATTATACATTGTTCTGCACTATGGTTTTCTTACTTTTTTTTTTTTGAGACAGAGTCTCGCTCTGTCGCCAGGCTGGAGTGCAGTGTCGTGATATCTGCTCACTGCAACCTCCGACTCCCTGGTTCAAGCGATTCTCTTGCCTCAGCCTCCTGAGTAGCTGGGATTACAGGCACATGCCACCAGGCCCAGTTAATTTTTGTATTTTTAGCAGAGACAGGGTTTCCCCATATTGGCCAGGATGGTCTTGTTCTCCCGACCTTGTGATCCGCCCGCCTCGGCCTCCCAAAGTGTTGGGATTACAGGCGTGAGCCACTGCGCCAGGATGCTTTTCTTACATTTTTAACATATATCGCAGAGACCTTTTTACATCAGTCTATAGAGCTTATCTTTATTCTTCTTTGTAGTTTTGTAATATTCCATGTGGCAGTTATAGCAAAATTCATTTAAGCAGATTTCTATTGTCGTCAAACTTTTGCTATTATAAATAATACTGCATGTATGCTGGTAAAATATCATTTAATATATATCCTGCTGTATCTATAGAATGGATTCTTAAAAATGAGAGTGCTATGTCACAGAATAAAACATTTATAATTTTTGTAAATATGGCAAATTGCCCTTCAGAGTATGTGCTATACTACACTCTATACCCATAGTGTAGGAGCATGCCTGTTCTCTGCAGGAAAGTTTTACACTGAGACCATTTTTTAATCGTTGTAGAATCTTTTCATTTTTCTGTTTCTTCTTGAGTTTATTTTGGTAGTTTATACTTTTCTGGGAATTTATCTATGTCATCTAAATGTTCACCCATTTTTGCATGAAGTTAATATTCTTATTTTCTTTTTTAAGTTTTGCAGTACTTGCAGACATGGCCCCATTTCTCATCCTTAATATTGTTTACTTGTGACTTCTCTCTACTCTTGATCCATCTATCTAGATGGCATTTCTCAACCTTGACATTTTGGGTCCGAGGCTTCTTTCTTGTAGGCGGCTGTCTTGTGCGTTGTAGGATGTTTAGCAGCATTTCTGGCTTCTATTTACTAGATGCCACTAGCATCCCCACCACAGGTTGTGCCTGTATACACAAAATGTCTCCAGACGTTACCAAATATCTCCTAGGAAAGAGGAACAGGGAGGGCATTGGGGGGCAAAATTGCCCTCCGTTGCACATTACTATTCTAGACGTTTGGCAGTATGATCAGTGTTTTTAAAGAATTAATTTGAGTTTTGTTAATTCTATTTCTTCTTTTTTCTTTAATTAATCGTTGCTCTTTTTCTGTTTTTGGTGTTTGTTTGTTTGTTGTTGTTGTTGTTGTTGTTACAGGGTCTCACTCTGCCGTCCAGGCTGGAATGCAGTGGCGGATCACAGCTCACTGCAGCCTCGACCTCCCAGGCTCAAGTGGTCCTCCCACCTCAGCCTCCCAAATAGCTGGGACTATAGGTGTGTGCCACAATGCCTGGCTAATTTTTTTTTTTTTGAGACTTCATTCCAGCCTGCTGCCCAGGCTAGAGTGAGGTGGCACGGTCTTGGCTCACTGCAACCTCCACCTCCTGTGTTCAAGTGATTCTCATGCCTCAGCCTCCTGAGTAGCTGGGATTACAGGTGCCTGCCACTGCGCCCACCTAATTTTTATATTTTTAGTAGAGAAGGGGTTTCACCATGTTCGCCAGGCTGGTCTCAAACTCGTTACCTCAGGTGATCTGCCCGCCTTGGTCTCCCAAAGTGCTGGGGTTAGAGGTGTGGGCCACTGTGCCCGGCCTGCCTGGCTAATTTTTGAGAAGAGTCTCGTTCTGTCGCCCAGGCTGGAGTGCAGTGGCACGATCTTGGCTCACTGCAAGCTCCGCCTCCCAGGTTCATGCCATTCTCCTGCCGCAGCCTCCGGAGCAGCTGGGACTACAGGCGCCCGCCACTACGCCCGGCTAATTTTTTTGTATTTTTAGTAGAGACGGGGTTTCACGATATTAGCCAGGATGGTCTCGATCTCCGACCTCGTGATCCGCCCACCTGGGCCTCCCAAAGTGCTGGGATTACAGGCGTGAGCCACCGCGCCCAGCCCTGCCTGGCTAATTTTTAAAAAAATTTTGTAGAAGTGGGATCTCACTCTGTTGCCTAGGCTGCTCTCAAACTCCTAGACTCCTGATCCTCCCGCCTCAGCCTCCCAAAGTGTTGGGATTACAGGTGTAAGCCACCAAACCCAGCCAGTTTTTCTTTTTCTAATTTGGCTTATTGATGTTTATTTCCTAACTTTTTATGATTAGTATTCAATAAATCAATGTTCACCTTTGGTTTCCTAATATATACACTTAAGGCTACATATTTTCCTCTAAGTATCACGTAACTATAATCTACAAGTAAGTGGTATTTCAGTTTCATTTTAAATTTCAGCTTTCAGGTTTTTTTACTCATGGGTATTTAGAAGTGTATATTTATTTATTTATTTATTTATTTATTTATTTATTTATTTATTTATTTTTGAAACAGAGTCTCGCTCTGTGGCCCAGGCTGGAGTGCAGTGGCACGATCTCGGCTCAAGGCAAGCTCTGCCTCCCGGGTTCACGCCATTCTCCTGCCTCAGCCTCCTAAGTAGCTAGGACCACAGGCGCCCACCACCACGCCCGGCTAATTTTTTTTTTTTTTTTTGTATTTTTAGTAGAGACGGGGTTTCACCTTGTTAGCCAGGATGGTCTCGATCTCCTGACCTCATGATCCATCCGCCCACCTCGGCCTCCCAAAGTGCTGGGATTACAGGCGTGAGCCACTGAGCCCAGCCAGAAATGTATTTTTATAATTCCCAAATATATGGACTTTTACTTACCTTTTAGAAACTGATTTCTAATTTAATGTAATTGTAAAGGAACATGTTTGCTTAATTCTGATTCTTTGATGTATAGTGAGACTTAGTTTATGGCTTACAATATAGTCGATAATATTCATAAATGTTCCATATATTCTTGAAAATGATGTTCGGTTACTTAACATAGTCTTCTGTATAAGTCCATTATCTCAGTTCTTCTCAAACTTTCTTGTGTCATGTCATGCTAAAGTAAATGAATGAAGCTGCCTGAGGTCAGATGAGACTGACCTGTAAGGTTGAAGACACCCAGACCACTTTAGCTATCCTTATGATGAAGAAAATTAAGATCTGAATCAACTTCTAACCCTTTTACAGTATAACAGTTTGCCAGAGCCCAGCACAGCAACTTATAAGTTTTACGTTGTGTCAATATTATTAACTGTATTTTTCAACTCTTCCAAACTTTTATCAATTTATTAATCTATTAATTATAAAGTTGTGTTGGAGTCTTGTTATTCTTATGGTTTCTCTTTGTAGTTCTGTAAATTTCAGATTTATATATGGTATTAGGTGCATATAATCAGGATTGTTATATATTCTTAATAAATGTTAACTTTATTAATGGCAATGACCCTCTTTATCTCTAGTATTGCTTTTGTTTACATATCAATTTTGGCTGATAATATAGCCACAACAGTTTTCTTTTAGGTTATTTGGTTAGCATATTTTTCTTCACTTTTTATTTTCAACTTTTGTATCCTGTGTTTTAGGTGTATTGCTTCTAGTTAGTGCATAGGTGGATCTTTTTCTCCATTTTCAAAATATTCGTCTTTTAAATTGAGAGCTTAGTCTAGTAACATTGGCTGAGACTGTTGATATATTTGGGATAATTTCTACCATCTTATTTTGTATCTTCGATTTTTGTCACTTTTCTCTTTTTGTCTCCCTTTCTTCTTTTTGGGCTTCTTTTGGGAGAAATTGCAGTTTTTTGCTTTTACTTATTTGGGGGGTTTTCTCCCTCTCTCTTTCTTCCTCCCACTTATTTGGAAGTTTTACATTCTGTTTCTTTCAATAATAATCTAACAAATTTAACAATCACATTTAAATTAGTGCAAAGAGAGTAAATATCTTTTTTTTTTTTCCTTGAGATGGAGTCTTGCTCTGTTGCCCGAGCTGGAGTGCAGTGGCACAGTCTCGGTTCACTGCAACCTCTGCCTCCTGGGTTCAAGCGATTCTCCTGCCTCAGCCTCCTAAGTAGCTGGGACTACAGGCACCTGCCACCAAGCCTAGGTAATTTTTTTTATTTTTAGTAGAGATGGGGTTTCACTATGTTGGCCATGCTGATCTCGAACTCCTGACCTCGTGATCTGCCCGCCTCGGCCTCCCAAAGTGCTGAGAGTAAAGGCATGAGCCACCATGCCCGGCCAATAGTAAGTATCTTTATACTCATTTTGAACAATATAAAACATTTAAAATACTTTGATTATCTCCTCCAGATAAATATGTTATTTTGGTCTAAGTTTTTTTAATCCAAAAATTGAAAAAATTTATAGTGCAATTTAATGGTTTCTTTTTCCAATTTATGTCTAAGTTTAACATTTTCTTTACTATATTTCTTATTGCAACTCAGACTTTCTGAAATCAATTTTCTTCTTCCTGAAATCTCTTCATAAAGTTCTTTTAAATAGTTCTATTCATTGTAAATTCTGTCATTTTTTATTTTTCTGAAAATGTCGAACAATTTTTGGAAAATATTTCAGTTGGTGCAAATAATTGGGGTTTTTGACATTCCTTTTAATGGCAAAACTGCAATTACTTTTGCACCAACCTAATAGTTTAGCTGGATGGACAATTCTAACTTCAGGGGTATTTTATCTCAGCATTTTAAGGATTTTACTCTGTATTATCCGTTTTCATGCTGCTGATAAAGACATACCTGAGACTGGGCAATTTACAAAAGAAAGAGGTTTAATTAAACTTACATTTCCACGCGTCTGGGGAAGCCTCACAATCATGGCGGAAGGCAAGGAGGAGTAAGTCACATCTCACATGGACGGCACCAGGCAGAGAGAAGCGCTTGTGTAGGGAAATTTCCCTTTTTATAACCATCAGATCTTGTGAGACTTATTCAATATCACAAGAACAGCACAGGAAAGACCTGCGCCCATGATTCAGATGCAATTACCTCCCACTGTGTCCCTCCAACAACACGTGGAAATTCAGGATGAGATTTGGGTGGGGACACAACCCAACCATATCAAATTCCATTATCTTTCTGGCTTGTATTGCTGCATTTGAGGAGTCAACTGTCAGAATAATAACTTCTTTATAATGACCTTTTTTCTCTGGCTACTTTAAGATCATCTCTTAGTCTTTGGTGTTCTGCAAATTCAGTATAAAGCATCTAGATATGGATTCACTGCACTTCCTAAATCTGCTTATTGATTTAATATCATTTCTGGAAAATTTTCAGGTATTTCGAATATTGCAAATTTTCCATTTTTATTCTCTTCAAGAACGTCAGTTACCTCTACATAAAGCTTCTTACTCTCTCTTTCAAGTATCTTAACATTTTTCATGTTTGTCATCTCTTTATACTTCATACTGAGTCATTTCTTCAGTTACTATCAATCACTAGCTATTTTAACTGATTTAACATCAAATGTTTTATATATTTCAAATAGCAAATATCTATATTTCTTTTCTAAAAGTTCTTTTTTCAAACTTGATTGGTCAATTTTGTTAATATGTTTTCTTCTCTTCATCTTTCCAATGCCCTAATTTATTATTTTAAAATGTAAAGAGTTATATTATAACATGTATATAATTCCAATATTTTGGAGGGTCTGGTGAGAATTTTGCTTGTTTGTTTGTTTTTTGAAATGGAGTCTCACTCTGTCGCCCAGGCTGGAGTGCAGTGGCGCTATCTCGGCTCACTGCAAGCTCCGCCTCCCGGGTTCAGGCCATTCTCCTGCCTCAGCCTCCCGAGTAGCTGGGACTACAGGCGCCTGCCACCACGCCCGGCTAATTTTTTTGTATTTTTAGTAGAGACGTGGTTTCACCATGTTAACCAGGATGGTCTCAATCTCCTGACCTCGTGATCCGCCCGCCTTGGCCTCCCAAAGTGCTGGGATTACAGGCGTGAGGCACCGCGCCCGGCCGAGAATTTTTAACACAGATAAATGAAATAAAGCCCTAATTCAGATGTTTATAATTTATCTGAGATTCAAAAATGGCTCTGACACATTGTTAAAGTGCTAAGTAGAGGACCAGGTCGTGTGATTTTGGAATATATAGTAAGGACAACAAATTTACATAATGCCGTTGAAGGGGCAGGTCAAAGGAGGCTTAATGAAGGTTGTGATGTTTAAGCTAAATCTCAAGGATGGGGAAGATTATCTTAGGCAGGGAAAGTTGAATCACAGAGCCTTGAAAATGCATGGTATGCTTAGGAAGCAGTAGTCAAGTGTGGTTGGTATATAGGAGATGCTGTGAATGAATACAATTTGAAAGATGTTTGGGGACTGGGCAAAGAAGACATAAGATGCTAGTTAAGTAGTTTTGATAGAGATGAGACAACCAAGGGTCCCCGGCGAAACCTCGCCTTCAAGCCTAAAACGGCCTGAAGGCTGAAAAACCAGACTGCTGGTCCCAGATGAAGCTGCCCTCTCCTGACTGAATACTGCCCACCTGCGCACTGGGAGGACAGGGTGCAGCCTCGGGAAGTTCATGCCATTGGCAGGGGGAGGAGCCTGGCCTCTTCAGTTCCTGGTTGGTGACCTGGAATTCAATCTGTGAGGTGGAAAACCTGCTAGCAGGACTTTCTCTCACTTTGCTGAGAGTTATTTTTCCTTTTTCCTTTTCACCCAATAATTTCTACTCCTCACCCTTCTATGTGTCTGTGAGCCTAATCCTTCCTGGTCATGTGACAAGAACCCGGTTTTAGCTGAACTAAGGAGAAAGTTCTGCAACAGTTTGGCCTTTCACATCTAAATAAATGCTTATCAAATGGTGATTCAAGGGTCATATTACATAAGAATCACCAGGCTGTTAATGCGTAGATTTCTAGGCTCCAATAGAAAACTTATGAGTCAGAATCACTGAAGTATGTGACTCACATATGTATGCTTTATAAAATCCCCTGGTGATTTTTTACTTCTCATTGAAGTTTGAGAACAATTGGTCTAAGCAATGAAAATCAGTAGGGGTTTTTTAAAAGAGGAGGGAAATAATCTGAGCTATGTCTTAGACACACTCTGAGAGTAAGCAGAAGACTTGGGGAAGAGAGATAAATCACAAGTCTATTGTAGTAAGTCAGGTGAAAGATGCCATGAGCCTGGATGAGGGAAAAAGAAAAATGAAATGGGATATAGTAACAAAATCCACAGGCCTTTGTCCCTTAATTGGGTAAGAGGCAAGGGTGAGGGCTGAGTAAACTGCCCCAAGTGATTTTGGTTGTATTCTCCCATCTCTCTGCTCAGTCTCTTGGTTCTGGCTTCATCCTCAGAGTAGTAACAAGATGACTGCAGCAGTTCTGGGTGTCATATCAGATGCAAAAGTGCTCAGATAGGTGATGAGAAACCATTTCTTCCTGTGGCTCTGTTACAATACCCTTGAACTAATTATGCCCCACCTTGATTTCCTTTTCTCACCTGGGGAACGGCTCGATTTCCTGTGAGACACGTGGCTGAATGAGGGTGGGGAAAGTGCATATGCAAAACCGGGGACTGTTGTTGATAGCCCCAAACACCGACTGGGCACTGGGTTGGCCATTACACTGGAATAGTGACTAGCACATAGTGGGCTTACACAAATTTTTGTAGGAAGAATGCCTTACAGGGTCATTTTGAAAATAACAGCTCCTTGCATTTTGCCTACTTCTCCATTTTACTACCTCAGCTGCCCCTTCTTATAATAGCTTGTTAGGTAGATTTAAATAGATATTGTTCCCGATAAATTAGCTAGACCCTTCATCTCTGTGTTAAAAAAAAGTTGCAGTCATAGGCTTTAACTTTTCCATTATGCCTGTCAGAAAAAAAGAAAGTGCCAGTGATTATTTTTTTGTATGACCTAGTAATCTTTCAAGCATTTATATTGTTTAAAAACACTGAGGTGGCCGGGTATGGTGACTCACACTTGTAATCCCAGAAGTTTGGGAGGCTGAGGTGGGTGGATCATTTGAGGTCAGGAGTTCGAGACCAGCCTGACCAACATGGTGAAACCCCATCTCTACTAGAAATACAAAAAAAATTAGCAGGGCATGGTGGAGGATGTCTGTAGCCCCAGCTACTTGGGAGGCTGAGGCAGGAGAATCGCTTGAACCTGGGAGGTGGAGGTTGCAGTGAGCTGAGATTGTGCCACTGCACCCCAGCCTGGGTGACAGAGCGATACTCCATCTCAAAAACAAACAAACAAACAAACAAGCACTGAGGTGTCAATTATAATATTACAAGGGCAAGTAAGATAACCAATCAGAATTGCACGTTTCTTCTGGTTATTATCACAGGGCATTGCAACAAACTAGTCTTCAAAGTCTTAGAAGAATCTCTTCTAACCATACTTCCAAGGACAAATTTATATTAACAGAGAATAGAAGAAGTTGGCAACAGTTATGAATATTCACACAAGTCTCCTTGTTGCACAGAAGCAAGATTGATATTCTTGTGAATGTTCTTAATTTAATACCTTATCACATCAGACTATTTGAATTTATTTTATGATGCAGAAAGCTCTATCTTGTAACTTCAGGAGAGAGGGGACATCTCTTCATCTTTTTTAGCCACCTATTGTTGATTGTGAAGACTTGCATTTTTTAAGGCCAGGCTTAGGAACTTCATTACTTAGCATAAGAAGTGAAAAGCAGGCCTAAGACTTCATTTTTATTTGCAGAAATGGAATAAAGGATGAATAGGATTTTACTTAGTGAGAGAAGGAGTGTGTGGCATTAATCTACCACATTCTGATTTTGCTAATGAGGAATATGCTAATGTCACAAGAGTGGCAAAATTGACAAGAAGATGTCAACAAGCACAAGAAAAGGTCTTTCTTTCTTAAGGTAATCAAAGGTTTAGACACTTAGAGAGCAGGGGACACTGCAGCACTTCTGTCCAGAGAAACAAGTTTCCCTGCTCTCCTAAATCCCCTGCAACAAGAGGCTGCAGCTCCTGCCTCCCAATTAGAATCTGACTGTTCCACTTCTTTGTTCTTTTTCCCAAACCAGTACTTAGCATTAAACTCTGCAGACGGCTTTATTTGTCTATTGCTGGAACCTTGTCTTCTAAGGCCTGCTGAGGTTGAATAAATTAGATCAAACTGATACTAACTTGGTAATTGATACCAAGTTAGCGACAGTAAGTAATATTGCCCTTAACAATTTGATAGTAGGATTTAGACAGCAAGATGAAGTGTAAATAGCCAAGGGATGGTTGGTCTTTTAAAAATAGGTTAATATTTATTTAAAATATCTGCATATGTCTTATCCATTTTCTAATTGATCTCCTTAAGTTACAATTTTATTCTTTCAACTATTTCTTCTGAACTTGTGAATATAGTAAGCAATAATTGTATACAAATTTAATTTCTCATAGTTACAGATAAAATATCCTAAATTTTAATGGAGAGGAAACAATTTAATGCATATGTGAGAATTTTTCATATTAATCTTACAGGAAACTGGCTTTTCTTTCATCTCTACAAATGTTCTGAGTGGTTTGGAGCAGATTCGGTACATGGAAAAGTATTAGGTTGGTGCAAAAGTAATTGTGGTCTTTCTATTACTTTCTTTTTTTTTTTTTTGAGATGGAGTCTTGCTCTGTTACCCAGGTTGGAGTGCAGTGGCGCAGTCTTAACTCACTACAACCTCTGCCTCCCAGGTTCAAGTGATTCTCCTGCCTCAGCCTCCTGAGTAGCTGCGATTACAGGCGTGTGCCACCATGTCTGGCTAATTTTTGTATTTTTAGTAGAGACGGGGTTTCACCATGTTGGTCAGGCTGGTCTCGAACTCCTGACCTCGTGATCCGCCTGCCTCGGTCCCCCAAAGTGCTGGGATTATAGGTGTGAGCCACCGCGCCTGGCCTGTCCATTACTTTTAATGGCAAAGACCACAGTTACTTTTGCACCAACGTAATACCAGTGAATTTCATTCTGCCAACCCCACTTCACCCCAAATGACATCATTTTAGTACTCCTTACTACCTCTTTAAAAGAAGTTAGGTGAAAAATGAAATCAAGATATTTTGGGGTATATTAGTTAGATTAGGTCCACCTGTGAATAACAGAAATCTCAAAACAACAATGGCTTAAGTAAAACAGAAATTTATCTCTCACATTAAAGAAGGCTGGAGATAGGTGGTCTAAGGCTGGGATGCTGTTCCATGTGTTAGGAATTTAGCTCTTTTTATCCTATTTCTCTGTCATCTTCAGCCCATGCAGTCTATCCTGTGATCAAATGTTGCTATTCAGACTTCAGCCACCACATCTTTATTCCAGCTACAGGTAATGAGGAGCCAAAGAAAGGCAACACAAGCTACAGAGGGAACATTGTTCCAGCAGCCGTGCATCTGGTATTAAAGTGAAAAATGAGCCAAAGTTAAACAAGCAAGAGAGACTTTATTCAAGACTATTGCAATACAGGAGAGAGGTTGAACTCAACTCAGCCTCTGAGTTCAGGGTGAAACAAAAGGCTGGAGAGTTTTTAAGAGCTGGGGTGGGGGTAACGGTAGGCCACCTGTGCTTAATTCTGACCTATCTCCATGACGGAAGGTAGGCTTTTGCCCTCCCACAGACTGGAGGATAAAGGCATTATCTTCCTTCAGAAATTACATTTCAAAGAGATGGTTTTCAGGTTTTTGAGAGAGACATTTCTGGGGGTAATCAAATAGGTAAAAGCTTTTTGAGGAGACATACACACTTGAAAGGGAGCCAAAAAAGAATTTGCAATGATGAGTTTGTTTTTTAAGTAAATAGGAAAACGGACAGGAAGAAATCTGTCTGAAGTTTAGTTAACTTGAGAAGTTAATGCTGTCTTGATCACCAGTTAAAAGTAAAGATTCTGTACTTAGGAAAAATGGGAGAATGGAAATTGGAGAAAAACTGATTTGCCCCAGTTTTCTTAAGTTTTTTTTCTTTCTCAATACTTTGTAGAAAGACTAAAAAGTAGAGTATTTAATTTAAAAATTAATTTTTCAAATGGTAGAATTTTTGGGTACCACTACTGCTTGTGTGGTTAAAAAAAAAAAGACAAAATAGAACAGCAAAGGATGTGGGAGACTCTTCCATTGTTCTAATAATTCATCCTGTAAAGTTAACTTGGGTTTGTAAAATAGAGGCATTGTTAACTGACCTCTACCTATGTGAGCCATTTTCCCTTCCTTCTATCAACATACTGAATCCTGACCCAGCACAATAAACACCATGGCCAGTAGACTATTCTTATAACCTCCTGAGTCTCTCCCACCACCAAAACTGTGTTTCCCAGGAGTGCATGGTGTTTGTTCCTGCACTTGATTATTTTGGCTGTACTTGTAATTACATAAGATAATTGTTATGTGTCCTAATGAAATATGGGTGTGGAGGGAACTTTTCCTATGATAGTTAAGTTCACTGATTCCAAAGAATCAATAAACCGAATTGCTAAAAAAAAATTACTGACAATTTAGGTAAGGGTGAAATAACTCTTAAAGTCTCGGAAGAAAAACCAAAAATCTTGAGGGATGCTGCAGTTAGATTTCATTAGAAATGTTTTCAAGTTCTCATTTCACTTAAAAACAAAACCAAAACTGGGACCATAGACAGTGTTTTATGGACAATGATATTTATACAAGAAAAATGACATGAAACTTCAATCATAGACCTACTCAAAGTAAGGCCTTGGCCCTATATCAAAAGTTAATGACTAAATGTTTATACGTTTTAAATTTAAATGTTTATGGTACTTTAAAAATTTATTCCTCACTTGACCCAATTTTTCCAGTTAATTTACCAAGTATGTTCTTAATCAATGCAGATGGAAGAAATAAACCTACTTAATTCTCAAGTGTTATGATGGTTACTGACATCTTTAAAGACTTGTCCATTACATCAGAGGTGGCCAAGAACGCTATTGATTGAGATTCTTTTTCCATTCTCTTCCATTTTGGTCTAAATAACAAATGTTTCCCTGATTCCAAATGAGATAACTTTCATCCCCTACAGAAAAAATTAGACAAAAGGGGGCACAAAATTATGTTTTAGCTTCAATATCGGGATTTATTTATTTTTGTTTTTGTAAGTTAGTTTTGGGTTCTGTCTCTTATGGAGAGTGAATATGAGGTCACTGCAGGGAAAACCTCTTTTTTTATACACAAAACTGAAAAAGAAAAGCTAAGTCATTTTAAAGCAAGTGGCATTAATAAAATACTTTCCTGTAAAAACACTTTAATATGAAAATATTGTGGTAGATGTAAGTCTTAGTGTTTATTGAAAGCAACAGCCTGTCATTTAAGGGGATTTATTGTTGGATTTTTCCTAAATTAGAAGGGCTGTTAGTGTGTACAAGCTGCCATAAATCGTCATTATTTTTAAGAATTGTTTTCAATTTGTTTTAGTTAGCCTCTTTTGATTTTAAATAACAGAAATGCAAGCACAGCACTTAAAATAAAGAGATTACTATTATTAAATAGATAGGATGCAGGGATAATTAAGAAATAGGGCCCAAGAGCACTTAAACCCAACTCTAGAAATCAGCTATTCTACAGAGCAAGTTCTACACTTAGACTACTTATATTCAAATCCTGAGTCTACAGTTTATTTGTGTGACATCAGGCAAGTTACTTTTTATCAGTCTTGGTTTCTTCATCTTTAAGGTTAGCATCTATCTTTTAGGGTGTTATGTGATTAAATTAAGTATGCAGGTAAGCACTTATCACAGTGTCTTACACTTAGCAAGTTCTCAATAAATATGACTTATCATTGTCATGATTGTTATATGATTAGTCTGATTAGTTATGGAGCTTTGAACTCCAGTCTCTGCCATCTTACTCTAAGTTTCTTCCCCTTGTAATTGTACCCTGCTTTTCAAAGCCCCAATTCTATCTATTGTTTTTTTTTGTTGTTGTTGTTCTGATCACTATCCAGTCTCTTGTATCTAGGTTGGTTCAAAGATGAATCTACTGTCTTCTTCCTATAATGTATTCCAACTAATACATGAAGAAGGAATAACAGGACTAGCATATCATTTTGCAAGCTCCTAATGAAACAAATGATCTTGCCAGGCGTCAGCCAACTATGGCCCCTAGGCTACATCTGGCCTGCTTGATTTTGTAAAAAAAGTTTTATTGAAACTGAAAAAAAGGAGAATCCACTGTCGTGATTCAGGTACCCACCCTTGATGCATGACTTCCTAGGTAGTAGAAGCTGTGAGTGGGTGCAGAAGAGCCCTTCAGAAGAGGTTAAAGAATGGCAAATAGCATTTAGAAGTGTACCTCTGTTGAATTTATATTCTGTCTTGTTCCTTTCTGTCAATGCTCTGTTTTTCTGTGTTAATATAAATTGTCTGTTCTGTTAATCAAATGACAAAACCTCAGAGGAAGATT